>NC_000011.10:112626970-112930000 GCF_000001405.40 Homo sapiens | reverse complement strand
TGAATGCAGGATGTGAGCAAACTCACAACTGCTCCTGCTGACAGAAGGTTTGGTGGAGGCAATCACCCCCTGGCACTGAAGTTATCTACTGAGACATCTAGAGAAGGCAGTCCTGCAAGCCTACTCTGGACTGAGCAGCTGACCCCTTCTTCTGCCCCCTTCTCACCATCTCTTTTCCCTAATAAATATGAAGGGCTGTGTAAAGCTCAGGGCTCTTGTCCACTAGAGGCAAGGTGCCCCTGACCCCTTCTTCCAAATATACTCTTTTGTCTCTTGTCTTTTATTCCCGCGTTCACCCAGTTTGTTCAGTCCAGTAGGTCTGTGTGAGTTACATACTGGCATCTGAACAGGGACAGTCCAAATACGGGACTTCAAGGACATGAACAAAGAAGGTCTGCTGGAGCAGAAGAACTGAAATTGACAAGGTGAACTGTAACCCCAGGACGAGTCTGCCAGCAGTGGATATAAGGTGAATGCCCTGAAGAGGTACTGATCAGTGCCCTAAAGAGGTCCTGGGAGCAGTGCTTTAAGGAGGTACTGGGAACAGGAAGCTTTCTGAGTCAGGGTAACAAGGGGAAGAATTTGTCTATTGAAGACAAACATTATGTGCAGTTGCTTAAAGTTCTGTTGAGACAGTCTGGAGCTCAGGTTAATTCGCAGACACTAACTAACCTCCTGCAGAAGCCACAGAAAGTTATTACACATAACCCATGTTTTCTGCAGGCAGGCACTCTTGATGTGGAAAATTGGGATAGAGCAGGAGAAGTATTAAAACAGGCTCATCAAAAGGTTTTAAAGTTGATTCTTCAGTTTTTTCCACTTAGAGTTTAGTTTGTACTGTACTTCTGCCATTATCTCCTTATTATTCTGTGGGACAGCAGGCTGAATCTAAAAATCTGAAAGAATCTGTTGTCCCACCCACAGCTCCAACTGAAAATAAAAAACAGGAGAGGGAGGATAAAAATTGGTCTATACCGCCTCCTCCAGTTGCAGAAACATCTGTACCACCTCCTTCAGTAGCAGAAATTGAGACCCCAATACAAAGAATTTTATACTCTGCTGCCATAGCTGGAGAGCCCTTAGGACCTTGCACTTTTCCTATTTCCCTAAGGCCTGATCCAAATAATCCACAGCAGCTTGTTCAAGAACACACTCCACTAGAGTTCAAGTTGTTGAAGGAATTAAAAGCGAGTGTGGTAAATAATGGCATACAGAGCCCATTCACATTAGGATTGCTAGAATCTGTATTTGGTGCTATGCGGCTTTTACCCTTTGATGTGAAACACTTGGAGTGAACTTGCTTGTCCACTAGTGCATATCTGACATGGAATTAAATTGGCAAGAAATGTGTGCAGACCAGGCTAAACAGAATCATGTTGCTGGACATGCAGACATTACAGAGTATATGCTGATAGGTAATGGCCCTTATTCAGACCTGGGACATCAAATGGCACTCCCAGACACTGCTTATCAGCAGTGTGCACAGGCTGCTAAATGCACCTGGGCCACAATTGCTGAAGAGGAATTCCCAGTACAATCCTTTTTACATATCATGCAAGGGTTGCAGGAAGCCTATACACAATTTCTTGCAAGATTACAAGAGGCAGTGAAGCATCAGATTCCTCATACCGCGGCTGCAGAAATGCTGACCTTAACTCTAGCTTTTGAGAATGCAAACATGGATTGTTAATGTGCACTGGCTCCAGTGAGGTGTACAAAGAATTTGGGAAATTTTCTCAGAGCTTGTCAGGATGTAGGACCTGACATCATCACTCTTCAATGTTAGCTGAAGCAATGGCTAATTTAGCTGTTGACAAATCTAAAAGGAGCCAAGGGTCAAACCCTACAATGGGAAAACGTTATACTTGTGGAAAAACTGAACATTTTAAAAAGGAATGCCTCCAGATCTCAGGACAGAAAGGACCTTACAAGGCAGAGGCCCACCCAGTGGAAAAAACACCAGGACTTTGTCCTTGCTATAACAAGGAAAATCACTGGGCTAATCAGTGCTGCTCAAAATTTCATCAGAATGGCACCTCCCCACCCCACACTGGGAAACGAGATGCGGGCCTGGACCCAGGCCCCAGAAACAGTGAGGGCATTCCCAGTCCAGATCTCAATCCCATTTCAGGCATGGTTTCCTGGAGGCACATTGATTCCCTCACCCCAGGAACACCAGGAAGTGCAGGATTAGATCTCCCAGCCAGAGAAAGGGTTATATTAGTTGGGGGAGACAAACCCACCAAGATTCCCACTGGCATTTGGAGACCTTTACCAGCAGGATATATGGGACTAATTTTAGGCAAAAGCCGTCTTAACCTGCAAGGCATCACTGTAGTTCCAAGAGTGATTGACTCCGATTATGAAGGAGAAATTGAAGTAGTTTTAATGTCACAAGATCTTTGGGTTTTTGAACTGGGAGAATATATTGCTCAATTACTGCTTATTCCCTGCAAATTACACCCTTCTCCACGAAAGGAGAAATGAGGAAATAAAGGATTTGGGAAATCTATCTATCCCAACCCATAGCCTCTAAGAGACCCACCTGTGTAGTACAAATTAAAGGAAAGAAATTTTATGGGCTTATGGATACGGGAGCTGATGCATCAGTAATATCTAAAGACAATTGGCCCCCATCCTGGCCCTTGCAATTAACTTCTACATCCTTAGTGGGAGTAGGAACATCTCAAAGTGTTCAACAGAGTGCTGAGATTTTACCTTGTCTTGGTCCAGATGGACAATCATGTACTTTTCAGCCTTATGTTGCAAATATAGCTATCAATTTATGGGGTTGAGACTTACTTACAGCATGGGATATGAGACTTACAAATGAAAACTTTGATAACCCAGGATTTAAAGTATTGAAGAACATGGGATATCAGAGTGAAAAAGGTTTAGGGAAAATTCGGATAAGGAGACACTAACCTGATATCAATAACTGGAAAGACAGGTTAAACCCTGCAAGGAGATTCTTCTTTAAATTCCCCGCAGCAATTAACCAAAGAGGCAGGGGCAGAGTTGCAACTTGTAAAACAGAAGCTGAGTTCAACAATGGCAGGCCTCCTGGCTACAGCCTAAAAAACCTTTGCTTTCACTATCCCTCAGACAAATTTTTTTTTTTTTTTGAGACGGAGGCTCCTCTGTTGCCCAGGCTGGAGTGCAGTGGCGTGATCTTGGCTCACTGTAAGCTCCACCTCCTGGGTTCAGGCCATTCAGGCCATTCTCCTGCCTCAGCCTCCCGAGTAGCTGGGACTACAGGCACCTGCAACCACGCCCGCCTAATTTTTTGTATTTTTAGTAGAGACGGGGTTTCACCATGTTAGCCAGGACAATCTCGATCTCCTGACCTCGTGATCTGCCCGCCTCGGCCTCCCAAAGTGCTGGGATTACAGGCGTGAGCCACCGCACCTGGCCCAGACAAAATTTTACAGTTTTCTTATACTAGTCATTCTTTTAAAAGTTTCTTACAGCTTTGATCTATAACCCATAAAACAGGAATTCCTTATAATCCTAGAGGACAAGGCATTATAGAGTGGGCACATCAAACATTACAACACATGCTGAAAAGACAAAAAGGGTATAGGAGGCCAACTACCACCTCAGTCAAAACTACACTTAGCCTTATTTACTTTAAATTTTTTGACTCCTGGTACAGATGGTAAGACTCCAGCAGAAAGAAATTGGCAAGTGTTAGAGGAAAAGGGGAAAGTTTATCTGAAAGTGTTATGGAAATCCCTGGAAGAAAGACAATGGAAAGGTCCAGTGGATTTACTGACATGGGGACAAGAGTATGTTTGTGTTTTTATAGGAGATGGACAAGCCGTGTGGGTGCCCTCAAGGTGCATGCGACCATGAAATGGGGGACTGGAGGAACCCAGGGTGGCCAACCATGGGCCTGGTCTCTCTGGTACGAGCCATGAGTCACCTGAGCCTGAGTGCTAAGACAGAGAGAAGGCCGACTGGAGTCGCGACACAGTTCTAATGTTACATTTGTAAAGAATATCACCACTCAATTTACTGTTTGTGTTTTTAATCCTTATGTCTTTTGGGCAGCTAAGAAGCACCAGCTTCAGGTAAACAATACCCATTTGACCTGTAAAGCTTGCCAGTTATATCACTGCATTAATCATAGCACATTGCAAACACATAATATCTCTACTTTGATTATTTTAGGACTCATCCCTGGGCTATGGATTCCTGTTAACCTGTCCAAGCCTTGGGCTGCCACACCTGCTTTGCACTGTGTGAAACTTCTTCTAACTCAGCTTACTCATCGTGTCCGTAAAGCTTTAGGCATGATAATTTTTGCTATTGTGTCCTTGGCCACACTAATAACTTCTGTTGTGAAATCTTCTGTAGCTTTGCATAGTTCTGTTTAAACAGCTCAGTACGAAGAGAACTGGACACATACAGCTAACCAAGCATGGCTACTTCAGAATAAAATTAACACTGAGTTACAAACTGAAGTGGCAACGTTATGATCCATGATTCTATGGTTAAAGGAACAAGTACAAAGCTTGCACTTGCAGCAGCAATTGCGTTGTCATTTTAATCACACCCATATTTGTGTAGCCAACTTAGAATATAACCAAAGTGAGTATCCATGGGACCTCGTGAAAGCCCATTTGCGGGGAGCTTTCACATCCAACATCACCTTTGATATTGGTGAATTATAAAACAAAACAAAATTCTTGATTTAAATAGGCAAACTCCAGAGTTTCAGCCTTCTTTAGAAGACCGGACCAAATTCCAGCAAGGCCTGGGGAGCCTCAACCCTTGGACCTATCTAAGGCACCACATTAACAGCTTATATGTAGTTCTTGGAATAATGTTGTTTTGTCTCTGTCTTCTGTTTATAGTCTGTAAAATCGGATGGACTGCCAATCGGAGAAAGAGCTGCCCAGCCTGGCCTTACATTCTTTCAATTAATTCATAAACAGAAAGGGGGATATGCAGGGAGCCGAGGGCCCATGGAACATGACCAACTCAGCATTCCACTGGAGGCTATATGATCAAACAGCAGACTGTTTATTATGAATGCAGGATGTGAGCAAACTCATGATTGCTCCTGCCGACAGAAGGTTTGGTGGAGGCAATTACTCTCTGGCTTTGCAGAGGTTATCTACTGCGACATGTAGAGAAGGCGGTCCTGCAAGCCTACTCTGGACCGAGCAGCTGACCCCTTCTTCCACCCTCTTCTCACTATCTCTTTTGCCTAATAAATATGGAGGGCTGTGTAAATCTCAGGGCCCTTGTCCACTAGAGGCAAGGTGCCCCCTGACCCCTTCTTCCAAATATACTCTTTTATCTCTTGTCTTTTATTCCCGCGTTCACCTGCTTTGGGTTCAGTCCAGTGGGTCCACGCGGGTTACACTTCTGCACTAGGGAGATAGGAGGAGACAGGTTTTTACATGTCCTCCAGTTCTTACTTTTACACAGTTATTTGAACCCAGCATTCTTCTCTGATCGGCTTCCCTTGGGGGAACATGAATGCCAGGATGCTGAGGGCTTTGCCCCAGCCTCAGCCCCTGTCCCAGGTACCCTGTGGCTCAATGGGTTTCCAGGGGGTTACCTTCTAGTCCCTGACTTTTCTCAGCCATGAAGGCTTCACACAGGTCTCCCTGAGTCTCCATGGTCAGAATGCCTAAGTGCGGGACTCTGGAGCCTTGTGGCCTGGGTTTGAATTACAGCTCTACCATTACTTACTGTGTGACTTTGGACAAATTCCTTGATGTCTCCTTGCCTCAGTTTCCTAACCTATAAAATATAGATAATGATAGTACCTAGTTCATAATTACAGCAGTTCCCTCTTACCTGTGATTTTGCTTGGGACAGTTTCAGTTTTCTGAGGTCAGAAAGTATGAAATGGAAAATTCCAGAAAGAAACGATTCAGAGGTTTGAAATTGCCCGCCATTTTGAGTAGTGTGATGAAATCTCATGCCACCCTCCTCTGTCTCACCCAGGACATGAATCCTCCTTTGCCCCAGCGTATCCACACTGTCTACACTTCCTGCCTGTTTGTCTCTTAGTAGCTGTTTCTGTTGTCTGATCATCACGGTATCACAGTACTTGTGTCCAAATCACCCGTATTTTACTGAATAATGTCCCCAAAATGCAAGAGTAGTGATGCTAGCATATTGTCAGAATTGTTCTATTTTATTACTAGTTATTGTTAATCTCTTACTGTGCCTAATTTAGAAATTAACCTTAGGTATAAGTATGTATGTATGTATGAAAAAAAAACAGAACATATAGGGTTTCATACTATCCATGGTTTCAGGCATCCACTGAGGGGCTTGGACTGTCTCCTGTGGATGAATGAGGCCACTGTAATTTATATATATAAGTGCTTAGAACAGTACCTGGCACCGATTCCATATACTATTAGAGTTTGCTATGATTGTTATTATAACAATTATTATGAGTGGGAGGAGCCAGTTGTTTTCCCACTAATATGTCCAGTGATTACAGCTCTTCCAGCAGAATCCTTTCAGATAAACATCACCCAGTTGTCCCCTCCTCCCGCAAGTCCTGTTGCCGCCTCCTCCCGCACTCCACGACACATTGAACAACCAAGTTGCTAAAACAAGAGGTAATGTTTTTGATAAACTTCAAATTACCTGCGTAGCCCAATGATTCCCAGGGAAATAGAAAGTCCTCATTATAAGCACGGTTGAGAATTCTGAAACTTCTCTAAAGTTGTAAAAAATGTGTCATCTGCCATTTCTTTGGTGGGTGTATTTTTACACGTCTCACAAGAGAGGTAAACAAACAAACAACAACAAAAAACAGGCTTAATGCTAACATGGAGTTGCCACTTCAGCAATGCAGCTTCATGTTACACTGATACATTACACATGCCTTACATGGTGTGACCAGTGTTTTGGGCACAAAGCACGCTGCTTCACATTTTTCAGATACGGGCAGTCATTCATTACCTTTCTTTATCCCTCTCCCATCATTTTCCATCCAAACCCCTGCTCTTAGTATGCCTCCTAGGGTTTTAAAGAGGCAATCCCATTAAAGCTTTCACAGCAGATTTGAATGACCAGTTGAATTAACCTTGGCCTCTCTCTTATTTGCATTTTAAAAGGAGAGTTTTTAATCTGAAGAGGCTTCTAATTTGTTGATTGGAGAGTGAGGAAATGCACTTTTCAAATGGCCTGTGGAATAGAGCTAGGCTGGACCTCAGGTGCCCTCCCACATTTTCACCAGTCCCTCTCCTCTCCCTCCAGCCCCCAGCACCACGGTGGCCTAGGTGGGTCTGTATGGGACACTTCCTGTGACCAGCCTCACATCCTCTCACCCCTCCGCTTTTTCTAGTGAGTACTGTAGCAACCTGCTTCCCACTGGTGCAACCTGAAAGCCCCTGACCTTAGTTGCATTCATACCTCTCACTTTTCTGCCCAGGGCTTCTCTGATACCTATAGAATCCATTTGGCATTCATGCTGTGTAGCCTGGAAGTGAGGGTGCTTTAATGCCCCAGGGAGACTGGAGCCCATGAGTAAATCTCTCCTCTTCTTTCACATGGGCAATTCTGAGGCACATTCTACCTGGTTCTCCAGTGTCCTTGTGGGATCGTGCCCCTGTGGCATGGCCCACAGGTTGACCAACTCCAGAACTCATGTATGAATCAGGTTTTCCTCCTCTGGGGCCCTCTCTCCCCAGTTCCCCACTCCTGTTCCCTGAGATCACTTATCAAAATAGACTCCCTGCTTTCTGGAGGGAACCAGGTTAAAACAGTGCCAAAGACCAGTAAACCTCCACCTGGCCATTCACCTTTATGCTGTTCAAGGGAGGATTAACATGTTTACAGACTACAATTTATAAAACAGAAATTTGGCAGAGTATTTGTGAACAATTAAGATAAACTCAATTGTTTGAAATTTAATGCAACTAATATTTGTTGGAGTTTAGCTAAAGCCAGGTGCAGAGCTAGGCTTTGGGCAGACAATAGCAAACGATCCCTCCCTGAGATTGTAACCTAATGTGTGTGGCTCCATCCCTCTGCCAATAGTTCCCCCGAGAGAGAACACAGGGTCCACCCTGCACATGAAAGGTAGGCACATTTCAGGGTGGGAGCTGCGCTAGGTGCAGGTCAGACTGCCTGAATTCACTCCCTGCTCTGTTACTTCTAGCTGGGTAAACTACCAAATCTAACCAAGACTCAGTTTCTTCCTCTTTGAAATGTGGAAATCTTCCTAGAGTCATTATGAAGACTAAATGAAAAAAAAAATGTATGTAATGGTCTTATTACGCCACCTGACATGTAGCAGGTATGCAGCCAATTCTAGCTCTGCAGTAAGTTATTGATTTCTTTGTGATGGGTTAGAGCAGTGAGGCTGTTGGTTTTAAATGAGAGGAGATGAAGAGGAATAAGCATGAAGGGGCTGCTATGCCTCTGCCCAACCTGGGTCTAGCTTGAATATTAGGGACATAAAAAGGAGAATTCTGCTAAGAAAGAAGTAATAACAACTAATTATTTTAACAGATGTTAAACTTTTGGTCACTTTTTTTTTTTTACTAAGCAATTTATACCATGTCTGTGTTTTTAAAGTATTACATTATGTTTACACATTTAGACTACTTCTGTAGGATGACAAATGTGTTCTTAAATGCTGGATATAATTTTAACTAAAAAATTGACATCCCTATACATTTTGTACCACGCTTTGGTTAGTTTTGTTTTAACCAATGCCTCCTTCTCTCTAATTATCCTAGTCAGTCAAAAGTTCCTTGTACCTTTCATTTACAATGCACAGCTGATTCTGGGGTGTCTCTGGAAAATTGCCTAACAGCCATTTAGTCAGAGATCATGAAGGAAAAACAAAGAGCTCCTAAGTTGGAGGATAAGGAGAAATGGATGAGTAGTGGGAGAAAGGAGATTGTGAAGGGATTCAAGCAAGAGGCTGATAAAGGCTAGTATATTCTTTCACTGAGAAAGGAGATGCCTACGTGTGGGCTGGAGAGGGCCAGCAAGACAGGGGACACGATATTTTTTTAATAATCTTGAAGCCATCTTGAACGTGCCCATCCCCTCCTTCCGCTGCCTGTATATCTGCACCTGTTGTTAAGGGCTTGGATGTCTCCCTCTCATGCCAAGCCTGCTGGTCTTCTCTGAAAGAAGGTTTTGCATTGTACCAGCAAAACTGAGGGCAGATAATTTTCCTTTGCTTTCATCTCTCACATTTCTGTACCCCTATCAATCACCTGTTTTTCCCAGGTAACTGTGAAGATACTTTTGGCCAAAGAGGGCATTCCCAACACTCTGCCAGAGGAACAGATGAAGGGTGAGTGAGAGGAATGGGTGGATAGGTGGGCTGGCTTAAAGGATGTCTTGCTATGTGCTTCTGGATTAGAGGGTACTGGCAGGCTTATAGAGATGTCTTTCTTCCCCAAGTCTCTCATTGGCTTTTTAGAGATGTTAGTATATCCTGAAATGAGTCAGTCAGTGCAACCAGATGATTTTCCTTCAGATGAATGGTTTGTTATACCTTCGCAGGTGTAAAAAGATTTATTAACTCATAATTTTATCAAGTAGTAATGTGCCAGTAAATATTTTAATAAGGTCACTAGTTCCACTACAATATGTTGTGTTTAATAGCCTTTAAAAGTGAAATGAAATGATCAGCTCTTAGTTACTCTCCTCCAACTTCCGTTAGGCTCAATGAAATTATCAGCTCTTAGTTACTGTCCTCCAACTTTCTTTAGGCTCAATGAAATTATCAGCTCTTACTTACTGTCCTCCAACTTTCTTTAGTCTCAATGAGGGACTTTCTATAAGTCAATGCCTTTCTTGCCCCCCATCTCCAACATGATTCCCCACTCCCACAACACTCTGCTGCATTCAAGACAAACTACAGTGTAGTGGTTCAGAACTAGCATTCTAGGACGAGAAAGATTAAAATTAGAATCCTAGCTTAGCCACCTATATGAGCTTGGAAGGGTTCCTTAACTAGGCTTAAGCCTCAGGATGCTTATCTATAAAATGACATCATTATCCTACCTCATACAGTTTCCCCCAAAGATTGGATGAGATTGTTAATGCACACATGGTGCCTAACAAGGTGTCTGGCAGGGAGTATGAACTAAATAATATTAGCTATTGTATTAATTATATATTATTGTGGAACGAATTTTCCCAAATCTTAGTGGCTTAAAACAACCAACATTTATGATCTCATATTGTCTGTGGCACAGGATCTGGGTACAACTAAGTTATGTGTCTCTACCTCAGGGTCTCTGACAAGGCTAATAATCAAGGTGTTGGTGGGGCTGCAGTCTCATCTGAAGGCTTGACTGAGGTTGGATCTGCTTCCAAGTTCACTCTTGTGATTGTTGGAAAGAGTCAGTTCCCTGTGGGCTGCTGGACTAAGGGACTCAGTTTCCCCCAGCTGTTGACTGGAGGGCTTCCTCAATTTCTTGAAATGTGAACCTCTGTATTGTGCAGCTCAAACATGGCAACTGGCTTCTATCAGTGTGAGAAAGCAAGAGGGCAAGGGAGGGCCAGCAAGACGGGAGACATGGTCTTTTTGTAATAATCTCAGAAGTGGCATTCAACTCCTTTTGTTATAATCTATTTATCAGAAGAAAGTCACTAGGTATAGACCACATTCAAGGGGAAAAGGATCATACAAAGGTGGACCACAAGGGAGTGAGTTTCACTGGGGGTCCATCTTAGAAGCTGCCCACGACAGCTATAGTTACTAATATTATGAAAAAGTAACTTTCCATTTCACAGCACCACATTTGGTCAAACCTCTACTTGAAAACCTTCCTTGCTTCCCCTTTGTTTATCACATAAAGTCCACATGCCTTGCATAACACATAAGACTTTGCAGCCCTGATCCCTTTTGCTCCTCTAGTTTCTTCTTGACATGTTGTCCAGACATTCCAGGATTCACAATGATGCTCCAGGAGATATATGTCATTGGAAGAGGTGATGGTTTCTATTTTAATTCCTAATTTCTAAACAAATCAATACACAAAATTATTTACCTATTTTTCTCTTTCAAAACAGAACAGGAGAGCCTTTGAGTGTGTAACAGGTGAAAATGTAAGATTTAAGAGTCAAAAATGTTGGAAGATGTTGCCATGCATATTCATGCTTCTGTGTTTTCTTGGGCTGTTGCTTCTCTTTTCTGTTTGGGGGACTCATAGTCATCCTTCAAACTCACACTTAGATCTCATCTTTTTTTTCAGTGAACACATCTTCAAGCTCCTCTGGCCTTATTCCCCTCCCCCTCACCTTCATCTCTTCTCTGTTTCCCTATAACATTTTAAATATACCCCTCTTGGGACACTTATCTTTTGTTATAGATGGTGTGCATAAAAAGTGTTCCATGAGATCCTGGGATTCCACACAAGAATGGGGATGGGGATGGGGATGGGGATGGGGATGGGGATAGGGTAAGCTTACTTTCTTAAATAGGTGGTCTGTTTGTGTTTTATTTCCTGCCCTGCCCATAGCCCCTTTCTGTGGAGACTTTCTTTGGCTGTAGACCTTGTTACCCAAGACATCCCTGCCTCTCCCCAGGAGGGGCCCTTGTCCCAGCAGCAGCTCCCCAGTGCAGAAATGCTGGATGTATTAGTCAGTGTGTCCAAGTTCATCAGCAGGCAAGTGGTGGAGCTGGGATTCAAACCCTGACAGTCTCCTGCATACCCTTGCATTTACTCTCTATACAGCTATAAACATTGCAAGGGGAATGACTCTTTAAGTACCTTTCATAGTCAACTTTTTGGGTTCTGACAGACAGGTGTTTCAATGATGTGAGGAAACCGTGGAATTTTTCCCCATGCTTTGAAACTATTTGAAAACCAATACTGAGTCAGAAATGTTTCCCTAAGGAGCATTTACTAGCAATTCTTACTGTCTCTGTGAATCACTCACAACAACTCTCTCCCTCTCTCTCTTTTCTCTTTCTCTCTCTCTCTCTGCCTGCATCTTTCTTGCAATAAACTATTTGGTTATGACAGGTTACTATTTTTTTGTCTTCATAAATGCCCTAGTACCTTGGGTTTACTATGGTTTATTACATATTTGTTTCTCAGTTGCAGATTTTGACCTTCTATATATTGAAGTCTTTCTCTAATTGGATTATACAATACAGGGTGGAAATGGACCCTGTTGTTTTTTTCCTGCCTGACACCCTGCTTCTTTTGAGAATGGTACCCATCCCATGCCAAATGATCCTGGTGGGACTACCCAGCTAGGTATCTTAATCCAACCCCCACCATAGGCACAGACCCGTGGTCCAGTCTAGGCCTGTCCTGATAGCAACAGTTACAGGTTTAGAGATGGGTGCAGAAACCACACTAGGCCAATCAGAGTTGCCCTGAAGTGCTACAGAGAAGTTGAGAGATGGAAATTCCCTCGTCGTTAAGTTGGGAATAAATAAATCTGCCATCGGGGGAGGCTTCCTCTTTGTCAGGTGGAAAGAGCTAGACTGTAGAAGAAGCCAACAGGGAAGTGGGACTGAGGGCTGAAAAGAGGGCTAGAGACCTCACCTATTGTTTAAGCTCTTGAATCCATCAGTGCCTGATGTAATTCCAAGCTACATAATCTAATAGCTACCCCTAAAACTAATTAGAACCGAGTTTTAATCATTCTACTGCCTGAAGTGATGATTAATGTAGAGGTCAGAGATAGCAAGTCAACTCCAACTCAGGTGCAGACTATAATAAGGGTTGCCAAATAGAATACAGGATTCCCAGTTATGTTTGCATTTCAAATGAACAATGAATAATGTTAGTAAAATAATCTTTAATGTATTTTTAGTGTAAGTATATCCCAAATATTACATGGGACAGACCTATACTAAATTCACTGGTTAACATTCAACTGTAACTGGGCCTTCTGTATTTTATTTACAAAATAAATAGAAGTAGTTAGTGACTGCTTGTGACACTGTGTTGAGGATTCCGAGGCCACATTTCACCTCAGCAGGAAAGAGTATGGTTATTAATTAATAATGTTTGCTGTGAGTGTGGAAGTAGAGACAGACATGTAAGTGCCATCCATGTACGTTCTTGGTTTGCCCTAAGTGTTTAGAAATGTTTTTCTTCTGTAGCCTTAGGCAATATGATTTAGTAATAACATAAATAATGGTAGCCACCATTTATAGAGTCCCTTTACTCTAGGAGCCTTACGTATGTCTTCTAATTTAATCCTCATGACAATATTTTATTGGCTGTAGTTCACGTCTGAGTCTCAGAAGGGTTAAATTCTCACAGACAGTAACTGGCGGAGCTGAGATTCAAACCTATGTCTATCTGACACCAAAGCTCATGCTTGTTCCAATTCATTGCTCTGCAGAAGGCAAATATTGTCCTGACAGCTAACTGCTGAAGTCATCTTAAAATGCTATTCTACAAATTGCTATATAAACACTTATAAACCCAGTTCTTTGCCCAAAATGGTAAACTGTCCTTTCACAACAAAGAGCAGCAATTCAGCAACAAATTGGAGCCTTGCATGAGGCAGTGTTTTGGCAAACAGATTTCAACAGTTGATACCAGAGGAGTGCCAATTGTGAAAACTGGTTTTAGACTATAAATGATTATAGAAAACCAGCCTTCTGACAAGGTGGGGGGATCTTGTAGCAGGGAAGCCTAGATCAGCCCTGCATGGAATTTAGAGTTGACTGTGGAGCTGAGAGGCTTTTTGATCTCAATTATCTACATTACTTGATACGCTTTTTTTTTTTGGTAGAAGATCAAGTGCTATCATTTGAATGTGTCTTCCCAAAGTTTATGTGTTGGAAACTTGATCCCCAATGTGTTGAGAGTTGGGGCCTAATAAGAGGTGTTTGGGTCAGGGGCATCACACTCACAAATAGAATAAGGCTGTTATCATAGGAGTAATTTTGCCCTCTCTTGCCCACACTATCCCTCTCCATCTCTTGCCTTTTCACTTGATAATGCAGCAAGAACTCCCTCCCAAGACACTGGCACCTCAGTCTTAGACTTCCCAGCTTCTAGAACTCCAGAATTATAAATTACTCAGTCTCAGGTATTCTGATATAGAAACAAACTAAGACATGGAGGAAGGAAGAAGATGGCATGTGTGTATGAGTGTATATGTCTTTTTAAAAAATTTTCATGAACTTGATGTTTAATGTTTTTAACCTAGGATACAGGATAGGGAGATTATAGACATGAAGACAATACAGAGGATGGGATAGGATGGTATCCTGTCTTATCCCCCACCCTACTCCTTGGGAACAAGGGATAAGAGAGAAGCTGAAGAAAAGTTGTGTTATTTGGGCATAAGAATTGTTATTACAGGCAGAGCAGGAAAAAGGGGGCATGGAGCCATGGAAGGCCATGTTTCCCACTTTGATGTGCTACTGTATGAGTTCATTCTCACACTGCTATAAACAATACTACCTGAGACTGGGTAATTATAAAAGAAAGAGGTTTAATTGACTTACAGTTCCACATGGCTGAGGAGGCCTCAGGAAACTTAGAATCATGGCAGAAGGGAAAACGGGCATATCTTCCATGGCAGCAGGCAAGAGGAAATGTTAAATACTTATAAAACCATCAGATGTTGTGAGAACTCACTATCATGAGAACAACATGGGGGAAACCACCCCCATGATCCAATCGCCTCTCTCCCTTGACATGTGATTACAGGTTCCTCATCGACATGTGGAGATGACAATTCGAGATGAGATTTGGGTGGGGACAGAGAACCAAACCATATCAGCTACCTAGCACCTATCTGGCACCTTGAGGCATGGAGATTTGGGGATCATTTAACAGCAGCACCCTTGGCTTCAACTTTTTTTTTTTTTGGAAAGTCTAATTGGCACTTGCAAGGGTATGACTTCAAGCTACCTCACATGCAGAGAACACTGGTGTGAGTATCTGGTGGTAGGTGATGGAGGCTGACAGGGAAGTTTATGAGCACATGTTCATGGTGATTCTGAAACATGCTTGGAGCACTTCTCAGGAGGGCTGGAGGACCATATGAGCAGGGAGTCTTATACTGTTAGGATTAATAAGACATCTTTTCTATGTGCAGTCCAGTAAGGCCTGGGGCATCCAGTTTACAAACATGACACCTAACTACAGAGAAAGAATAGAATAAATGGAAGAAATTTTGAACAGATAAAGGTTTAAATGATCTTATCAGAGACAAGGAATCTAAATCCTGGATGAAGGTAATTTTCATCCAATAAATAAAAAGAGAACTTTAAGGAGGAAAATGTAATCCTTTTTCTCAACTGATCTTGGAGGAATAGCTGTCCTCATCTTCCTCACTTCCCATTTTTGAGATCCATGGCCTGACCCTGGTGGTTGCCTCTTAGCCCAGTGACAGCTGGAGCTTTGTTGTCAGGTATTAGGAATCCCTGCCCCATGTCCTTTTCCTTTTGCCTTTTCCTATAAGATCACTGTCACCTTCAGGGTGTTCTATTTTAAGACCGATGTGTGCATTCTGAGATCAGAAGACAACATTAACATTTCTCCAATATCGCAGGTTGTCCCTGGGGGACTTTTATTATATTTTTCTGAACCTTATGAATGAGATGAATATTTCATTGTGCTTGTTACACAACAGTTCTTCATATATATTATTGAGCTCTAATTTCCACAAACGCTCTACATCCCCAAATATGGCTTGCTCTTGGCACCTGCTGAGCATATGTCCTTTTAGACTTATCAGCTAGGCACAAAAGGCATTCCTGTGAAAGAAAAGAGGAGATACTTAAGTCAGTCAATAGCTCACCATATTCAAAGCAGAACTGGGTTTTTGCAAGCTTAAAAGGAGTACTGGCATTTATAGCCAGGCAACTGTTGTATTGGCATTTATAGCCAGAGCAGGGGAAAATTAAGGAGTGGGACATTTCTCATGGTTTAGGGCTAAGTCATGAGCAAAAAACCAGCTTTCTCTGGGTATCTCCTGAAAATATCATTCTTTGCTCAAAATGACCCACTGGCTTTTTTTGCAGCTGGCAGAATCAAGTCCAGACATGCAGTCTGACTGTTCGTGTCCTTTGGGCCCACCGTTCAGCCTGTTCCCCTCAACTTTCTTTTGTCCCCTTCATAGTAAATAAGCCCATCTACTCAATGATCCTTTCCCGAGCCTTCCTATTTCTGATGTTTTCTAGACATTTTCTTCCACCAGGATGGTTAGTTCTTCCTGTTCATCAAGGGCCAGTTCAATGGCCATTTCTTCCCTGGACCTCTGGGATGTCCACAACAGAAAATTTAGCTCCCTAAATTTCCACAGGTTCCTCCTTAGAATGTCTGTAACTTATGTCTCACTCTCTAGCAGATCTGAACATTGTTTCATAGTCATTCCTGTGCCTACCTTGTTTCCCCCACCAGACTGTAATATCTGCAGTTGACCTTAAGGGTAAGTTTCACATCCAAATCTTCTTTGTGGCATCGCATACCCTGTAATGCCTGATGGCATAGTGCTGGGCACATTGTAAGCCACAGTAAATGTTTAGAGAATGACAACACAAGTGAATGATCCTTGTAGATTTTGGGGTAACAGTGGTCAAGTCCCTATTGTCTCTGAAAAAGTCAGGTCTGGGCTAGCTGCTGGTACCATCATGTGATCTTTTTTTGCCAGGACATCCTTGGTGAGGAGTCAGGGTGTATGAGGCCTAACCTGTGTGCTGCAGTCAGAGGAGGGCATTGAGCAGGTGCCATGCACTGGAGCTGATTTTCAGGGTTCTCTCCCAGAGCAGCAGGAGATAGAAGTGACAGACCATCTGCAGCCTGAATCTGCAGCTCCAGCCTTTTTCTCCTGCCTCTGGCCTCCCTCGCTTTCTACTCCCAGACTTGCTGACCTCACCACTTCCCACACCACCAGCTCCTCTTGGTTCCAGACCAACTCAAACTCATGGCAGCAGTGGGCAAAGAGTGCTGGCTGAGGTGGAGGAAGGCCTCCTGTCTGGGCACTAGGTCCTCTGTATTGCTGGTTTGACCTGGGCCTTGGCTATTATAGTCCCTGGAATCCCAGTTCTGATCTCTCAGTAACTTGCTACAAAGGGAGTGCCCATGGCCTTTGCCTGTCACAGGTGCCTTTCCTCCCCTCCTAGACTACTGGAGACCCCAATCCTCTTAAATGATTCATGATTCTCTGTTTCATCCCAACCTCACAGTCATAGTTTGGGCCCTCCTTATCCCCTATCCAGACGACTGTATGTGCCTTCCTGGTCACTCTCCCTGCCTCCTGGCTTGTTACTCCAGGTTCATCCAGCACATCCTGAAACTGCACTTGTTCCTTCATTCCCCTATGTAACCCAGTCAGTACTTCCTGTTACTTGTTAAATAAGGCACAGCCTCCTTACCACTGCATACAAGGCCTTGCACAAATTCACCCCTTCTCCTCCTCTGGGCTCCATGTTTGCTATTTCCTACCTGAATTTTACACTCGAGGCCACCAGCCCCGCCATGCTGTTTCTCACGCCATGCTTCTCTGATACCATCATATTTGCCTCTAATACCTTCCCAACCTTCATACTTCTTATTTGGCCAACTATCATATTTTTCCTGGGAACATTTCCTAATCACGATCCCTCAGGACAGGTTAGATTTGATGCCCCTCTTTTGTGCTCCTTGGTATATTATGACACCTGGCTCTGGCAGGTCAACTCTTAAGTTTCATCTAGACTTGGGTTCCCCTGATATCTTTCCTCCAGCATTACCACTCAGATCCACACACTTCCCTCTCAACATCCCTCATTAACATGTTATGCATCACAGTCATGTTGCAATCAAATGTAAAGAAGGTAAAAACTGCGACTCTGACTTTTTTTCTGCACCCAATCACAAAGGACCTTATAAAATATTCTGAGATAAAAGAGTCAGCAGGATGTCAGTGGGTGGCAAGTACCACACATAGAGCCATTCAGGATGTTAGAAATCAGCAGTAGGCATCATGAAAGGCTCTATTCAAGGGAACTGAAGGAAAAGGAGCCAGTGAAGTGGGTGGGCTTGAGATATTCTCCGCAGAGCTATGTCCCCCAAGTCCAAACCAGATCACTCCAATTCCATAGTCTAAGCCAACCCCCAATAAGTGTACATTCTTGTTAGAAGAAAAGCTGAATGAAGGGATGTGACCTTCCTAGTACAAAAGTGTTATTATTGTTGGAACATAGATACAAGGGAAATGATCTACAGAGCACCTCAGAGACATCATGCCTGTATATGAAGAAGAATGGGTAAAGCCCATACTAAATTCAGAATTGAGAACTTGGCTCAACCCTTGATTTTCTTTGCAACCCAAGCCAACCGAGTGCCCCATCCTTCTAGGTCTTTTGCAATACTTGTGTAGCATGAGGGATGTGTATAACGTGCTCCTCTTATACTCATTACTACAGAAAATAACACGGTCTCTTTGGTCCAGCCCAAGACAGCCTCTTTTTTAAGAAGGTTGGGAAGCCCCTCCACCACCTTCCTCAAGATGCCTGTCTCCTGCCATTACTTCCCATTCCAATTGACTTATTCATCATCAGTTTGGTACTGGATATTAAGTTAAATTAGTACTTAATGGGTTCTAAACTGCTCTGCTGTGGATTAGACCATGGTGCTCCTTCTTCATTTAAATGGGAACTTGGATAGCCATTTGCTGGGGTGGTGATTTGTGCTTTGGCAGCCTTCGCAGATCCATAAGTAAACTAGTAGATTTCCCTGACATGGTAATTGGCCTTACTGTCTAGAGTCATCACACATTTTTCTTATACATTGAATTAATGTAGAGAAGCAGGATGGTTGATGGTTTCATTTGTTGTACCATTAATGAAACATAAAACAGATGTGTGAAACACTGGCTTAGTAATAGAAACTGCATTGCAAATTATTTATCTGCAGAAATCACATCCTGAATGTAAGGTGGGAACAAATGTAGTTTTTCTCTTGACAGTACTAGGTCAAACTGTATTAAAAAACCTATTAAGCATAAAGTCTCTTGCTGGAGTTAAATATAAAACACAATTTGTTCTCTCAGTTCAGTACAGCATTAAAATCTTATAAAATCAACAGTATTTTGGACCCACTTGTGTATGAATTTCACTTTCTTTTTTTCTGGTCACCTCCCAGGTAGCTCACCAGGTGAAAAAAGTGAGAGAGACATATGTACTCTCCTAGGTTCTCCCTGTGAAGATCATACTGGCAATGAAGTGTTGTAGGAGGAGATAAAGTCAACCAGCGAAACTTGACAGCTGACTCTGGTACTAAGGGAACATGTCCATCACCTTGATTTTCATCTTTTAATATACGAAGGGAAACATGGCATACTAAACTCAAGAGGGAATATAAAACAGCCTTCTTAAGAAAGATTTGGCAGTACCACAAGGTAGGGGTTGTAAATTGCAAAGCGTTTCTTGACTTGGATCCTTCAGAAAGCTGGAGAGATCGAGAACTCAGGTTAAATTATGTTCTTGGACCCCAATGCTTATCACCAGCACCTTTCTATGGAAGGGAAGGTAAAGGGGAAGTGGGAGGGAGGCCAAAATAACTCCAGAGGCTCAAGATGTTCTATAAAACATACCCTCCTGGCAGCCTTCTCTCAGTAGTCCTTAGTGACCATGCTAGGCATTATTGGACATTCTGAATGAAAGGGGTACAGGGACATTTCCCAGGCAGTATGCCCAACTCAGCTGTGCTATCTTTCCCTGGGAGTCCAGGGAACTTTCCCTGAAATTGTGTCTCTCTCTACAGTCTGGCCTCACGCATGGTGCTTCCTAACAAATTTGACCTGTTCATTTTATAAACAGATAATGCACGGATTCCAGCCTCAGCTTCCCAAGTCCAGCCTGGCAACCCTACAATCCATTTCACAGCTCTGCTTGCTTAGTATACAGTTAATCAAGATCTTTCTCCTTCTCTGTGCTCTCCCAGTACCTTATACCTTACTAGGTATCAAAGTTAGGCTGCTATACCATCATTTACAAATATTTTAATAAGATGTTCCCCTTAGTAGACTGAGGCATTGAAAAGAAAGACTTCAAAGTGTGTGTTCATCATCACCTCTCACAGTACCTGGCACATAATAGGCACTCAAGAAATAAGTACTGAATGAATGGATGAGTGAATGATGATATTTTGGGGAGGAGCTCCTTTCTCTACATATCCATCCCCTTATAACACAAATAAAGGGAAAACAGGTATGTGAGGGAGCCCACTTACAACAGCCTCAGAACTACTCTGGTACTTGGATCTGTAAATCTTGTCCATTTGTTTACAATGAAGGAGCCTAAATACCAATGGGAATTGTACCCAGGGGCTCTAGTTGATAAGGAGCCAAGGACAGGGGTCTTTCCCTCTAGAAAAACTTATTAAATTTCCCATCAACACTGATGATCAACTTCAACATTTTATGTTGATGAATAATTTGGGTTTTAAATGGTTTGATTCAGAGAGGGAAATTCATGTATATCTTCCTTAAAAAAATTAGTAAATGTGTGTTACATGTCAGGTACCATGTGGGCACTGGAAAGACAAACATCTCTTTGCTTCAGGATTTCATGATTCAGTGAGTAAGCAGACAGGTAAGTGGGATGTACAAAAGACCTGGCTGTGACATGAAAACAAAATATTATGATATAACATGACATATGCCCAAATAGAGACAAACATGCTCACATATTGCTAGGGTAGCCTACAAGAGGGAATCCAGGGACTTCTAGAAAGGTTCACTCAAGAGGAGGTTTGAGCAAACAAATGGATGGTTAGTGTACTTCAGCTATGTAAGAGAAGGAGGAGGAGGAGGAGAAGGAGAAGGAAGAAGAGAAGGAAAGAAGGGAGAGAGATAATCAAGGAACAAAGGAAGGAAGGAAGGAAGGAAGGAAGGAAGGAAGGAAGGAAGGAAGGAAGGAAGGAAGGAAGGAAGGGAAGAAAGAAAGAAAGAAAGAAAGAAAGAAAGAAAGAAAGAAAGAAAGAAAGAAAGAAAGAAAGAAAGAAAGAGCAGTGTCCACTGTTAGAAGGATGAAATCTTTTTTCTGGTGTTGTCCGCCATTCACTTTTCTGCTATCATTACCTTTACTTTACAGTCACTTCCATTGTTAAGTAACTACATGTGAGAACCTATAACAGATGGTAAATAATTACTTTTTACCAATTGTCCAATTCCATGTTTTCACTAGCAGTGATAATTAATGATCCAGGCAATGGCACTGGCAGTACACTGCAGCAAAAATCCTCCTGCTGCCTGGAATTTTCTACACATTCACCAGAGCACACGGAAAGGCAGCGGAAGAAATAACAATGAAGGAATAGCATCAAGGAGCAGAACAGGACTTAGATTAGGTGTGAAGGCAAACGTCTGTGTGTCCAATTCCACTGTTTCCTCTCACTGACCTTAAAATTGCTAGCTACCCACAGTGCAGTAGAGGCTATCATCAAACTCCTGATACATATTTGTTCTGGAAATTTACAGACATTTAAAAATGTTTATTAGTTCTTGTAAGAAAAAAATCTGGGGAAATGAATTCTAAAATCCTTGCTTATGCAAAGAAATAAGCCTTACTGAATGTCCCACACAGCTGAGGACAGCAGTGTCTGGGGGCAGTAAGTCCCATCTGTCCATAAAGGGACAAAACTGAGCCTGAGAGTGAAGGTGAAACAGATGTTTTTACTCAGACCGATTTCTCCTGAGGCTAGATTTGTGGGCATGTGGTGCCTCGAGTCAAGGCTGGGTCAAAGACACTATGAAAAAGGAACACCTTGGAGGGGAAGGGCCAGCATAGGTGCCGGAGTCATGGCCAAGCTAACAGCTTTCATCCCAGGGGCACCACTCTCATTGCTAAAAGTCGTTTAATGTTGAACAAATGGGAATGGCAAAGGCTCTTTGGAATCATTACACCAAGAGAGAAAGATGTGCAGTGTACTGAACCATGAAAGATGGCCTGAAATCACCCTTTCTCTCATAGTGCTGGTAACTCAACCTCCAGGTAAACAGGCAAATCCTCCCTGCATGCAAAATAAAGGTAGAAACATTCCACAGGTGGCTGGAAGATTTCTTTTTCCTCAACTGTGTGTCTCTGCTCAGCTAGAACAAGCCTCTTGTCGGGGCTCATCCTTTCTGTAAATGCTTCTCTAAAAATTTTTCTTTTTGTTCCTTTGACCTGTAATCTTTGAGGAGGATGCTGCTCCCCTCAGCATTGATTTGACAAGCTAAACGTCAGCAGTGAATGCCAGGAGCCTCACAGAGAGTGAATCCTCTTCTGAAGAGATGTCTGATGAGTCTAAACCTCAGCTCCAGATCGTGAGCCTTTGCTCCCCAGCCGAGAAAAATCGATCCCGTTCCTTTTTCAGGAGCAGTGAAGTGAATGCTAGGCAGTTTATGTTTAATGGGGTCCCAGGAGTTTATGGGAAGAGGAGTTCGTTTTTATGTCCTTGGTGCCTTGAGTTCACCAGGTATAGCTAATGGGAGAAAAGAATGGGAGAGGAGGCTTCACTCCTGATGGTGTTCTTCTTTCCTCTGCAAATTTTGGAAACGTGGAAGGTGCAGGGCATGTTGGTGACGGGGCTTGACTGTAATAACCTGTTTGCCAGTCTGAGTTTTATAGCCTTGCTGAGGATTCCTGGGCTGAAACTGAAATTCTATTTCTGCAACTGAGGATAAGCATTTCTAATTCTGCTCATGTTGAAAGGGTCCAATTTCCAAAGGCACAGACTTAGCACTCCTTATTTGCACTGAATCATCAAACCCCTCGCCTGGGCCTGGGCTCGGCTCTGACTTCTTGCGGAGGAGCTCAGGGGAAGCAGGCAGTGATAGATGAGGCTGAAGAGGTTGGCAGGGGCCAGCTTTAGAGAACCATCCATGGCAAGGTAACACATCAAATTTTTATCCTATAGAGGATGGACAATCATTGAAGAATATTTAACTGGGGAATAACAGTCAGATTGGTGTTTCAGATTGAACATCATGGCAGCTGAGTGAGGATGGGTTGATATAAGGGGGGCAAGACAGGGGACAGGGAGGCCAGTTAGGAGTTTCTACTAATAGCTGGGTTGACAGCATCAGGACTCAGGGATATCTAGCCACCTGTTGGACTCGTCCACTTCGGTTTTCTGCAAAGAAATAAAACCTTATCCTCTTACCTCAAAATCATGCTTCTTCCGAATTCCCTGCCTTGATGAAAATTGCCCAACCACCCTAGTCAGAAACGTGGTAACCACTCTTGACACACTTCAATTTCCTCCTTCCCCATATTCTATCACCATGACCTGTCCATTTTACCTGTAAAATAGTATAGTCCTGAAATCTTCCCCTCTGCTCCATTCCTAAAATTATTGCTCCAATTCAGGTCTTCATATTCTCTCCCCTGACTTTTGCAATAGTCTTCCAAACTGAAAAGTAGTGGTCCTCAGAGGGTCTGCTCTTTCAGAGAGGGCAAAGAAATGAGAAACATCCCCCCCTCCCCACACTCAATTGCAAGACCAGCTCCTCAACAGGAAGGCTTACCTGAAACCCCCAGGCAGGTTAGGTACCTTTCTTAGTCCATTTGTGCTGTTAAAACAAAATACCTTAGACTGGGTAATTTATAAACAACAAATTTATTGCTCACAGTTCTGGAGGCTGGGAAGTCTAAGATCAAAGGCCTGCAGATTCAGTATTTGGTGAAGCCCTCTTCTTTGCTTCCTAGATGGCACCTTCTTGCTGAGTATTCATATGATGCAAGGGGCAAATTTTTTGTCTTCACGTGGTAGAAGGTTGGAAGGGCCAAACAGGTTCCTCAGGCCTATTTTATAAGGTCACTAATCTCATTCATGAGGACAGAACCCTCATAACCTAATCACCCCACAAAGGCCCCACTTCTTAATACTGCTGCCATGGTAATAAAGTTTAAACATATGAATTTGGAGGAGGAGCAAAAACATTCAGACCATAGCAGTACCCATTCCCTGCTTATCCCTATCATAGCATTTTTCACATTTTGTTGTCCTTATCTGGTAACATATTTGTCTTCCTCTCTTGATCAAGGGTCAGTAAACTAAAGCCTGCTGGCCAAATCTGGCCTGCCACCTGTTTTTGTAAAGAAAGTTTAATTGGATGACAGCCATGCACAATCACTTACACAGTATATAGGGCTGGCATTTTTCCCTACACAAGAATGGAGTTGAGGAAGTCCAACAACGATGGGGTAGCTCATAAATCCTAAAGTATTTATTACCTGGCCCTTTACAGAAAAAGGTTGTAGACCCTGTTCTAGCCCATAAATATATCAAGGGTGTGAAAGAGAGTTTATGTGATTGCCGTATCCCTGGGATCTAGAACAGTGCTTGGAACATAAATACAAAGTGTGCTGTGTGTGTGTTGGAACGACCTACCTCTTGTGACTGGCTCAATGGTACTAAGGAAGATGAGTCACAGCCTGATTTCTATACACCTATGAACAGATGTAGTTCACCTCTTTCCCTCTTAGATGATGACCTCCACTATTATTACTCAGCAATGCTTAGCTCCTTTTACTGGTGGAGTCCCAAACACCTTGATTCATCATGCCTAGGGGTGGCATTGCCTGCAACCCATACACCCCAATAACGCAACCCATCTTTCAGCAAGATGGGCTATGGTTTCTGCCTACTATTCATCCCAAAGGAGCAGAAAAGTTTAGAGACTCCTATAAGGCACCGCAATCTTGGTTTAGTCCTGTAGTTATATTGCTTTCAATAAGTTTTGATGGCTGAGTCTAATGATTTCAGAGATAGATCATGGATTTAGACCAGACTTTCTAGAAGCAAAGCATTAGTCTGACATGAGGGCTCAGACCTGTATGTTGGTCATTTCAGTGATCAGGCACTGTGCTAAGCAGTTTGCATGCATTAGTTTTCTTTCTTTCTTTTTTTTTTTTTTTGGCCTTGAGATAGGGTCTGGCTCTGTTGCCTAGGCTGTAGTGCAGTGGCACAATCTCAGCTCACTGCAACCTACATCTCCCAGGCTCAAGTGATCCTCCTACCTCAGCCTCCTGAGTAGCTGGGACTACAGGCGCACACCACCAAACCCAGCTAATTTTTTGTTTTTTGATTTTTGTAGCAATGAAGTCTTGCTATGTTGCCCAAGCTGGTCTCAAATCCCTGGGGTAAAGCAATCCTCTTGCCTCAGTCTCCCAAAGTGCTGGAATTACAGGCATGAACCACTGCACCTGGCCACAATCAGTTTTGCTCACTGTTGCTCTATCCTATGTATCTAGAACAGTGCCTGGTGCCTGATGCATGGTAAGCACTCAAGAAAGATTTGTTAATGAAAATTCATTTGAATTGTTTTCTATCATTCTTTTCACCACTTGTGAGCTATGCCCTATTTTCCCCCATCTTATAGATGAGTAAGCAGGGCCAGGAAAGCTCTGCAGTACAGCTGGCCAGTGTCATGGGCAAGAGTTAAGCCAGAACTTTTTGGTTTGGAAGGCTGTGCTCTGTCCATGACATCAAGATTATCAAGATTTGGGCAGAGAGGAACTCCATTTGGGGTGTAACATCCTCACCTTTGTTATTTCAGTTCTAGAAATGTATCAGAAGACAAACTTCTTGGGTCACTATTTCCCAGGGTGTACAGATACTCCCTGACTTATGATGGAGTTATGTCCTGGTAAACCAATTGACAAGTTGAAAATATCATTGCTTCAAAAATGCATTTAATACACCTAACCTGCCAAACATCATAGCTTAGCCTAGCCTACCTTAAACATGCTCAGAACACTTACAGTAGCCTACAGTCGGGCAAAATCATCTAACCTAAAGCCTATTTTATAATAAAGAGTTGAATATCTCATGATTTAAACAATTTTTTTTTGAGACAGAGTTTCGCTCTTGTTGCCCATGCTGGAGTGCAGTGGCACAATATCGGCTCACTGCAACCTCTGCCTCCCAGGTTTAAGCAATTCCCCTGCCTCAGCCTCCGGAATAGCTGGGATTATAGGCGCCTGCCACCATGTGTGCCTAATTTTTGTATTTTTAGTAGAGAGGAGATTTCACTATGTTGGCCAGGCTGCTCTCGAACTCCTGACCTCAGGTGATCCACCTGCCTCGGCCTCCCAAAGTGCTGGGATTATAGGCGTGAGCCACTGTGCCTGGCTGAATATCTTATGTTATTAAGTACTCTACTAAAAGTGAAAAACAAAATGGTTGTACGGGTACTCAAAGTATGGTTTGTACTGGAAGCATAGCGCTTTTGCACCATGGTAAAGTAAAAAAAAATGTAAATTGAACCATTGTAAGTCAGGGTGCCTGTAATCATTTACATGATTTCAAAAGCAGCATTTTCAAGAGCTGAGATTCATCCTTTGCATAAAAAACAGGACAGAGGCCCTTGAGAATTCCGTGTTGCCTGTACAGGTTTTGGCATATTCTCTGAAAATTCTGAAGACAGCAGCCCCTCTCCCATGCCACTGTAGAGAATCCTGGGCTTCCCTAAGGCTACATCGTGTTCCATTCAAGCACAATGGTAATGGGGCAGTTGAGCTGTACACCGGCTTTTCAAAAGGCTCCAGTATAATGTAGCGATTGTGTCATAGACAACAATAATAAAGAAAAAACCTCCCAGCCAACTTTTTTCACATGACTGGACAGAGAAAACAAGCAAACACGAAAATGACTGAGCCTCCCCCAAGCCTCCTCTTCAGAAGGCAGGCTCCAGAACCATTGCTTGATTCTCTATGTCACAAATTGAATGAAGATTGGAAACTTCCCTATCTAGCACAACAAATGAATCTAATTTGTGATTTTCATTCCCTTCACTCTGAGCTCTATTTATGGATGACCTTTGATGTCACATCCATTTCCAAAATATATCATTAAGTAGCAAAAAACCACCTCAGCAGGTGAGATTAAAACTGATCATGTGGAAGTTTTTACTTGTATTTCTAGCACTCCGTTACCCAGGCTGAAAACCAGACTTGTGCTTTTCTTCCTCCAGAGATAATCTTCACTTTAATGAGCTACAGAAAGCAGCCTGCCAGCAAAAAAAAACAAACATTTATCAAAGCCTCAATAAATAGTAATTCACTGAAGTTAAGATTCTTCCTCCTGAAAGTCTAAACGCCTTCTAAAAATTATTTCAGAGCTATGTTGCTAAAGGATTAAAATAGATTGAGTGCTTAAGTCTTCTGTTGTTCATGTTCAACTGGGTATTCTCTTGGGAATGTTAAACCAAACAGGAGGGGAAAAGCTGCAGAGATAACTAATGTAAGATCTGCTGGAAACTCCTAAGAGAGAGGGAAATGAATTTTGCAAGAGCTTTCTTCTCTTTTTCCTTCTCCCACCCATACTCCCTTGCTTCTTGCTTTCCATTTGACTCTGGTCATGGTTTCACTTGCTTTCAGGACCTTGGATGAATACCAGGCAGTTCTCTGGGTGACTCTTTGAGGTCAGAGAAGCTTTTGTCTGCCAATACTGGATGAGAAGGTGGATGTGATAGGAATCTATGGTGTAAATTTTGACAGGCTGAAATGCCTTTGGGCCCTGGTGAGCCTCCCTAAAGTACTGATTGTGCTCAGAGCTCATGAGAATGGCCTGGTGTGGGGAAGGAGAGAGGGTCAGGCAGGCAGAAACACTAGTAACCATGTCGAGTAACTTGGCATTTTCCAGCTCATATTTCTTCTTGTATTGGAATTCCTCCAGTAACAGGAGATGGTTCCCCTCTGTTCTTAGAAGCAAAGTACAAGAGAGTTGGAAGGAATCTTGGCCATCACTGTGTCCAGTCTTCTCACTGTAAATATGCTTAAAATCTCTTCCACTTTAAATAAAAAAAAATCTGCTATACTTTGTGTTGTTC
Organism: Homo sapiens; assembly: GCF_000001405.40. Classification (NCBI taxonomy): domain Eukaryota; kingdom Metazoa; phylum Chordata; class Mammalia; order Primates; family Hominidae; genus Homo; species Homo sapiens. Next base: position 112,902,262 of record NC_000011.10, on the reverse strand, counting down.
TCCAGCCACCTCTTTAATTATCTTCTTCCCTTCAGTGCAAATACATTGAAAGGTAGCCGATACTCACTGACTCGAATACCACACAGCCTGCCTGTAACCCTGCCTTGCCTTTCTGCAATCCATCTTTTAGGTATCATTCCTAGAAACCGCTTATTGCAAAGTCATCAATAACTCACCAGTTGTCAAAACCAATGAACGCTTTCCCAGTTAGTGCTTGAATTTTTTGCCACTTGGATGCTGCTCATTGCTTCCTTAGGAAACTCTCCTTCAGGCTTCAGAGACCCCCTTCTTCTGGAACTCCCACTTCCTTGACAGCCCTTACTCAGTGTCTTGCTGGTTCCTCTTTCGCCAAGTCTTTAAATACTGCCCCTTCCATATAAGCCTGTCCTTGATCTTGTTCTTTTTTCACTCTGCATTCTGTTTGACTGGTCTCATCAACTCATGACATCAACCATCACCTCCATAGATGCCCCTCAAATGTGCCATTAACTCAAAATCCCCAGCTCCACAGTGGGATATCTTACAGCCCACAGGTATCTTCACCTGGCTTCCTCTTAGGCACTTTAAACACAAATGGTCCCAAATAGAAATCACTTTTCATCTTCTCCCATTCAGTCTTTTCCGCAGAGATCTTGCATCTCTATCAATGAATCCAAACCAGAACCTTTGTGGGTAATCTGACATCTGCTTCTCCCACACACCCTGCATCTAATTAAGCACCAAGTTCTCCCAGTTCTTCATTCTATGAATCTCTGAGCTCTGCCTCCTGCACCACCACTGCTTTCTGTCTCTTAACTGCCCTATCATAGTACTCTTCTCATTGACCTCCCTGCTTCCACAGCCTACCTCTCCAACCCATGTGCCATACGTAGGTCGGAGTGCTCCTGTAAGCACTGGTCTTGTCTGACAATCCTACTGTTCAAAAACCCTTGATGAGTCTTTGCTGTCTATAGGTTAAATGCAACCTCCTTAGCCTGACAGAAGAGGCCCATCCTTTCTTAGATGTTGTCTACTTTTGAACCTAACTGCTGGCCACTTGTAACTTGTGTAGTTGTTCAAGGTCATGCTTAGTTTCTGGCATCTGTCATGCAGTCCTGCTCATCCTACACCTTGGCATGATTTATTTTATCTGCCTTGAAAGTTCTTGACTTCCTGGTTAGCAGCCACTCACCCTTGAGTATTGCTCAAACATCTTCTCCTCTATACATTCTTCTTTGGTCTCTCCCAGCCACAGTTAATTCCTCTGTTCTCAATATTTTCACAACATTTTGACTAAGGCTTTATTAATATGTGTCCCATAACTTAATAATTATTTATTTTCAAGACTCTTTCCTCAGCTACAATGCTCCTTGTGGGCAAGGAGCTTGCTGTTTTTAATCTTTCAAATTACCAATACCTAGTAGACCATGGAGGTTCAGAGAGGTGAAGTGGATTTCTCTAACAGCACGGCTAGCCAGTGGCAGTTTCTGGGCCGCAGCTGGGATCTTCTGACTTTGTTCCTGTACCTCATTTACTGCATAATGGCTGGGGCCTGAAATTCAACTGTCCTGTGGGGTGGGGCAGGGTGAGTTTGGTTTGTAAACTCATAAGCCAGAAGTATACCCAGTAGAGAAGAACTTGGGCACAGGTGATATGATTGGAAGCCAGTTACACAGAACAAGGCTACGAAATGGAGAAAAATGGGAGAGGGACGTTGTGAATAGGGACGGCTTGAGTAACATCCTTGCTTCTCAGCTATGTTGTGTTCTGAAAAGTAAGAGATTTCAAAATAGACAATATTAAACATCCCCTTATTATTCTATCTCCATATTCCCCCCCACCCCCTGCAAGCTCCATTTTCCTTTATTCCCAGCTGTATTTTCCATGCTCATTAAAAACAAACATAGGTAGTGGCTGATTGGCCAATGCCTCTAATTTTAGACAGAGAAGGGCATCTGCTGATACATTCAAGGTCTGCTCAGGACTCGGAAGGTCAGAAGCTCCTCCCTAGAGCATCTCTCACAGGTAGTTGGAAGCCTATGTTGGGCTGGGCTGTGGGTTTACACATCTGTTCACTTTTGACCTGGCCTCAAAAGAGGTATTAAAATGTGCTTCAACCGTTTATTTTTCCCATCCTAATTAACCAAAGTGTTTCATAAGTAACAAGGATGTTTCCAGTAATTTAGCACTTCATTAGTAATTTGTTCCATTATAATATGTATCACCAAAATCAACTCAATTCAGACAACCATTTGCTGCCTTCACAAAAGATAATGACATCTAATTCCCATTACTAGAGCATATTATAAGCCTTATAAGTGGTTTGCTACTCTTCATTAAGGTGTATCTCAGAGAGAATTTGGACTTTGCAAAAAAAGTAAATAAAACCTCATGAAAATTCAACCAGAGATATGCACATAAAATTGAATAAAAACACATAGAATATTCCCTTGGGACACTACACCATGACTGTGCAGGGACAGGCTTTGTGTTTTTGCATAAAACAGAGTCCATTTCTTAAATCAGTGAATTTTAATTTTGCCTTCTCAGAAACCTAAGGGAGCTAGAAACAGCATCCCTATTTCATGAAGATGTGGGCTTATGAAATCAGAGACTGTAGTGAGAGGGCATCTAAATGTTCCATAATGTTGTTGAAAAGGATTTTGAAGTTAACAGACTGTGTTTGGGATAGAAATGGGTTCACATGATCCCTTGAGCCCAACTAATAGTGAATGTGGCAGAGATCTCACTTTGGTTCCCGGCTTCACACTGACTTGCCTGTTTGCATTACTTCTTGTATCTTCCCCACAGCACCTGGTACAACGCCAAGCACATAGAAGGTCAGTCAGTACTCAGTTGCTCCATTCCAGATCACTGTTATGTACTGTGAATTGGAAGAATACCACGTGCTAGTTGCTTTACAGAGAGGTTCAATGTTGCCTCACGGGCCCAATGATTGGAACTCACTCTTTTAAGTAGTAAAACTTTTACTATGTTAGCCAATGTCAATGAAAATTTTTCTAGAATATAGCACATATTTCTTTGTCTTTCTATATTGAGAAGGTAGAATATTATTTAGGTCTCTATACTTAAAGGTCTAGATGGAAAGAAGGAATCAAGGTATGAAGTGAGCAAGACTTAGGAAAAAGAGAACAGAGTAAGAGGCACAATGGAAGGCAAAATGGGAAGTGGCCTGCAGCCAGTGAGACATGGCTTTACTTCATTCCCATGAGGGCAGTTGTGGTGTCTAACTGGATCGATGTGGTGTAGAAGCTGACACTGCTTCCCTTTTAAGGTGTGATATACTATAATTTAAGGAAGGTTCAGCAAATTCCTTCACAGAGCCACTTATCTGACTTCAACATTTAAAAAAATAGTGTCTCAGTTAGCTGTTGCTGCATAACAGCCACCCACCCCAAAGATGAATTGCTTGAACTAGTAAGTATTATGGCTTCTGAGCATGGATCAGCTGGATGGATCTTCTGGTCTCAGCTGGGCTCACTTATTCACCAGGAGTCATCTGTGGGTCAGGTGGACAGCTCTGGGGGTCTTGGCTGGTCTCTCTCACATTTTTAGGGGGGTGGTGGTTGTTGGCTATTGGTTGATCTGGGATGGCTTTGACTGGGATGAGTGGGCTTTCCTCCACATGGTCCCTCATCCTCCAGCAGGCTAGCCTGGCTTTGTTCACATGGTGTTGAGGTTCCAAGATTGTAAGTAAAGGCACAAAGTGCCTCTTGAGCCCTAGGCTCAGAACTGATATACCATCACTGTGTCATAATCAATGGGCAAAAGTAAGTCAGTCGGCCCAGATTCAAGGGTGGGGAAATAGATTCCACTTCTTCACAGGAAGAGCTACAAACTCACATTGCCAAGGTCACAAACTCTGGGAAAAGAATAAGTGAGGCCATTTTTTCAGTCAATCTACCAAAAATACCAACTGGAAAACCCAGTATTTCTCTAGTACGCTTTGTCAAGACTCGTGTCTCTGGTGTCCCCTGGGCCAAGTCGGGAATGTGCATTCCCACTGCTATGAAAAGGACTCAGATGTCAGGCCCCTAAGATTTTACTCAGCCTCCTTTGAAAGTTGTAGGTTGTCCAGCCTTCCCACTTGCATGGGGTGGATGTCAGCCAAACCAAGGGTCATAAGGACAAATGCCCATTAAACAATGCTAGTCTGCTTTACTGACCATAATCATCACATTGATCACTGATATTGATAGATCTGCCCTGGTTGACAGATTCTTTGGAACAGAGTGGTTGGCAGACTTCCATGTCCAGTGAGACTGCCATGCATTCTGATATCGTGTTGGTAAACATTTAATACAGTGCTGGGTGCTGGGACATGCTTAGGGTCACAAGTCATTGAAATACTTTGTGAGTTTCATTCTTCGCACCAGAAATAAAACTGGCTTTTCTTAGGTCAAGATATATTTTCTCTGTATCTTGGGATACAATCTTTTGTATTTTCAAACTCTGCCCCCTTTGGAAGTGATGCCTACATCACTAAACTTATTTTCTTGACTTTGCACCAGAAGAAAGATCATCTTCTCTTCCTCAGTTTTCAGTCAGAGAAACCCCAAAAAAACTACTGTGAATAATGCAACAGTGAATGTGAAAGTGTAGATATTTCTTTGGGATACTGCTCTCCATTTTTTTTTTTTTTCAAACGGAGTTTCACTCTTGTTGCCCAGGCTGGAGTGCAATGGTGGGATCTCGGCTCACTGCAACCTCTGCCTCCCGAGTTCAAGCGATTCTCCTGCCTCCCGAGTAGGTGGGATTACAGGCATGATCCATCACGCCCAACTAATTTTGTATTTTTAGTAGAGATGGGGTTTCTCCGTGTTGGTCAGGCTGGTCTCGAGCTCTCGACCTCAGGTGATTCACCCACCTCGGCCTCCCAAAGTGTTGGGATTACAGGTGTGAGCCACCGCGCCAGGCTACTGGTCTCAATTCTTTTGGATACCCAGAAGCAGAAATGCTGGATCACATGGTAGTCTCTTTTTTTTTTTTTTTTTTTTTTTTGACGCATTCTCCACTGTTTTCCATGGTGGGTGCACCATTTCACATTCTCAGCAACAGTGCGCAAAGGTTCGAAATTCTTCATTTAAGAATGTGTAGAGCTCCATGGAATACTATGCAGCCATAAAAAATGATGAGTTCATGTCCTTCGTAGGGACATGGATGAAGCTGGAAACCATCATTCTCAGCAAACTATCACAAGGACAAAAAACCAAACATCGCATATTCTTACTCATAGGTGGGAATTGAACAATGAGAACACATGGACACAGGAAGGGGAACATCACACACTGGGGCCTGTTGTGGGGTGGGGGGGAGGAGGGAGGGATAGCATTAGGAGATATACCTAATGTTAAATGACGAGTTAATGGGTGCAGCACACCAACATGGCACATGTATACATATGTAACAAACCTGCATGTTGTGCACATGTACCCTAAAACTTAAAGTATAATTTTTAAAAAAAAAGAATGTGTAGAGCTAACAATACAGTATTGTTTACTTAAAAAAATTGTTGAGGCTAGATCTCATATTGTGGTCTTACCATATACACACACAACAAAATCAAAACCAAATCCAAACACAAAGCAACAAAGAGGTACGATGAAATTTTTGGAGGTGATAGATATGTTTATTACCATGATGATCGTGGTGAGATATCATGGGTGTATGCATATGTTTAAACCCATCAAATCGTATACACTAAATATGTGCAGCTTTTTGTATATCAATTATATTTCATCAAAGCTGTTTAAAAAAACAACCCAAGAAGGGCTCTGGCAGGATGAGTTTGGGCCTGGGTGCCTGCCACAGTCCAATCAAGCAACTGTCTCCATGGTGTGGATACTACTGCCCTACCTAAGCAGTTTCTATGGCAATCTTTGTATGAAGGAAGGACCACTTCTTAGAAAGATGCAAGGGGACAGGCCAGGAGCAGGAGTGGGAGGTGGGGGCAGTAGCAGTGGGGCAGAGAACACATAGATAACACAATGTTTCTCTATTTGATGTATTCTGATTTATTTGGACTAGCTTGCAGGTACCATTTGGCTATATAGACAACAAGTTTTCAAATAATTCAAATACAATAAAACACTAACAAGCTGCATATAATATTTACACTGTCTTTGATTATAAATATTTAGATGTTCTGAGATTCTACAAGAAAGTAAAGATGAATAATAGTAGATGATTATATACTGAAGTGTGCTTTTCTGAATAATCCCTGATATTAGCTTTCTAACTTGCTGTTTTATAGCTTTTTAAATAAACTCTATGTTAAAATGGTTATTTGAGATCTCTGGTTTGTGGACATCTGGGCTGATGGGGGTTTATTTCATTAAGAGAGCTGGCCTACTGGTAGAAACTTTGATATACCAAGTTGCAGCAGCAGCCTTTGCTATAATACTGTTTAACTCACCCCGGCCCTCCCTACACGAATCCCCACTTTTTTCAGCTCCAATCAATCTTGTGAGCTCTCAGTCCTCAATGGCCCATCTGCTTGTTGTATGGGTGTACTCTAAGGAAAACAGTAAGAACATTATGACCAAGCTTTATAGAGGAAAACAAGCTAATAATTGCCCCAGTGCATAACCACTACATTACCCACTCCATGAATGTGGTCCAAAGGAAGTGCTTGTAACAAATGAAAAGAAGAAAAGAACTGTTTCTAGACTGTCACTGCTAGATGAAAATATCTCTAGTGCATGACTCCAAAGCAACTCTAGAAAACACATGAGAACGTCCCCTGTGCCACATTCTGAATTTAACCCTTTACAGCTACCATGTTCTTAAATGAGACCACCAAATTCCCTAAAAATTCTCAGCACTGATCTCCTCCTCCATCCCCTCCACATTATCACTCACTCCCTAGATGCTACTGGTACCAGGACCAGACTCATCTATTTGGTATTGATATTCCTTGGTGTGAGATGGAAGTAAAGTTACTGTATGTGGTTGCAAGTAGAATTTTCCTGAGTAAAGCTAGTACGTACCTTCTTGGTAGCTTTAGCCAAGGTCAAAAAGCAGACAAACAAGAAAGCCAGCACTTGGTTTTCTCCTCCTCCTCCTCCTCCTCTTCTTCATTCTTCTTCTTTACCTAGCTTTCTTGGGTAGGAGTTGGGTCTCCCATCACCAGATTGCCCTGTAAGAATTCAGTCCCCTTATTGTGAATGAAATAACCATTTGCAAGCCAGTACTTTTGAGCAGCAGCAAAGCACAGGATTGTCCTGATAGAAGCTACTTTTCTTGGTTTACCCTGGGTGACATCTTCTTTGGTTGGCACAAAACTGCTTCTGTTATCTTCATAACTCTGCTGCCTGTCCTTAAAAAAGTATAAATATTGACATGTAAGAGTGTAGTTCCAGGTTTTTGTGTAGCATTATTTCACCTTTCCCTGGGTACCAGGAAGGCCCCCTACTCTCCCCCCACCCCCCCGCAATTAGCATCAATGGGCTGCTTGCTGGTGCTGTTAAATAGGAAACAGGGGAACTGCATTGGTTTCTACTGTTGTGTTTGCTTATTTTCCCCAGTTTGCACACAGAACATAAGAGGACATGCTCTGACTACTGCTGTCAAACCCTGATTGCTGCCTACACGTTATTAAGAATGACAAAGTGAGAGCCCTTTTGTTGTTTGCTCCCTCAGAGGGAACAGTCAACTCAGCCCTCCCCGAGTGAAGTCAGATGCTCTCCCTCCCTCACATATACCTTCATTCCAAAACTGTGCATGTAAGTTGAACAAAATAGTCTGGGAAATATTTGTAGAATATTTTGATACACTGATTTGGTTAATCTCATTTTATTTCAACAAGCATTTGTTCAGGACCTATTCTTCACCTGCCCCTGGGTTGCACAGAAACAAAATTATTGTTTCTGTCCTCAAGGAGCTAACAGTCTATGGTAGAAAAAGAAATTAAATAAGCTAAATTAAGACAAGTTTAAAGCAATCTGCAAGAAGAAACTTAGAAGTTACTATGGATTCAAGGAAGAGGGATGTTAATTCTGTTTGGGTAAGAGAGGGAGGTCTTTCTAGAGATAATGATGATAGAGCCAAATGTAAAGGAAAAGTATGAATTTTTTTAAGTTTTCATTCATTCAAAAATATCACAATTTCCATGTGTTAGGTAGATAAGATAAGGACTGCAGTGAGTGTGTGGAGGAGACATGAAAATTATGTTTGGTGGATAAAGAAATGCCAGAAAGAGGGATGATTATGAACAGAGACATAGATAGGCAATAGAAGGTATTGTATCCAGGAAACTGCTACAGTATAAATGCACAAGGGGAGTGAAAAGGCCAGAAATGGGATATAGCAGTGCGATGATTCAATGATAAAGGAGTTGAACTTTCTTCTGAGTAGGAGGGGAACTATTGAAGGTTCTTAATAGTGACATAATCAGGTCTGCATTTTAGAAAGATAGGCCTGTCCTGTTTAAGAATGGTCTGGGTGGAGACTTGATTTGAAGAAAGAAAAGCAGTTAGGAAACTATTGCTATAATTAATGGAGGAGAGTGCTGGCTTGGATTTGGATGAAGGCAATGACATTGGATTGAAGAAGACAGTGTAAGTGTGAACACGTTTAGAGTTTAGGGGTTATGCCTAATTTACTATAGTAGGTGAAGGAGACAGTAAATGAAAAAGCTCCAGAATGATTCTAAGTTTTCAGGCTTTAATGGCCAGCTGGAATAGAAGCCTTTAACTGGGTTAGAGGAGACTGCAACAGGAGAAAATTTAGGGAAGGAGGGCAATGAGTTATGTTTTGAACAACTTACATTTGAAATGTCTGTGAGGTTGTTTTGGGGGCAGCCAGAAATGTAGGTCTTGAGTTTGGGGAAAAGGCTGGATTTGGTGGTATTATATAAGGAATTATCTTCACAGGTGGTAATAAAAATCAAGGGGGTGGCGGGAAGTAATGGCTCACACCCGTAATCTCAGCACTTTGGGAGGCTGAGGTGGGCAGATCGCTTGAGCTCAGGAATTTGAGACAAGCATGGGCAACATGGCAAAACCTCATCCCCACAAAAAATGCAAAAAATTAGCTGGGTGTGGTGGCACGCACCTGTGGTCCTAGCTACTTGGGAGGCTGAGGTGGGAGGATCACATGACCCCAGGGAGGTTGAGGCTGTAGTAAGCCATCATTGTGCTACTGCATTCCAGCCTGGGTGACAGAGTGAGACCCTGTCTCCAAAAAAAAAAAATCAAGTGGGTAGATGAGAACATGGAAGAGCTTGTGTGAGAAGAAAATCAGGTAAAAGAGGACGCACAAGGACAGTAATACTTAAGGGACTAAGGATATTAAAAAGAAGCCAGGAAGAGCACCAAGAAGAAAAGGAAACCAAAGAGATAGGGGGCCAGAAAAGTATTTTTTTCAGAAACCAATGGTAGAGAAAGTTTCAAGAAAGTGGGAATGCAGAAAGAAATGCCTTACAAAAATAAAAAGAAATAAAAATAAAAAGAAATGGAAGGAAGGAAGGAAAGAAGGAAGGAAGGAAGGAAGGAAGGAAGGAAGGAAGGAAAGTGCTTCATAGAGGCAAGCAGATGAGGACTCAAAAGAACTAAAGAAGCTCTTGGATTTGGCAATTAAGGGATCACTGTTGAACTTAGGGCAATTCAATTGAGTTTTAGAAGACACATGGTTACTTCCTAGTTCAATCTGATTAATGGGGACCTTCCTTGGAAGAGGCAAAAACAAACAAACAACAACCGAAAGACCAAAAACCCATTAACAAACACTTTTGATTGAGTTTTTTTAAAAATAAAACAAGGCACACTGACATAGGTCCAGTTTGGTCCAAGCTTTCACATATTAGTGTGGTTCAATCTGCTCTTTTGGTTGGTTGTTCAGTACAGTTAATATCTGCCCCCAACACTTCACTGTCTACGGCATCCCTGCATGTTAATGGCTGGTTCCTGGGAAAGACCTTCTCTGGAAGACTATTTTCCCAGCTGGTGAGTTTGGGACTTCAGTGGCTGGTCTTGTCACTTCAGAGGCAGCCTTCTGTCCAGAGGTCTGAGTACAGAATTTTTCAGCTCACAGGGAGCTTGCTTCTAAGGATAATGCCCTGTTTCTTTCTCTTTTTTGTTGCAGTTGTTTCCTTCCATGCCCAGGAGTAAGTTTTAGGGCTCTTGACTTGAGGTATTTTATAAAACAAGTTGGGAAGCTACAACATAGAGTACATAGGGAAATTCATCAAGTGGAGAAGAAAGAAACTGAGAGAGGAAACGATACTGCACAAAAGAGCCGTAAATTAACTAACCAGCTAGGGAGAAAGTAGCAAATGAACAAGGAGGGGAAAAGGATGGTACAGAAAGATACAGAAGTGAAATATTCTTAGAGGTACCTACCGGTGTTCCTAAAATTGTTGTTGACTAAATGAATAAAAGAAAAACAAGAGAAAACAAGCAGCTGCTGTAAATCCAGCCTTCTTTGAGGACCCTCTGCTGAAGGGTACCCTTTGCCTTCTTCCATCTGTGATCCAGAGAAGGCTTCAAGTTGTGGACTCAATCCTGGCCTATTCCAGCCAGTGAGGTGAGATGTCTTCTAGGTGGCGTGGCTGCCACCTGAGCCTCCTGTATTGTAGTGATGTGCTCTTCTTCCCATGCTTGCTGGGATATCTCTGATTCCAATGAGCTGAACCCCAAAGGGCATCTTGGTAGTAAATGACGCCCCTGAGCTTTTGCTTTGCAAGGATGTGACCAACTTGGCTGTCTTTGGAAACTGATGGATGAGATGCCCACAGGAGCACCTAGACTGGGTTGACTCAGAAGCCTTTGTTTTATTGATCAGAGAGAACTATCCAAATACATTTGGATAATGTACTGATCCAGGGAGTCATCTGGTTGCCACAGTGGACACTGCGTTACTCACTCAACATCCAATCCCTGCCTGCTTCTTCTTCTGTAATAGAATTATAAATGTGTTCTGAAACCCATCCCTACCTCATGTGGCTTAAGGGAAGGTGATCCCCTCTTCCACTCTACGGGCAGATCTGGTTAGCCTGAGCCAGTCCTCGTTCGTTCTTCCCTTTGCACTTATGGACTTAGTAATGGGTGTGTGAGATGTAAGGGGAAGTCTCCAGCAGGGAGTGACTCTCTGACAAAAGCAAAATACTAGAGAAGAGGTGAAACTGGTCTTAGGCACCACTAGAACCTGGAACTCACACTCTATCAGGGTCTGGTCTCTACCTCTTGACTAGGTCCTTCTGATTATTGGCATCATTCTCGCAGATGGCTTCTCCAATGAGGAGGTGCTGGTGGCTGGCGGTAGCCCAGATTAAGATCCATATAGCATCGCAACCAGAGAGAGGTGTCTCTTGACCCCGGCTTCAGTTAGAAAATTCCTAAGAAAATATTGTAATCACCTGGGCTTGGGTTATATGCCCATCCACAGACCAATGATGTGGCCAATGGGATTACATTCTATAATTAGTTCATTTTGGGTTTGGTATCCACTTCTCAATCCATCACTAACAATAGAGGTAGGATCCCGTAAGAAGATGCCAGTCTCCAGTAGTCCCCAAAGGAAGTTTTCTGGGAGAAAAGTATCTTTGCTCTCTATGAAGTGTCACCCAAAGAAACTCTCTCTCTTCTGGGTATTGGCCATATGTCTGTGAGGTATGAGGTTGCTAAAGCCATTTTGCAACAATGAGGGAGCTTAGCCAACCCATGGAAGCAGGTGCAACTGTGGATGTGGCAGAAAAACGGAGCAAGAGCTCTGTGCTTATCCAACTCTGAAGTCGGCCCTTTTTGGGTCTTGAGCCCATCACTTTCCTTGTTCTTTAAGCCAATTTCAGTTGGTTGTTTTGTAACTTGCAGCCAAAAGCACCTTAACTGGTATGGGGTGAGTGGGGATGGAAAGGGCACTGTTCCAGAAAACAGAAGGAATGCTAAGCACCCAAGAAAGTGTCCTCTAAAATGAGGATAATGAGCACATTGCGTGGTGGACATCTACAGGGTCAGCAGGGCCATTGGCCCAGGCTCAGGTTGGAGGGGAGAGCCTCAGATTTTTGTGGTTGTTCAGTGGAAAATTTGGGCAGTTGAGCCTTCCTCATAATTACTGATCCTTAGAAATTCCTCACTACCTGATGCTACCAATTCTGAGAGTAAGATGCTGATCTGAGGGTGAGGGGCCCCACCACAGTGTGTGGAGGACCTAGCTGCATTGGATGCATACTCTCAGCCCTTGGCACCAGGGAGGCCCCTGGTCTTCCCTTCTGGGCAGTGGATCTTTGGGGGAGGTAAAGCTGGCCTCTCGGGTGGTGCCACTGCAGCTCCTACCCCAGTGCCCCTTCTATGCTTGTTCAGGATTAGCTTCTAACACGCTCAAGGTGTCATGAAGCAAAGGACAAGGAAGATGAGTGCCATGTGGAAAAAGATGGCTCTTTGAAGCAAAAGCCCAGAGAAGGCACTCTCAGAGGATGGGGAGGGCAGCAGGGCAGGTCTCTGCATCCACTTGGAAGACCCCAGCTTGGCTAGCTGCTGGGGAAATTGTTCTTCCCAGGTGCCAGCTTCTCTCCAGACCTCTGTAGCCCAGGGAGCCTTCTCATCTCTCTTTCTCTTACCCAAGCCTCAGGAAAGCCCAGGCTCAGGGGACAATGCTGCCTTGTTCTCAAACTGTGATTTCTGAGTGGCCTCTTGTTTGGGGGCCCAGAGTGCAAGAACTAACTGTGAAGCAAGGAAAGCTCTGCACCCAGAGCTGGGATGAAATTTCTTTTGTCCCCTGCCAAATGCCCCTCCGATCTAGGACAGAGGGCCCGCTCCCAGCTGGGAGTCGGAAGGGGCCTTGGCCTTCAGTCTCTGGGGAAGTGGGACCAGAGGTAGTAGTAACAAAACCCTCACAGATCCCTCGGGGCAGTTTGAGGTATGAGAGTTTGAGAATTGTTGTGCCTAACCTAATGTGCATGTGTATGAATATGAGCCCCCATATGTATGTGTATGTGTGCACCTGTCTGTAAATGTGAATATGTGTGACCCTGTGAATGAATATGTAAATATATAAATATAAATATAAATATATATATTCCCCTTTCTCTGTGACTTCTTGATTATGGACAAATAGAATTAGAACTCCAAATTTGTCAGAAATTGACCCAACCTCATAGAAGCCTAAATCTAATTAGATTCCCAGTTCTTGGTCTTATGGCTTTGCCCTATGGAGTCATTATAGTGAATTGACTAGATTGTGTAGGCAAGCTCTGTTTGCTTGACAAATAAAGCCTGGCTTAAATGTCTCGTATGTATATGCACTTAACAGTTCACGTGCATTTGCCATTGTTTGTGTGTGCCTCTGTTGTAGGTGTGCTAGCCATACATTCACAGAGATCCCAACATATATGAAGGAAAATGTGTGGACCCTTTCTTAGACTATGAGAATCTCATCCCCACCAGGCTTCCTATCTTCAATCCCTTGGTGCTCTCTTTCAGAGTTCCTCACACTTTCCCACCAAAGTATCCCTAAAATGGTAGTTCTCAATACTGACTGCCCATTAAAATCAGCTGGGGTCCCTTTAAAAACACAGACTCCTTGGCAGCATCCTCAGAGGCTGGAGTCTGGGTAAATGGTTTAGGGTAGAGTCTGAGCCAGGGTGATTTTTAAAAGTTGCTCGGATGACCCTGAAATGCAGCCAGTGTTGAGAACCATGGGCTACAAGAAGACCATGAGCCCCTCTGCCCTGGGCATGGGCCAAAGCTGCCCACAACCAGCATAGAATTTCTTAGACTTTGCTTGTTTTTAATTAAATGTGCCTGTGACTTTTGCTAGCTAAAGTTAATATATCCATAATATAATTGTAATATTTTAAACTGCTTACCAATGAGTCAAATTTCTACTCCAAGAAGGTGCACCCTACTTTTCCTGTGCCTCCCATGCTATTACATAACCCAGGCTCCAGGGCCCAGAGGAACCCCAGTAATGCAAATTGTGGCCCATCTACCTTCTTGCACCTCCCACAATGCCTTTTACCTGCAGATCTGAGGATGTGTTCGCTGATATTTACAAATGTCACGGGTCAGTTGTCCTAAGAGGCTGCTTTGATCTTTTCTTTGCTCAATGTGGTGGCCTCCACTGCCTGGTATGCTGATTCTGAAACAGGGCACAGATGCCCAGGTGTATATAGGAGATTACATTAGAAGGTTGGTGAACAAAATTTTTAAAAAGATAATTGTGTACTTATATTATTAGATAAATATTAGTAGGATATAAAACTTGTAATATTATGATTATTTCTTAGAATGAGGCCAAGTTGTTAAAAAGTGAGTAGCTTTAAATTTGATTTAAAGAAAATGACTATGTAAATAATAATACAGGTGGTACTTGGATGTGGCAAAAGCCACTAAGTGGTCAGGGAATGACTGAAGAGTGGCAGTCAAAGCCCTCCTCAAATTTGCCTCAACCTATCCTTCCAGACTTATTTTTCCTCCTTCCCAATAGAGGCTCTCTGCTTTGTCAAAAAGGCCTACAAATACTCCCTTTAATAGTGGTTAAAAACATGGGCTCTGGAACTATCCTACTTAGTTAAAATCAATAGTCCATCCAGGTTCAGGAGGAGACAAGGAATCTGCTTTTTGATGGGGATTAGGGGTGGGCAATGACAAGGTTCTAGGAGAACATGCAGGATGGATAATATTGTCATGACCATTTTTGAGAAATACAAATTTTCACAATCCATTTCATGGATTTCACATACATTTCAAGATCTTCATATATTAATACATATGTAAATTATATTTAGGATACATAGGCAAAACAGGCTCTCCTTTTCCTCCCCTCCATCACAGCAAGGACCTGGGGATAATCTAGCTGGACAGAAAGGTTCTAATGTAGCTGGTCATCTAGGCCAAGGTGGACCGAGCTTTGACATCCTCCTTCCCACTTATAAAAAGTGCTAGAGAATAACTTGGCCTGAGCAGGAGAGGATGATGGAGCATGCCGTGGGCCTGCCTGTATTCCCATGCATGCCAATCCTCTTCTCTTTGGTATTCCATTTTTGTCCCTGGAGCAAGTTCCCCTGGCCATACACTTCTTTTCCTTCTGCCTTGTGCCTCCAGGGGGAATGTGCTGAAGCTGAGGGCAGCCCGCAACCACCTCAGGTTCCCTGGGAAGTTAGTACACAATGTGGGGCTGAGAAAGAGGCTCCTACAGTCAGATGCACTTGGGTTGGAATCCCAGCCCTGCCAAGGCTGTAGCTTTAGAAACATTTCTCAACTTCACCAAGGCTCAGGGGCCTCATCAGTTAAGTGCAGATAATGGTAAGAGCACATGGCTCACAGGGTTGCTGTGAGGATTCAGTGACGTAATGGAGAGAAAACTGCTTGTGTGTGGGTGTTTGTGGCAAGGGAAAAAGACTTAGAACTGGAAGAGGGTTAGATATCATCTAATTATAATAATTACATGTATTGAGTGTTTCCTGTATGTCAGGCACTTCACATACATTGACTACTTTAATCCCTGAAAGTTTTATGATGTGAGTATTTTTATATCCATTTTAAGAATGGAGAAAGGGCTCAGAGAGATTAAGTCCATTGCCTAAGATCAGGCAGGTTAGGTTTAACTCCAGGTTTAGTTCAATGACCTTGGAGCTGTTCCCACGTTGGACAGGGCTTCCCAAGAGCAAGTATGGGTGAGGGACCTCAGTGGTGGCTCTGGAAGACAGGGAGGCTGTCAGGTGGTCATGGCCCAGTGTGCTCCTTCATGGTTCACTGCAGATGGTACCCGGGAGTCACTGGCCATTAACCCCGAGGTCATGCAAAACATAGCAGTTGTTGTTCCAGAAGCAAATGCGCCTACTTACTCTAGCCAGTGGGGAAATACCAGTTCCTGTGGGAAAGGGTGGGTGGACAGAAGGGAGACAGGTGATAAGGGGAGGGGACGGTGGGGACCGGATGAAACACCAGGGGATGTGGCATCTCAGCCTTTAACTTTCTCAGAACGTATCATGTGCTCTCTCAGCACTGGGCCTTTGCACATGCTATTGTTTTGTCACTATTCATTTATTCATTCAGTAAATGTTTTTGAGCCTCTTTTATGTGCTAATCACTACTATATATGCTGGGATAAGATACCTGACAAGGTGTTGTACTCCCTTGAAACCTACCTTCAAGTTGTAGGGGTAACGGGGAGGCAGATAATATTCATGTAAATAAAATGAGTGAGAAGATTATCCCAGATTTGTGATCTATGAGTCACTAAGAAGAAAATAAACAAGGTAATGGAAAACAGAGTAAGTTGGAATACTTCCCAGATCTAATTATCCTTTGAGATATAACCTGGATAGCACCTCCTCAGGGAAGTCTTCCTGACCCAACAAGTCTAGGATAGACAAGCCTCTAATATGCTCCCAGAGCACCAGGCTTACCACTGTCATTACAAGTACACTGCCTGTTTGTTTACTTACCCGTCTGTCCCTTAGCCTGTCTGTTCCTTGAGGACAAGGGCCAGGTATTGTCGCTGGCACCTATAAGGTGTCTGACACAGCGTAGGTGTTCAACAATTGTTGGTTAAGTGAATGAATGAATGGATGAATAGATGGACATGTTTGGTGTTCTGCAGGGTGAAACATCAAGCCTATTTTCAGTAAAGTTATGTCCTGAAACCTGTGTGATCTGATTGTATTCTTCCTATCTGCTGCTGACTGTTCTCTTTTTTTCTTTAAACATATTTGGGGATTTTAATGAATGAGAATGATTTGCACTACAGCATATGGCTACTTTAATTAAGCAAAGGGTATCATTTTAGTAGCATAATAGATACTGTGTAATTTATCAGGCCTCATGTGTATTTTACAAGTATACCATGTGGACTATGTAAATATTTCTATATTTGGGAGGGGTAGATGGAATCTCTATTGATCTGCTGCAAGACAGTGCATGGAAAAAAAAAAGCTGGAATCATCTCAGGGTTCCCTCTGGGCACCCTGAAAAGTAGAGAACTAAAAAGGGGGAGGAGAAGTGGGGAAGAGCCACCCACCACTGTTGTGGAACTAAGGGTAACCCTCCATATTTGCTACTAGAAGAAGGGACATTGCTGCTCACTGAAGAGGTAGATCTTTGTAGAAAGAGGTGCTGCTTGGAGAGTTGGAAAGAGGCCCTGGGCTCCTGGGCTTTGTTGCTAAGCATTTGACCAAGGCTGGCAAATTAGAATTCATTCGAGAGAAGGAATAGACTAAAAATAAGGCAGGGAAAAGAAAGCTTAGCCCATGTGTGCGATGGAAACCCAGTAATACTGATATGTGGCAGAGAAACACACCAAACAGTTTAGAAACAGGCCCTGATGTCGCTACACAGACAGAGACTGAACAGAGGCTAGACAGACAGTCCAGGATATTTCCGTGAGCAGGATGCTTTTGATCCAGAAGGAGGGGTCCCAGCACTCTGGGAATACCTAGTACAGTGACAGACAGACCCTGCTGGGTCAGCAGTCCCCTTCTGTAGGGACAAGTGCAACTGTGCCAGATGCTGCAGACCCAGGATGCCCAGTTGGTGGGTCTCCAGGCAAAGGGGCCCTGGACAAGGGCGTGCTCTAAATAATGAATTTTCCCTACAGAACTCACAGTTTCTCCAAAGAACTATCTTCTTCAGGGGAGTAGAGCAGAGAACGATTCATGGAGAAAGTGAAACTGGCACTGGATTTGAGAGGGTGACTCACATCAGATGGTCAGAAGGAGTGGGAGGGGGACCCGCACAGAAACAGAGGGTCAGGGTGCCATAGATAGTACCTCATCTTGCATTCCACAAGCATCCCATGTGGGAATGATCAGTTATGTCTCTCAATCCCCTCTCTATTCCAGGCTCCAAAGAGACACATGGTTAAGGGCCAGTAACACAGCAGATCTGGTGGAGCCAAGCATCTGTGGACAGGGCAGGTCAGCCAATTCTGATTTCACATACTTGTGAGAAGTATCAGAAAAAAAGTGAATGGTAGATCCAGAAGAGAGTGTGGAGAACCTGGAAGGCATTAACTGTAAATTTTAAAAGGAAAAAAATACATTTACTGGCATCTCTCTGCAATATGCAAGGCTCTAAATTTAGGAGGCTGGGATGTACTGCAAAGAATCAGACTCTCAAATGGCCACCTGCGTATCTCCATCTGGATGTTCCACTGCACAGTAGACTTCACATGGTCAACATTCTAGTTCTTATCTGTTTGCCTAAATATGTTCCTTCCCCTTTAGTCCTTTACCCAGTTAATGGCACCAGCGTGCACCTAGTCATCTGAGCCATAAACCCAGTATTCATTTTGGGTACCCCCCTCACTCTCTATGTTAATAATTATTAGCAAGTCCCATAGTTTCACCAGGCAATCCTTCCTTCAATCTCTCGACTCCTTTCTATTTTCCTTACTTTGAGTATTACAATAGTCTCCCCACTGATACCCCTGCCTCCTGGCCTGTGCCCCTCAGTTTCAGACCCCACACTACCACCATATCACCCCCTGCTTAAAACTCTACACAGACTCCTCAGAGCTAAGACAATAGTAACTATGGATATTTTAAGCTTTAGAACATTTTTTTTGGCAAGTGAAACACCAAATATAAAAGAGGTAAGAGTTTAGATATCGATGAGCGTCTTGTTTGGTCAATCTTTCCCTTTATCCAAGGCACCATTAAAGAGTCCAGGTGCTCCCACAAATACAGTCTGAAAACTCCCAGGGAATGTTGGAGCCACTTAGTAGGGTTTACATCTCCCTCTGCAATCTAGTCATGGGCCATCTCCCGTGTCCCACTTCCTGCCGCTCTCTCTCTCTGTTACATTTTAGGCTCCAGTGACTCTGACCTGCATATGGTTGTTCCCATGCATCCGATGCTTCATGCCTCCATCCTCTTGTCCATACGACTCCCGTGCTTGGACCATCCTGTTCTCCTCACTCGCCCCATCAGCTGCCTAACTCCATGGATCTCTTCAGATTCTGTTCAGATGTCAGCTTCTTCCAGAGGCCTCTCTAACCCCCAAGCACGGCCAGCTGTCTCAACTCTCTGTTCCCTCAGCTCCAGGGTTGGAATTCGATGGCAGGCCTGTGTTAAATTGTGTGTAGAGCCTTCCCCAGGAGACCCTGAGGACTGGACTGTGACTCATGCATCTCCATCTTTGGCTCCTGGCACAGTGCTCCTTCCTGGCACCCAGTGGATATTCAGCAAACAAATCTTCAGTGTACTCAACTGTGGGTCTCAGACAGGTGCCTCCCCCACTTTCATGTAGACCATCCAGATTCCTGCTGTGTTGCCTACAATCTCAGAGATCACAGAGTGTGCCCTTATGTCCCATAGCAGCAGACTCAGGATGCCTGGCATTGCCTCCAGGGGATTCTGGCTTGCCTGTGTGGGCCCTGGTTGATAAACGGCTGTTTCACTTGCTCTCTCCCCGCCAGGCCTCTAGGAAAGACCAGCCCTTATCATGAATGAAATGCCATACTAAATATCTTGGGCATGAGGCCAGTGAGCAGGGCTGTTGCGCAGTGCAAAGAAGTTGCTATAAGACTCTAATAGACATACAGCTTTGGGAAGAAAAGATGAGCAATAAGACATTTGTCTCAAGAGCCAGATGCGGCTTCATCACACCTCTTGTCTGATAGGAGCTGGTCTAAGTCTGAGTAAACAGGCACTTAGTACAGGAGATTTAGAAGACAGAAAACCCCTGGTCACTGTGGTCTTTGGGGGAGGAAGTGGCTAAATAGGAGCTTCACAATATTTGTGGAAAATAATGGTGTTATGGGCTCACTTGTATTCCACCTAAAATTTGTATGTTGAACTTCCAATCCCCAGTACCTCAGCATGTGACTGCATTTAGAGACAGACTGTATTTTAAAGAGGTAAAATGGCCCTAACCCAGTATGACTTGTGTCCTTATAAGAAGAGGAAATTTGGATAAAGACATGCTTACAGAGGGAAAGGCTATGTGAGGGCACATTGGGAAGGCAAGCCAAGGAGAGAGGGCTCAGATGAAATTAACCCTGCTGGCACGTTCGTCTTCAACTTGCAGCCTCCAAAAGAGTGAGAAGATATATTTTCCTTGTTCAAGCCACCTAGTCTGTGGTCCTTGGTTAGGACACCCTAGTCAACTAGTACAGATGGGTAGGGGGTGGTGAGGGTCTCCAGCCCCCATGCAGGGGCTTTTGGTCTGTGATTTGCCACTGTGGGTCACTGCAACTCCTCTGGGGGTGGGGGGGGGGGGTCTCCCGACCCATTAGGTAGCGCCCTGTCGCCCTGTCACCTGCTCATAAACATCTTATTTCTCTTGCTTGGTTCTCATCACACGCTCATAGAAGTACTGCATTTCCTTACTTCCGTCTCCCCCACTGGACTCTGAATTCCTTGAGGGTAGGGATTGTGCCCTTCTTCCCAGTGCCTGCCACAGAAACGGTGCCCAGTAAACACGTATTTGTGGAATTGATGAATTGGAGTTGGTCTCTGCCCTGGGTGTTTCCCATCAGTCTCGCTGTCCCGCCCTTCTGCCCTTCTGAAGCCCATAAAACAGAGTCTGCTCCCCAAGCTGGCCTGGCTCGGGTCGGGGCTCGCAGCGTCCCCTCCCCAGCAGCTTTCGCGAGTGACTGGCAGGGCTGGGAAACAAGCCCACCGCGGGAGGAGGCTCCAGACGAAATGGCCTGGATGGGGGAGCAAGACGATTGGGCCCTGTCCTGTCCAGCGATGTGATTGGCTGTCTGTCCGAACAGGCTCCTGTGATTGGCTCCCCAGGCAGCAGAGCGAGGCTAATGAATCCCTTCCCTTTAGGCGTTTCCTGCTAGCTTTCTGGCAGGGAAAGCAGGGTGGTGGCTGTCGTTCTAGACTGGTCCTTGTGTGCTGCAACCTCAAGGTGCAGAAAATGCTCAGAGCCCTAGACAAACAGTCCTTCGCTAGACCTGCCTGGGAAGGGGATTAGCTACGGGTCAATAGGGGTCTAACACAATCTTTCTGTCGGGTAGACAAAACCACCATTGATACACCTGCTCTCTGGAGTTGACACCTTTAACTCAAGGCAGAAAAGCAAACCATCTAAATTCAGTCCTCTATCTTCACTTCTTTTTTACTTTGGTTTCTCTCCTGGGGTTAGACCTGTATTTTTCTTTTTCTGCAAATTGAAAATGTAGGTTACAGGCTGGGCTGTCAAATTAGGAAGGACTAGCAGTTAGAATGAGTGGCTCTCCTGCCCTTAGCAGCCTGGAAATGTTCTTTACTATTCCAGCAGCTGCAGGGATATTTGGGAGTCTATAGTGATAATAATTATTGTTACTATTTGCACATTGAAGCCGCCAACAGTTCACACATTATAATGATTCTGTATACAATTTTAATCCTACATTAATAGGCATTTTTCATTTGTCCTGAAAACTCTGACATAATTTACTTTTTTTTTTTGCTTCACATTTTACATTCTGCAGAAAAGGAAAACGTTGGCTGGGAGGTTAAATGACTTAGCTGAGACCACAGGTCTTATGCAGAGGGAGCTTGCAGACACCTTAGATGAAGAAGTAGTATGGCTACCACTGTGGCTGGTGGGGGAATGTATATGGAGGACAAGGGAGGCCAGTCTACTAAGTTAAACTCTGCGGACTAGAAAATCAACACCTGACCTCGTTTCCAGGAAATGTTAGTTCTGCTTACTCCCAGAGTGGGGTTTGTCTGTTTCCTGACTGGTTCCTGCACCGGACAGGCCTTGAGGGGGTGACAACCACAGTACATGCCAAGTGAGGGTGATGACTAGAAAGAAGGTTTCCTGTTCCCACCTCTCTCTTCTCTTCTGGTCAGCACTCCTGCAGAAGCATAGGAAGGTGATGATGTTTGTCATTTATTCACAGAGATATTCCTGTACTCCCTGCTCTCTTTCCCCCTCTGTTTGAGTAGGGGTCCCCCAGAGAGTACTTCTTAGATCATTTATTTTTAATGGGATTTGAACAGCTGAGCTGGTGTGACTGTGCCTTGGGTTCCTGGTACTTTTCTAGTCTTTTCTGGACTTTCTGTCATGCCAGGTAGGCTTACTGTTTGTTTTAATTTTGTGAAAGTAACACCAAGTTAAAAAAATAACTATGGAAAATGAGAACAAGGACAAATACATGGATATATGTGGAGGGAAATACTGGCAGCAGAAACTTGAATTCCAAGGCCCTGTGCAAAACTTTGAAAAGACTTGAATTCCATGGCCCTACACTCACCGTCCACAGTGTTAACATGGGTTGGTGCGTGCCTGTGATATGTGCAGGCATCTTCTTTTGTGGATCCCAGGAGCTTCAGGGCTCACTTAAGGGCAGCCATACGTGAGAAAATCCTTATAAAGTGTTTGACACTGCATGGCACATGGTAAACACTCCATAATTCATAGGCATCACAATTGTTATTGGTAAAAATGGGACAATGAAAGAAAAAGATTTAATCTATCTCCTTTTCTCTGAACTCCTGAGATAGTCCCTCTCATTCAGGGTTTAGAATGTCTATCTCAGAAAATAAGGAAATCTGAGTATCTGAATATGAAATCTGCTGAGTGTCGAACTGCACAATGAGATACTGCAAGGATGGGGCTGGGGTCTGGCTTCTTGAACCTTCCATGATATAATAGCCTGAGTGATCACTCTGAGACCCAGTGATTTTCTTCTAAGTATTTGATTTGAGATTTCACTTCCAGACTGAACCTGAGATTTTACTAGTCACTAGTTCAGGTGACTGCTGAAGGCTTGTATGTTTCCTAGTGCTGCTATAATAAATTTCAACAGAGCAGGTGGCTTACAGTAGAAATTTTACTCTCTCACAGTTGTGGAGGCTACAAGTCCAAAACGAAGGTGCCGAAAGGACGGTGCTTTCTTGGAAGTCTGTAGAAGAGGATTCTTTCTTGTTTCCTCCAGCCTCTGGAGCTGTAGGCATTTCTTGGCTTGTGGCAACATCACTTCGATCTGTGCTTCTATCATCACATGGTCATCTGCTTTGTATCTGTTTCCTCTTCTTCTGAGGACACCAGTCATTGGATTGGGGCCCACCTCCCTCTAGTATGACCTCAGTTTAGCTTAACTAATTACATCTGCAATGACTCTATTTCCAAAGAAGTTCACCTTCTGAGGTATTGGGGGTTAGGACTTCAACATATCCTCTTTGGGGGGATATGATTCCACCCATATCAGGGCCCTTCCGCTGTCCATCACAACAGGCCTTGAAGCCAGCAGGGTTCCAGGGCACATCTCAAGCTCACTTCCAGATATGTCATTCCAGGAAGAAGGCCCTGTCCATGGCAGCCAGGTTTCCCTCCGCATTGCCTAGTTCCGGGCCCTGCCGCAGCCAGAGGGGATGAAACACTGCACACATATCCCTGTCCCATTGCATCCCATACATCCTGGGCTTGGTGAGTAGAATGTGGGGCATCTTTTTTTTTTTTTTTTGAGACAGAGTCTCACTCTTTCACCTACGCTGGAGTGCAGTGGCATGATCTCGGCTCACTGTGACCTCCGCCTCATGGGTTCAAGCGATTCTCCTGCCTTAGCCTCCTGAGTAGCTGGGATTACAGGAGCCCACCACCACACCCAGATAATTTTTGTGTTTTAGTAGAGATGGAGTTTCACCATGTTGGTCAGGCTGGTCTCGAACTCCTGACCTCAAGTGATCTGCGGGGCACTCTTAAGAGTTCTGATCAAGGCCACTTTCCCAGGCCAAAGCCCTCCTGCCCGAGAGGGTCAGCCTGCTGAAGTGGACGTAATTCATCTTCAGGGCTTTTCCTCCCTGCACTGCTGCCCGCCTCACATCCGCTTACTCCACTGCCAGAAAAGGTTGTCGCAGCATAGACACAGCAGAGACACTCTCTCAAATCCCATTGTCTGGAGAACAGCGAGACTGGCTCAGGCTGAGTGACAGTCACAGCTGAGCAAAAAGGGGCAGAGAGAGAGGAGAGAGAACAGAGTGAGAGCTGGAGCTCAGAGAGACAGGGAGGGACAGTTTGGCTACCCCAGCAGCTGCCAGCCTCCCTGGAGGAAAACCTGCCTCTGCTTCCCGGGGTCCTCTTCCTCAGGTCTGTGGGGAGTGCCTGGCCTGGGTTACCCAGCCACTCACAATGATCATGTGGTCCTGAAGGAAGGGACAGAGTAGACTGTAAGTGTGCCGTCTCCCCATGCAGCCTTACCTAATACACTCACAGTTTGTCTCAGAAAGAGACAGTCATTGGGCTTTCATTATTTTTTTTCAGAAAGATCTAAATGTTCTCTAATTAACCTATTAGTTTTAATTATACACCCATAGTCATTTATTTGCTAATCTGAAAAACGAACACCCTGGATTCAAAGAAAAGATTCCCCACCCACCCCCACCCTTTCTCCCCACCCCCCCGCCGGGAAGTGTTTAAATCACTTGTCAACACAGAGGGAATAATAATAATAAAAAGAGTGACATCCGATCAGAGAGCAGGGAAGCAGCGAAGAGAAACAAAGCCCAACAGCAATCAGAGCCGGGTGAAGGCTCCTCCATATTCATCAGATGGGAGACAGCAGCTGAGGTATGGCCTGGCTCTGCCGGGGCCAGCAGGGCCTGGGGCTGGCTGCCGGGGACAGCGGCCCACTCCGCATCCTGAGCAGCCTCCTCCCCCTACCTGCAGGACATCATGGCTCAGGCCTTACAGAGGGACACACAGAGATCACAGGTGTGTTGCTGTTGTCAGCCTCCGTCTGCCCTACATCCTTGGCAGATGAGGCTTGTGCCTGAGACACACGCTCTGAGTGTAGCCACAATGAGGGAGGAAAGACACACACACACACGCACACACACACACACACACACACTCTCTCTCTCTCTCTCATAATTTATATTTGTTCTGTGGAAAAATAAGGGATTATAATAAACCATAACCACCACAAATACTATTAGTGCATCAGTGATGATAACTCACTTGTAGATGTGACAAAAATAAGATAGGCTGTTATTAGGTTCAGTTCTTTATGTATAGCCTGCAATTTCACCTTTTTTCTCCCCTTGCTGTAGGAAAGCCTGTCAAAGGGAAAGAAGGTACAGTTTTTACAGGGAGACTGCTGAATTTATATCTATATATGAATCCAAGTATGAATGCAAACACTAACTTTAGCCAGCATTTATTGGTAGCATCTATGCTAGATGTTGTGCTGAGCACTTGACATTTTGCCTCACTTAATCCTCACAATAACCCTTAGGAGGCAGACACTTTAATGCCATTTTACTAACAGGTAGACTGAGAGCTAAAGAGGTAAAGTAACTTGCCCAAGATCACAAAAACAACTAGTGGTGGGGCCAGAATTTTGACTTTGCTGGACTCCTAAGTGTCTGCTCAAAACAACTTTGCTATTCTGCTTCCCAAACTGTTTGATAAAGCAAGCAACTTGCAAATGTTGGTGCTCACTTTAGGTAACAAATTACTTGTGACAACCCCTTGTGAATGAGCCTGAGAACTGCTGGTGTGGGGTTGAATGCCCAGTGTATTGGTCTCAGCCTCACTGTGTCTGGGCAGGTAGCTCACTGATGCTCACTGGTAACCCTCTAGGGCCCTTAGAGTTTGACATGGCTGCAGGTGCCTGGCTTTACTGAGAGTGCCTGGGGAGCTGGGGCTGGAGAGAGGGACACCCATGACTTTTGTAAAACCCCTCTGCAAGAGAGTACGTGAGAGCTAGACTGTGAGTTCAGGGTCCACCAGGGAGTCTGGGGACCCTGCAAGGTTGTGGGGCTTAGGCCAGTTCCCCAAGAATGACTCATTCCTTGTAAGAAGAGAACCACGTGTCGCAGAAGTTCAACCAAGGAGAAGGGTAAGGAAAAGGGAGGCAATCGCTGTTCCCTCCAGATGTCACTGTGGAAGATTCTTAATGAGTGGTTAAGAGTTTCAGCCAAGGGTATGGAGACCACAGCCGCCAGGCAAGAGGCGGGAGCTGGAGGAGCCTTTGACAAGGTCAGGACAGGGAATAAGAAAGCTGATCAGAGTGGAAGCCAAGAGGACTTGGAAAGCCGTTGATGCTGGGCTTGGAAAGGCCTTTTGACCAGGGCTTCAAGAAGATTGGGGCTTCCCTGAAATTAAATGCAAATTTTGGGCATTCACACATTTGGATCAAGACTCCACCATGCCCCGCTACCCCAGCCCTGATTAGTTTCTCACTGGGGTGGGTCTCAAACAAAGAAGAACTATTGTCCCAAACTGTTCCCAGCAAGGGACAAATGTGTGTCTAATGTGGTGTGGCAGCTCTTCTAGAGTGTTGGAAGCCAAGATTGCTCTCCACCAAGTCTAGGGGAAAGCCACTGGGTCTCCCCACCTCAAGGGGTGTGGGCAGCTGCAAGGCTCCTTTGCAAACTGTGTTCAGGTGTGTGGGCTCCACCCCTTGGGAAGTCAGGGGACGCACTTTGACCCTAACACCCTCAGCAGTCCTCATGGACTGACTGTTGTTCTGAAGCCCCTGCTCCAAAGCAATTTCACACCTGTGGATACATGATAGTCTATGTTGCAACCACTCAGGACCCTCAGAAGAGTTTTACAAAATAATTAAATGAGTGATTTGACACTTGCACCTTTCTTCCCATCTCTGTTCACTGAAGATACATAAAAACTAATGAATCACACTTTACTCTGGACTAAACCATCTGCCATTTCAAGCTTGGATGTCTCCCCACCCTCCTTCCCTCACTCGGTTCCAGAGGGTTGTCCCTATTGCTAGGTTTTGCTGTAGGGAACTTCTTCAAGAAGCCTGGCATCTTCCCCTCTGCCAGAGATCAACCAATAATAGTCTTGTTCCCGTTCAATCCACTGCCTGGAATGGACCCCACAAGTCTAGGGACTGAGTTTAAGTGGAGTGACGCCTCATTTATCTGTGCATTTTTAGAATTTACACAAACTAACTCGATAACGGAATCCTATCCTTTCAGGAGCCAAACTCATTTCTTTAAAAAACTCAATCATTTTTAGTAGACATTTCTCAAAAACACATTACACACTCTCCTTCCTCCTTAAACAGAGGCTACTGATCATCATTTCACTGAGCTGTGATCTATCTGCACCTGCTTGTTAGTTGCTCCAACTCCTCTCTTCACGTCAGATCAGCTTCCACTGCCCTTGCTGTGAGGATATCTACCTCTAACAGCCTTGCTGCCTTTCTTCTGCTGGGTTGTTTCTGTGTGTGCTGCTGTCAGCGCTGGGAGCTATAAGACCCACTTCCTGAGCTGATACATTCGAGATGAATCAGTGAGGCCCTCAATGACATCCTGAAGGGGTCTGCTGCTGGGTTTAACAGAGGCAGGGCTTTGTGATGGCTGCTTTGTGTGGTCAGAGGCTTTTTGGCTTATTAAATTGGATGTTTCTGTCTTATTGAACTGATGGTGAGAGAGACCATGGAAACATCATTTTCTGTTTAGGGGCAGTCAGCACCCGTTGAAACCCACGGCCGTTTCTGCGGTTCCTGGGTAGTGGATGTCATGGAAGAAAAGACAAGGAAGAAGGGTGGAGTTGACTGGATATGTATTCCATAGCAAGCGTTCTGCCAGGCACATTCACACACTATTTCATTTGCTTCTTACTACGACTTGGAGATGTACAGGGTATCATCCCTATTTTACTTATGAGAAAATGGAGGCTTACAGACTTTAATAAGCTGCAGAATCAAAAGCGCAACTTAGGCCTTTCTGATGTTAAAACCTATTGTCTTTATACTCATTCTTCTTCTTCAAAAAAAACTCTTTTTAATTTTGGCCAGGTGTGGTGGCTCATTTCTGTAATCCCAGCACTTTCAGAGGCCAAGGGGGGCAGATCATGAGGTCAAGAGATCGAGACCATCCTGGCCAACATGGTGAAACCCCATCTCTACTAAAAATACAAAAATTAGCTGGGCGTGCTGGCATGCGCCTGTAATCCCAGCTACTTGGGAGGCTGAGGCAGGAAAATCTCTTGAACTCGGAAGGCAGAGGTTGCAATGAGCCAAGATCTTGCTACCGCACTCCAACCTGGAGACAGAGTGAGACTCCATCTCAAAATAAACAAATAAATAAACATAAAAATAAATTAATAAATTATGAAATTTTCTGTGAAACCTCAACATACAAAAGATAAGACTAGGGAGATTCTTGAAGGCCTAAGACTCCCTAGGTCTCCCAGTTCTATTGGAACCCCAGGTCCCTGTGGAACCCAGATTGAAAACTGTAAGAATCAGGTCCTTTCATTTTTTTCTGAGATGCATTGTGATGATGATGATGCATTGGGATTATGGATCTTTATAGATTAGGAGCTCTTAGGGACCTGAATAAAATTTTCTCTATTTGTTCCCAAGAAAAGGAAAGGATAGAAACACTTTCTCTGGAGAGATCTGTGAGTGAGCTATCCATCTCAATGCAAGTCCTCTGCCCTCTCTGGGCTCTCACCTCACTCAGCTTAACAGATTTCTTTGACATCTGATTACATTTGATGGCTCTGATGGCACAGACCCGGATAGACTGTTCCCTGGGCAATTCACTGCTGGTGGACTAGGGTTCAACACTCTCTGGACCTAGGCTTTCTCCTACAGCCTTCTTATAATTGCCCTCTACCCCTTCTCTTCTGCACAAATTGTGCTCAATTCTTCAGGGGGGCAAAAATTATTTTATTAGACTGTCTGACATCTACAGTGTATTAGACACGTACAGGAACTCCCAAGCTAAGACTCAGAGGTGAAAAGACATAGCAAGCCTGGAGAGGCACACCAGTGGCCTCAAAAAGCAGGTTTGGGCCCAAAATTAGTTGTAGCTGAGGAACGGGTTAATAAGAAGAGGCAGCTAGTAAGGAGAGTGAGTCAAGCAAACAGGTTTTAATTCTGCCTCTGTTACTTCCAGTCCTGTGACCTAAACAAGTGCTTGAATCTCTCTGAGCCTGAGCGTTGTGAGCTGCAAAATGGGGGATAAAAATATCTCCCTCATGGGTTGCATGTGGGTCCACATGGATTGGTGCATATGAGGTGTTGGGCACAGTTTGTGGCACATAGTAAGAAATTAACAGCTTAGTTGTTGCTGTTATTATTATTATTATTGTCATTAATCAATATATAATAAGACAGGAAACCCAAGGAATAAGAAGTAATCCAAAGTCATATAAAGAATAGAAATCTACTTAGGGCCTGGTCATGGTGTTTACATTAGCTTAATGATGATTACTGCAATAGTCCAAAATTTATTAGGGGATTCCAGGCCTGTGGCTTGCTGACCAAGCAGAGATACTAAATTGCTGGGCATTTGAATTTGGACACAGGGGAAAGGCTAAGGAGTCCTCAGCATATAGACAGTAGTAAGTCATGGGGCTGGATAAATCGCATTTCATGAGAAAGATAGATGGAGATGGGAAGTGGCTCGACAGGGCAGTGGGCACCAGTAATGGAGACGGGGAAGGAATAGATAGCAAGGTGGAAGGAGAGCCAGTTGTGCCCAAGGCCAGGAGGAAACAATGATTCAAGAAAGGAGATGTCAATGGCATTGAATGCTGCAGAGAGAGTGAGGGGAAGGGCAGGAGGGGATATTGCGCCTGGCATTGTGAGGTTGTTCAGACCTCGACTGGGGCAGTTTCATGGTAGGAGCAGGCACGGATGCCTGATTTGGTGGGATGTGGAGAGAAGGGAGGTGAGAAAGTCACTATCATCAGTACAGACAACACTTTCAAGATGTTTTCCTGAGATTTCTCCCTGAGGACTGAATGGGTGGGAGTTCTGTAGGCAAATGCACTATCCCACTCCCCAGGACCATCAGCTGGTGAGGCATCCTATGGGAGTGAATTTCACTTGAGGGGAGAAATGAATTAAAAGCCCCCTCATGGGCAGGGGGGGCGGCATCTGTCATGCCCACGTGACTAGAATACAGGAAATGGGGTGTTGGGGACAATCCTTCTGGGAGCAGAATATTCCTTCCCACCCATCATGTGACATGATCTATGGCCAACGTCAGCTGGGGGATTGTCTGGACCCCTGGGAGTCTCCCTGCCCTGGTGTTCAGGACCACACCCAGTCTGGTCTTACTGTCAAGTGTCCTGGGACAGGTGGCCTGGGATGAATCAGACAGCTAATTAGCACTCTTTCTCTGTCTAAAATGAGCCAGAGACACATAAATTGCTCCCAAGAGGGAGGGCAGGAGGCAGAGAAAAGGGAGGTAGGAAACCAAGAGAAGTTACATCAGAAAAACAACATCATGCAAACAGCCTCACATCCCAACTCAGCGTTCTTCTTCCAATAGGAGTGGCAGAGGTGGGGGGACGCTGGGGACCCCTGAGGTGAGACATCCGTGTTGGCGCCTCATTGTCAGCATGACAGATGCTGCCCCCCTGCCCGTGTGGGCACAGAGTTGCTCTCTACATGGTTAGCTTGGTGTCTAACATCTCTGTGTTTGCTTATCACACAGCCCTGAAAACGTAGTGCAGAGTGTCAACATCCAGCTCTGTCCTCAGCAAACTGAGGTTTCTGCCTGGTAAGGGTCACATCAAGGCAGTGGCCAGTCCTGCACTAACCTGGGGGGTGAAAACATCATTGAAATTCACCAGCAGAGTGTTTTGGGGAAGAGAGCAATAGGGAAAAATCTGGAGATTTACAGTCTAACCACGGTTCTGCCACTAACTGGTTGCATGACCCTGGATCAGTCACTTTACTTCTTAAGAGTTGAGAAATGTGAAAGTTTGGGCTAGCAAATTTCTCTAACATTCAGGAGCCTCTCAGTTCAGCATTCTTCCAAGCAAATTATTTCTTACAAGTCTTTCCAAGCAAATTCTCTTTTATGGAGACATGCCTCTTTTTTTCATATTCATTCTACCCTAACTTTTGAGAGCCCAGCATTCCTGTTGATCTCAATTCCATGTAGTCAAAGAGAAAGAACCCAGAGGTGGGCAGAGGAGCAAAATAATTACTTACCTGACAGATGGGGAAGGAAGTCTTAAGTCTGTAATTAAAGGCTACTGACCACAATGAGCACATCTATTCCTCAGATCTTGGTTTTTAATATTCTCCAATAAAAGGAAGTTTCCTTGGAGAAATGGCTGATTCTAGGATTGGGGTAAGGAGTATACAAGGATCCCAAAGCATCTTGTATGTTAGAGCCCCTAAGCTCTTTCGGTTGGCTCCTGTGTCCCTTTGACTTACCTCCATCATAGTGTGTGTGTGTGTGTGTGTGTGTGTGTGTGTGTGTGTGTGTGTCTGTCTGTCTGTCTGTCTGTGTGTCTGTGTGTCCCAGCCATAGCTGGAAGAATTTAAGAAAGAAAATAAATAAGAAAGTATTGGATGATAATGCAAGGTATAGAATTCAAGCTCATAAGTCATTATTAATGTAAATAAATGATTGAATATATACATGCATACATAAATAAGGTAGAAAAGATCAATCTCTTGTGCACAGAATTCCAAATGATTTATGTGAACTCTGCCTTGAAGGAGGAGGAGCAAATCCCTTTACTCTTTGATTGTGGACCACATATAGAAATTTCCTTCCAAAGAGTACAGTATGGAAAGGAGGGAGAAAGAGTAACTTTGGAGTAAAAAAGCCTGAACACTGTCTCAGACGGGTGATCAATGTTAAGATTAAACAGTGATAGGTTAAGTTTATAATATATACTCTTGAAATCACGTGATGAAAATGGCACTTTACCTCTGTGATCTTCCTCCCAAAAACCCATTACCCCAGTATAATTGTAAGACAGCAGACAAACCCCAACTGAGGCACAGTCTACAAAATATCTAGTCAGTATTCCTCAAAACTGCCAAGATCATCAAAAGCAAGGGGAGTCTGAGAAACTCTCACAGCCAACAGGAACCTAAAGAGACATTACAACTAAACGCAATGTGGTATCTTGGATGGGATCCTGAAACAGAAAAAGGACATGAGGAAATCTGAATGAACTATAAATTTTAATTAATAGCAATGTGTCAATGTTAGTTCATTCATTGTAACAAATATACCTTACTAATGTAAAATGTTAGCAATAGGGGAAATGGGGTACCAAGTATCGAGGAAACTCTGTGCTATCTTCACAATCTTTCTAGGATTCTAAAACTGTTCTAAAAAATAAAATTTATTTTTAAAAAATTCTGCCAAGATCATGTGTTTCCAATTAAGTCATTTGACTAGTTCAAACCTGAGTAGAGTTGCTTTGTAATTTTGAAACTGAGTAAAGAATCGTGGTGGACACTGCTAATTGCCTACCTAATTTCTGCCTTCTTCTTTACGGACAGAATACCTTTCTGCATTCAGGAAGACAATGTGTCCAGCTGAAAATATTCATTTCTCCTCATTCTCTTGAAGCAAGAGGTTCATGGCACAGTTCTGGTCAATGAGTTACTGGTGGGAGGAACATCTAGAAAGAGCTCACCGTTTTGAATAAAAAGAGAAATCTTCATTAGCACAAAGTCCTTTTCCCAGTTGTTCCCACTTCATTCTTCCTGTAGTTTGGACATTTGTCTTGTAGGTGCAAAACCTCCACCACACAGCAGTCCATCTGCACGTATAGTGGCAGAGCAAAAAGAGATGCCCTGGGTTCCTGGGGCACTTTTGAGAGGCTGTGTAAGCCCTGGACTGCCCACCTCTAGGCTTCTTAATAAGTGACTCTTACAAACACCTGTTTTTTTAAATGCTGCACAATAATTGGGACTTCTGTTATTCGCAACCAAATACAAAATTGCCACTACAAGAACCAAGCCTTAGATAGGTAAGATGATGATGAAGACAATAATAGAGAAACAAAATGTGCTAGGCAGTTTCTGCAGCAAGGACACTAAAGAAAAGAAGCTAAGACCTTTGGGGAAAGAAAATCAGAATTAAGAAGAACGGAAATGACATGAACTGTTGAGCATCACTTTTTTCTTATATTAATCAAAGCTACGTTTATTTATTTGTTTTTAAACTGACAGATATAATGTTGCATGTAGTTATCATGTATACCATGTTTTGATGTAAAGCAACATTGTGGCATGGTTCAGTCTAGCTAATTTACAAATTCATTATGTCACATAGTTATTATTTTTGTGGTGGGAACACTTAGCATCCTCTCACTGAGTATCACGACTATTAAGTGTTTTGTTTGTTTTTACTATTGAGTATTTTACACCCAAGGCTTTTGAAAATAAGATAAGTTTATTTAACCCACACATCAAGCTGGTGTGGCATAAGAAGGAATCATTATCTTTGTGAGAGATGGGAATATTCAGGGACAGGGAGGGAAAGTAAACTTTCTCAAGGTCACAAAATATCTAAGATCCAGAGCCAGGAGTGGAATCCAGGTCATCCTGCCAGGGGCAGCATGTGAACCTCTGTACCTCCAGGGAGCTCATGTGTATTACTGAATGTATATATGTGTATAATACTGCATGAGGAATACAGATGGCGAGATTGAGGAGGGAAGCTGGCACAGGGCTCACTTTCATCTGAGGCCACAGGAGGAAAGAGGTCCAAATATTCTGATCATGCTGCAGGAGCATAAACAATAAACTTGGGGTTCCAGTGACCGTGGAGAGAAGGGCATCTACATGGAACGGGGGTTTTCAGCCAGAAAGGGTATTAGTAATCCCTTATCCCTGACACGAGAACATCAGGCCACAATCCTGAGAGTGAAAGATAATGAAAGAGGTCCAGACTTTATGAAAATTTTATGAAAAATCTGAGCATAAGTACCTGTCATTAAAATTCAACCAACAGGTCAGGCATAGTGGCTCACACCTGTAATCCCAGCACTTTGGGAGGTTGAGGCAAGCAGATCACTTGAAGCCAGGAGTTCGAGATCAGCCTGGCCAACATGGCTAAACCCCGTCTCTACTAAAAATACAAAAATTAGCCAGGTGCGGTGGTGGGTACCTGTAGTCCCAGCTGTTCAGGAGGCTGAGACAGGAGAATCACTTGAACCTGGGAGGCAGAAGTTGCAGTGAGCTGAGATCGTGCCAGTGCACTCCAGCCTGACAGAGTGAGGCTCTGTCTCAACAACAACAACAACAACCACAACAAAAATAAATAAGCAAGCATTTCTTAAACATACGCTACGGGGAAAGAATCATGCAAAGCAAAGTGAGGCCTACAAAAATAACCAAAGTGTAGTATGACCTGCTCCTTGGGCAGGCCTAGGTAAGTGGAAAGAATCGATTGATGCAAAAATACCTTTGTATTTGGAATTGCTTTCAATGACAAATTAGGGTTTTAATTTTTATTCTGAAATAAGGGGTGAGTCCAGGGCTAGTATGGTGACTCCAGGATGTCTTCAGAAACCCAGAATCCTTCTGTGTTTTCATTCGGAATAGGATAATGTTGTTGCCTTGTGGACCCAAGATGGCCGTTGTACCTCCAGCATTACATCTGTCTCCTAGCCTGGAAACAGGGAAAAGCAAAGGGCAAAAGCACACGGCAGCTGTATCTACCCCTCCTCTTTTAGGGAGCTCTCCTGGAGGTCTTACACTAGAACTTCCTCCTACATATTGGCAAAAATAATATTACACGGACTTTCCTATCTACAAGGCAAGCTGGGAAATGTGCCCCTCTGACACCCCAAATAAAACCTGGGCTCTGTTAATACAGTTGAGGGCAGAAGAACAGATATGAGGTGAGTGACTGGAACTCTCTGCCACAACCTCTAATATAAGAAGAGGCAGTCAATTTGTCCACATCAATGCATTGTCTTTTGGGAAATCGATTTGTGGCCAATTAAACAGAATCAACATAGGTTGACTATATTAAGCACTATGATAGAGGTAATAAAACTAACTAAAATGTTATTCCACAGTGTAGCCTTTCTCAAATCCCATAGCTAAAGGCACTATCTACCATAGATCTTTATTTTATCCTTTCTCGTCAGTACCTAAACTTATCTAATTGATTTATTTGTTCACACGTTTATTGTAAGTTCCATGAGAGATGCTGCCTGTCTTATACAACTCTGTGCTAGAAAACTGTAGGCACTGAATAAATATTTGTTGACTGACAGATTTTTATTAAACGCATATTATGTGCAAGGCATTCTTCTTTATATGGAGTATTTTATTTAATGCTTAACTATCATTCTATGAGGATGAAATTATCATCCCATTTTATAGAAAAGGAAACACTGAGTCATAGAGGTTTAATTATTTGCTCATGGTCACACAGCAAGTTCATGGGGAGCTGGGTCTAATCCAGAGCTGCAGCTCCCAGTCACCACATTATGCGCTAGGGACGTGCACATCGCTGAGACCAATTCTACTTCCAGAGTACTCAAAACATGGAGGACCTCGTACTCTAGCTAGAACTTAAGGAATGAGTAGGAATATTATAGATGGCTGTAGCAAGGATTGGGTGTGAGGGTGGGGATCAGTAAAACTAGAAATGAGAGGTGGATCAGATTTAAAAACCAGGGCTGGGTGTGTTGGCTCACACCTATAATCCTAGTGCTTTGGGAGGCTGATAGGTGAGGATTGCATGAACCCAAGGATTTAAGACCAGCCTGGGCAACATAGCGAGTCCCCAGCTATACAAAAAAAAAAAAAAAACACAAAAATTAGCCAGGTGTGGTGGGTTGCACCTGCAGTCTCAGCTACTGAGGAGGCTGAGGGAGGAGGAATGTGTGATCTCAGGAGTTGGAGGCTGCAGTGAGCTGTGATCATGCAGTTGCACTCCAGCCTGGGTGACAGAATGAGATACCATCCCCAAAATAATAAAATAATAAAATAAAAAAACCTGGCGCCAAGGAATCTTGATTTTTATCCTTTAACATAGACATTGAGGAATCTTCCATGGTTTCCTAAGTGGGCAGGTAACATGATTAGATCTGTATTGGAGGAAGTTCCACCAAGGAGCACAAGTGTGAAGGGTTTATGGCTGGAGGCAGAGAACAATTGTAAGTGTGAAAAAAAACTAGTCAGGAGACAATCAACTAGAGCCTGAACTTGGATAGTTGTAACTGACATGAAAAAAAATAAGACAGACACCAACGTTGTTATGGATACAGAATCAAAAACCTTTGGGAGCTGATTGAAGGAGGTGGAGCAGATACAGAAGAAGCCAGACTCTTAGGAGAAGTGGAAGGAAGAGGGATGAGGGGACAGGCTGTGACCAAAGCCAAAGGGACCAAACCTCATGATTTTCTTGTTTGTTGTCTGCTGACCTGACAGGAGGCAAATTCAGGGACATGCCCGGCATCTTTGGAGGCTCCTAGGTCCCCTTTTAACCTTTGGTGAGTGAAACCTTGGTCCTCTGTCTGCAAGATCTGTTTCAAAATTCTGGTGAAAGGAGCTGGAGATCCTTGTCTCAAAATAGAGAAGTTTGTCAGGGTAACTGGCTGCCAAGCAGAGACTTCCTTTCTTCCACACTGGAAGCCAGTGGTGGCGGATGTTGCTATTAATGGTCCCCAGGATTTGAGGGGACTGTACTCTCCTGGCATTTTAGGGTCTACGTCTGGATCGAAGCTGTACCAACTCTGAGGGGAGTAAAAGCGGACAGACCAGGAAGGCCTGACTTTATCCACAGTAGAACATATTAGGCAACACCCTGGAGGATGTCCTAAGAGAATTTAGAATGCATGTCCCATGTGCTGTAAGATTTCACCCTTGCAGATGTGGCGAATGAAGAATAAAAATCTCCTTACTATGGCCTAGGAAACCTACATGTTCTGACCCCTACCAACTGCCCACCCTCCCCTTGCCTCAAAAAGAGGGGCGTATTCAGTCCTGAGGGCTTGCCCCCACTCTACGTATTCACTTACTGCAAACCTAACCTTCTCGTTCTGCTAGTTGTGGCTCTAATATCAGCTCAGATAAGGCTTCCCTGACCATTTAGACTGATGCTGTTCTCCATGCACTGCCCACCCCCATCACTCTCAGTATACGTCCCTAACTTATTTAATTTCATATTATTTTACTGCTTAAATTGTATATCTCACCCAAGAGAATAAGCTCTGAGAGAACAAGGGACACTGCTGTCCCCCTTGACACATTTCTGCAGTGCCTAGAGCATTTCTTGGCCCATTGTAGGTGCTCAGTAAACACTTACGGGATGAAGGAGATAAGCTACCACACGAAGGAGGATCAGGTATATCTCACTGCTACCTTTTTCTCACCTTGCACCTGTCTTCATGCCCTCTTTTCAAACAGGGTCACAATGGGAATTCCACTCTTTTGAGGATGACAAAACATTAATTGCCACCTCCCTAGTCCACTCCTCCCTAGCAGCACTCCTCCCTTCCACCTGTGATCAGGCAGGAAGTGTGGGTGACTTTTGGAAATGCACCTGTGCCACGTGTAGGAAAGGTGTTCTCAGACGACTGCTCAACAGACAGGACAATGGGGCCCGGCGGGAAGTAGGTCCGTTGCAGAATTAGGGTAAGTCCATCTGTGCGTTTTAACATGAACCAGGCGGCATGTCATTGTATGCAAATCAAGTGCCAGCTCTGTCAAGTCCACACCAGTTCTCCGCGTTGCCCTAGAGGCCCCAGAGCCTCTGTCACTCCCCACTTTGGGCATGGGAGGACTAAGAGCCAGCACTACGGCAGGTGCATGCCGGGAGTCTGATCAGCATTCAGCTTAGGCAGCATAGGGGCCTCATTAGTTTTAATGAATTAGCACTTTGGAAAAGGAGGGGATGATGTTACAGCTAGTGAGTGGGTATCAGCTGCCTTCATTTATGCCCAAGTGCAGAGTGATCTTCCTTTCATTTTTCTGCCTCCTCCCAGGTGTGGAAGCCTGAAACTTCTCTAAATGCTGGAATCAAAGGCCTCTGCTTTTTCTTCCCTAACCCATTCTCCGAGCTGTTTATAGACCAAAATCACAGCAATTTTTGAGTCAATGCAAGATGAAATTATCCCAGCTGGAAACACTAATGTCTGGTGTGGAACCCAGAGTTGCTAGTGACCCTAACACCCAGTGCAGCTCTGTCTGTACTCCTGCCACCCCAATCCTGACCGCCGTAAGCCAGGCTCGACCACCCTTGTCAGCAATGTGGACAAAAAATTCGTCTGTGACAAAAGTGCCTGAGGGGGAAGAAATCAAGAATTGGTGAAAGTAAAGGATTCTTTGTCTGTAAACTCATGTTCCTTTCAAAATATGTGGTTCCACTGCAGGTGGGAAGTTGTTGCTGCATTGTGAAAGCAATTTTGCTAAAGAAAAAAGAGGAGACTGCCAGAAACAGACAGAGTCAGTCCAAGGGAAGACTAGGCAGAGACAGACCCACAGCAGACAGAAAGGAGCAAAGAGGTCTAAAATACGCACGGACAGGCAGCCAGTGGCTTCGAGAGACATTCATCAAGACAGCCATGCATTTCCATCAGGGAAGAGTCCTGAGGAGCCACTGATTTTGCCTGAGGGAACTGTTCTTCCCTGTTTCCTGGAGAAATGCTGCAATTTTTTGATGGAAAAAGAGTCTGAGTAACATCTAATTTCTGATACTGAATGAAAATGTGATCTGATGGCTGTGAATAATCAGAGCTGCAAAATGAAGGGGGTTAGACCCAGATCAGTGACCAAGGGGGATATTATTCCTCTTTCTTTGGATTCCCTGTAGATTAACTGCCTTGTCACACTGCCTGATTCAAGTTCAGCTCTGTAACTCATTAGCTGAGTGACCCTGGACAAGTGATTTAACTTTTCTCTAACAGATTTCCTTATCTATAAAATGGGGATAATAATAGTATCTACTGTACAGGCTCTTGTGAAAAATGAAATAACAAAAGTGCTTAGAACAGTGCCTGGCACACATTAACTTTATTATTATTATCCATATTATGACTGTTATTATTGTTATTGCTATTCTTTGCCTAATCTGGGGGATTCACATGGAGCCAATTTCTATTTCGAGACCCCAGCTGTTAGCATTCATCACTTCTGAGGCTGTGTAGAGTGGTATTGCTAACCACCCCAATCCTTCAGCCACTGGAGGGATGGGGATGGGCCCCCACTATTTATAGCTGGGGAGGAGCCTCTTAACATTTCTGTTTTAGAATATCATCATGTTCTGGTGAACTGGAATTGTGATGAAAGGAGTTTGGATAAGAAGTAAATTGGTAAGTGAGCTGGAAACTGGGTTGTCTAAATCTTAACAATGTTAAATTTAACTTAATGCAAGTTCTAGATTCAGAAAGGGAGGAGATTAACAACCCTTGAGAACCAATATACGAGCCAGACACTATGCTAGGTTATTTCACATATATTACTGGATTTAATGCTCACATTAAAGCTTTCATGTAGTTATCATTGTTGTCCTTTTACAAATGAATTAGCTCAGGTTCATAAGGGTCAAGCTGCTTATCCTAGGTCACAAAGCATAGTGAAATGTATGTGGTATATGAAGGTGGTTAATATTTTGGTTATTCAATCAGATGGCATACAATGAATATAGTAATATTGTGGCTAAAGAACCCAAGAGATGAGTGTGGATTATGCTTGTGGACTTCTTTAAGGATGTCTCTGTCACTTCAAGATTCAGTATACGCCTTTTACCTTAACTACAGAAATTACAAATATATGAAAAGAGGAAGCCAACAAGAAGCCAGTTGGCTCAGAAACAAGATAAACATTTCTGTGGACCAGAACCAGAAGAAAACACAAGGAGGTTGCTGATTCTGGGGCTGGAAGCTGACACTAATGAGATGGGGAACCAGATGAGTTTCACTATTTGAATTATGGGGCTGACTTGGGTGATTGTCCCCCTTAATGCAAAGAGGCTGAAAAAGCAACCACTGGTTAGTTGCTTGGGGGATGGTTGCAGTGCCTATCAAATCTGAGCGTGCATCAGAATCACCAGGAGGTGATTCTGTTAAGATACAAATTGCTGGACCCTATCTCCAGAGTGTATGATTCAGTAGGTCCAGAATAAATATTTGCATTTCCAACTAGTTTCCAGGGAGCTGATGCTACTGCTCTAGGAGCACATTTAATAGGAAGCTGTGGACTGAGGAGCTGGAAGAAAATGGACATAGCCTTGTAAGCAGGCTCAGCATCATGCCACCCACTGACTTCATGTCTGGATCTGCAATATCCTCAGTATCACTACAGAGCTAGCAATATTATTATTCAACCCTGGTTCTGTACTTGGGTCCCAGGAGATAAAGTTGGGGAAAACAGTAAACTGCTAGATAGCAAAGGAGAAAAGTAAGACACAAAACAAAACAGAAACTTCCCACTAAAAAATGATCCCTGGAAAGTAAAATTTTAAAATATGTGAATGATTCTAATAATAAGAAAAATAACCAACAAAATAAGCAATCAGAACATGAATTAACTCCAAATTAAACTAATTACATGGATCTGTCTAACAAAGCTTTAAAAAGAAATATGCTTAGGATCTTCACAGATAAAAGAAGTAACATTTATTAAAAATGAACAAATGTTATGAAATAAAATAGACAGAAGTGGATAAAGAAGGGAAGGCTGTGGAAAAAGAAGGGAAGGCTATGAAAAAGAACTTAAGAATCTTATAAATGAAGAATGGAGAAAACGGTAGAGAAGGAATACTTGAAGAAAAAATAGCTGAGATTTATTCCCCTCAGAATTAAAGAAAGACATGAATCCTCCAATTGAAAATGCATTTTGAGTACTGAGCAGAATAAAGATAAACACACACTTAGATAAAATTAAATTTTAACCTCAACAGAATAAAGATAAACACACACTTATCAATTTAAGTTAAATTATAGTTAAATATAGAACATGAAAGATGAAGAAAAATAATAAGGCTATTGGAAAATAGGATTCTATTCAACAAGGAACAAAATTAAACTAACAACAGTTATCTCATTACTAATTACAGAGAAAGAAAAACAATGGAATAATATCTTCAAAGTGCTAAGGCAAATTGACCATCAACTTAAAATTTTATATCCAGCTAAACTATCATTCTTTAAGCAAAAGCTAAAAGAATATACCAACCATTATTTCTGTAATAATACAGAAATTATTAAGGAAAAAAGGAGAAGAATCCAGAGAGAAGATCTAGAATACTAGAAAATATAGTAAGCACAGAAAAAAATAGTATGGCAGTTAATCTAATTAACCATTAACTATTTTAAAACAAAACACTCTGTTTTGTACCGGAAAAAGGGTAAAATCAAATATATAGACCAAAATCTGTGACTTCTTTCTGTCGAGGGCCAGACAATAAATATGTTAGGCTTTTGGTCATGTAGTTTCTGTCACAACTGCTTAACTCTGCCATTGTAGAGTGAAAGCAACCATTGACAATACATAAATCAGTAGATGTGGCTGTGTTTCAATACAACTTTATTTACAAAAACAGACTGTCAGCCAGATTTGGCTGGAGGATTGTGCTTTGTCCAGCACTGCTCTAGATGACAATAACAAGATGCAAGAAGCAGTGTGTTTAGTAAGTTGTTACATATTTTACTCTCCTAGATATGTTTGGAAAGAGAGTAGAAATATTAAATAACTTAGATATGTTTTAAAATGTATAAATAAACATGCTTGTTAAAAAAAAGGTAGTTAATCACTAAAAATTAAAAGTATATCGCTTCCAAGTTACCAGAAGGGAAAAAAAGGAATATCAATAGATACTAGTGAAAGTAAAAAATATGAGGACATATAAATAATCATTATCTGTGTTTTACCTGTCCCAGGTAATCTGAGTTGGTAAAACATATTAGAAAGAAGATTGATCATTTGGTACCCACCTGTGACTTACCAAGAAGCCTGGTTAGACTGAAAGAAGCAAGCATTACTTGGTGAATAGATCTCTTAAGGTTTTTGTTGTTGCTGTTGTTGTTGTTATTGTTGTTGTTCGGATAAGAGGCATCCTGGCTAATACTCAGCAAGAGACAGAATCTTATAGGAACCAGGAGTTCAGTCAATCATTCAACACTTATTAGCTGCCTATATAACGTAATACAAGGTGATATGTTAGGCACTGAGCATAAAAAATAAAAATCATGGCCCTTTCCCTCAAGAAGCTCATAGTATAAAGGTGAGGGTTTAAAGGGGTTAATTGCTGCTAATTGCTAATTGCTCTGAGAGCAAAATTCTGTAGCCAACGCGTAACCTCCCCTCACTAGAATTCCTCCCAACTCCCGGGGTCCAACACACCTCCCAGGGAGATTTTTCTTTATTTACCATTCTCCTGGTTTCTCTTCCTCTCTCCAGTAGGAAGACATTGAAGTGGTTTGGCTGTGGAGCTGAGGTTAACAAAGCCAGAGAAAGGCCAAAGATTTAAATATATCAGGAGGGACTAAAAGAAAAAAATATCCTGATAATGCTATATCCCTTGCAGCTCACAGACTCTCCAGGATCTTGACCGCGCAGCCCTCTCTGCCTGGAATGCCCTTCCTTGTCTTCTTTCCTGGTTAAACACTACCCAACCTTGCTGTTTCAGCTGAGATATTATCTCCTGGAGAAACCTTCCCTAACCCTCCACTCCTCAAACTAGGTTAGATGCCTGTCCAGTCTGCTCATATCATGTTTCTTGTATTCTGGTCTGTCTCATCTCTCGGATCAGACTGTCAGCTCCTCAAAGCCTTTTCTGTCCCTCTCCTTTTCACTTTTTCCCTGCACAAAATCACATATGTCTCCCAGAATGGACCAACTTGAGGATTTTTGAACACTAAAAATTCTCCTTCCCATGGGGCTCCCCTGCCCTCACCCACTACCACAGTCATTGGATGATTCCTATTCCCCTCCTAGGACTCAGCCCAGACACCACATCCTACATGAGGTCCCACCATCACTACCCCCTGTTGACCACACAAACTAAGACTGGATTGGGTGCCAGTCATCAATGCTCCCAGAGCACCCAGCACTTCCTTACCTTGATACCTAATGTATTTCATTAAGAATGGTTTATTTCCTTGCCTTTCCCTCACATTAAATTCCATGAGGGCAGGATTTTTTTGGTTCACCATTGTATCCCAGTACCCAGAATAATTGATGTTCAAGTGAATGAGTGACAAAGAGAAGCATTAAGTCATAACCCATTGCGGGGGGGGGAAGAAATAATTTTTGCCTTTCAGAAGTTGAGTTGGTTTAGAGACCTAAAATTCAGGTAAATGAAATAAAGAAAACATCACACAATTAGATACTAATTGTATATATGTTACACCAGGTTGGCAGACAGAATTGATGTGAGCTAGACTCAAGTAATTGGAGACTTCATGGTACAGGTGAGTTCTGGAGGAAGGGCAGGATTTAGACCGAGAAGGTGGAATGAATGGCTTGTAGCTATTATTTGGATGTGCTAGAGAAGGCAAACCTGGGGCCAAGATGCAGCCAGTCCTCCAGAGTTAGCATGGAAATACTCACTCTTCAGTAAGCATTTTGAACATAAGCTATCATGGTAATTAACTATCAATCCTGACAAATATGCATATATTTCTGCATGTTCTTTTCTATCTGATTCACTCTTGTGTGAGATAATTGTGGAAACTTTGGGGTAACAAGAAAAACTAATGACATAGATGGTTTGTGTGGTAAGAACACTTGGAAACCTATTTGCCTGTACACGAGGCACATAGAGGCTTCCAGAGAGAGATAGCTATGAGGTTCAGAGTCTTCACCATAACTAGCTCTGTGGGTTGTACTCACTGATTTATTTTTGGCAGCCTCTCTGCCTGCCATGGGTATTTCTT
The DNA here is from genome assembly GCF_000001405.40 of Homo sapiens. Taxonomy (NCBI): domain Eukaryota; kingdom Metazoa; phylum Chordata; class Mammalia; order Primates; family Hominidae; genus Homo; species Homo sapiens. The sequence goes on along the minus strand of NC_000011.10, from coordinate 112,858,796 downwards.
TATTATTAGCAGATTCATCCACTTCATAGATGTGTCTTCTGATATTTTAAGCAGTCAGTAAAATGAAAGACTATTATTATGTGGGCTGGTCTTATGAGGCAGTTCTAGAGGAAGAAAAGCCCCTCCCATGTCCCTGATGCTGTCTGGGGAAGGTTTAGTGTTTATTGGCTGGCTGTAGATGTAACTAAAAATGGGCTCCGGAGACCCCTCTGGGAGGAGGCTGAGCACTGGATTATAAGTCCTTGCACCAAACCGTAAAGCAAAGGAGAGCATCTCATTTGTTGTGTTTTCCCCACCATCCCTAATGAGCTTAGGGCTGACACCTTGAAGGTGCCTAATAATGTTTAATGAATTGAATTGGCAGTTTTAGGGCGGGCAGGCAGGCTAAAGCCGCCAATGCAGCCATTTTCAGCTTTGGAGCAGAGAGTGACTACCAAAGTTGATCTGTGTTGTCTGAAGTTCAGAAACCTTGACTCCCTTTATCCCCACAACCCCTTCCCTAAAATGACGTGCAATCACCAACATAGAGCTTTTTGGTGGAGGGGCAGGGAAGGAAGAGGGTCAAATGTCTGTGACAGCATTAAGCTCTTCATGTTATCTGTAAATGGGCCTTTTACTTTTTGTCCATTTGTTTGTACCTGCAATCTTGTGTAGGAATTTTGATCAGTCTCTCTTGATCGCTAAGTCTTATTTGCTTGTTTGAGTTGACTTTTCCGTAGCCTTTGATGCTATTACTAACTGCAGTCTAATTTCAAGTGAGTCTCCCCTCTGGCTTAGCAGATGCTTTGCCTCACCTTGCGAGGGCTCCCTCACACATCCCTCTTGACATCATTGCCAACTTCAAGTCTCCAAGCTCACATACCTGCCCCAAAGTAGAGGTGACTTCACCTCCTTCTTTACTAAGAAGGCTGAGGCCACCATGTCTAGGCTCTTCTCTTCCATTTTTATGCATTCCCATCTCTATTTTCATGCTTTTATCTTGTCTAAAAAGAGTAGTTCTTCTAACTTTCATGGCTAAACATCCTTAGCTGTGCTTACCATTCCTTCTCTTGTTGCTTCTGAGATGGTTTCATCAGACACTCTCCCTGCAATATTTGCTGTCTCCACTTTTTCCTTCCTGTATGTCTGCCAAGATATTCAGGTTATGCCTACTGGAAGGTAAAGCAAAACAAAAACTCATACATGCAAACAAAAGACCTCTGCCTTGACCCTGCTTTTCCTTTGTCTTTCATTCTTTCTTATGCTTTTCTATCTCAAATTACCAGTCAACTCACTAAGCCTCTATGTCCTCACCACTAGCAAACTTTTCCCACTTGTTATCTGATTTCTGTTTCACTGCTCTAGAGAAAGTGCTCTCTGCAGAACCACTGGTACTTTTATATTTATCATTTCTAACTAACCACTTTCTACTTGGCTCCTCTTGGACATCTGGATGTCATAGCCATAATGTTAATCTGGGTGAGGGTAGTCTTCCCTTCCTTTGACTTTAAAGACCTCCACTACCTTCTTAATCCAATGAAGCCTGCCCATGATTCACTAATTCATGGATACTAGAGTCAATATGATTACCAATGACTTGCTAATTGCCAAGTTTAATGAATGACTTAGTTCTTACCTCACTGGGTCTTTCTACTGCACTTGGCTGGTTGGTCTCTCTAGCCTTGGTGAAACTCTGCTCTTCGCACCTCTTTGCTTATTAGCCTTTTATTCCTTGGTTGTTCTGCGTCTGTCTCCTTTTGATCCTTTTCCCAGCCTCCTCTCTAAAGTTCAGTCCTGGGTCCTCACTTTATATGCTCTTGAATGGTAATCTCACCTGCTCAAACTCTAACAGGTAACCCCCAGATCAGCATCCTCGAGCCAAGCCTCTCTCCTGAACTTCCTTCTAGACATCTTCTCCTGCCAGCCTCCTAGGCTCCCCAACACTTCAAGTAAGGACTTCACATTTTCTCTCCCAAACGTGCCCCTCCTTGCTTTCCTCTCTCAGTGACTGGCTCTCCCATCTATGCAGGCTCTGAGTCAGAAGCTCCCACATCCTTTCACCTCTTTCCCTTGCCTCTATTTGTTATCAGTTACTAGTCCTGCCAATGTACCTATTAAGAATTTCTCAAAATTCTTCCTTCCATTCCTCCCTGGAACTTCTGCCCCAGTTTGGACCCTCATCATTTCTTGCCTGGATTCCCAATAGGTTCTCCCTACCCCTAGGTCTTTCCTCCTCAAATCAATCCTCCTCAGAGCAGGAAGATCTATTTTTAAAACATGAAACTAACCCTGTTATTCTCCTGCTTTAATCACTTGGATAAAATCCAATCTGTTTAACATGTTGTAAAGGGCCCTGTGTGTTCTCCCCCTGCCAACCCCTTAACACACACCTCCCACCCTGGCCTCCTCTAACCGTCATTCTCAGTGACATGGAACTGCTTGCAGCCACCCCTGTTCCACTTTCCACATACCCTCTGCCACTGCCTGTGCCTCCACCTTTTCCCACACTGATCCTCCTACCTGGAGCGTGAAGCCTCATCCCACCATGCCATTGGCTGGATGAACTTTTCTGAATACCTGGAGCACGTCTCCAGTACTGCACTTCCACAGTGTTTGATGGTAGTTGCTTATTTTTCCATTTCCCCAACTGCATATCGAGTTTCCCCCAAAAGGAAACTTAGCATTTCTAGACAGGTTTTCCCCAGCCTAGAAATCTATCTGCTGGTAACAGACAACTTAAGGAACATATTGTTAGAAGGCGTAGCTATCCTCCCTGGTAACCATCTTTCTTCCTTTTTCCCCCCATTAAGAAATATGCATTTTATCCTTATATGTGCTTTGCTGAACATTGAAAATCGATGATGGACAGGGTCTTTCACCTTATGTGGAGCCCCTTGGTAGTCCTAGTCTGTTAGCTGTTCTGTAATTCAACAGTTATCCAAACACATTCATATTTTCTGCTATCATCTTCTGAGATGATAAATTCCATAAATTATTACCCATTATGTGAAGTAGGAAGGAATCTCACATAGTAGTTAAGATTTAGAAATATTATAGTTGAAACCTGGCTCTCCTACACACTAGATATTTGACTTTGGTCTAATTACTTTACTTCATTGAACTTCAGTTTCCTTATAAGCAAAAGGGAGAGAATAAGGATACCTAATTCCTAAAATGTATATGAGAATAAGGATACCTAAGTCCTAAAATATATACTCCTAAAATGTATATGAGTATCCTATGTGATAATATTTGTAAGCACCTCTAAAAGCAGAGATGGCACATTGTAAGTTCTCAATAGGTGATAATTCTTGTTATTATTACACGAGTATCAAAGAGTATCTTGTGGGAAAAGTCACAGGAATTAAGACCTTAGGTAAACCACTGAAACTCCCTTGGCTTTGGTTTCTTCCTGTGTAAAGTAAGGGGAAGGTAGATGTATTACCTTCTCACTGAACACTCTTCCTAGAGAAGCAGCCAACCCATAACTCTTTGGAGCAGCTCTCTGTGCCTTGAGACACTGCTGACCTTGACCAAAACTGATGGGAACAGAAAGGGACACTTCACTCCAGTTGAGTCAATCAGAGTCTCTTCCCAGAAATGTGGGACTTGGATACTGAGACACTGACTCAGATGATGAAGCGAACATGAAAAGCATTGAATTGAGTTGGAAGTCAAAGCCAAGGTCAGAAAACATAAGTCTATGTTGTGGGAAAACCATGTAGTATACAAAGAAAAAGTAAGTCTGAAAGCAGAGAGCAGGACAGAGCGGAGCAAATGGGAAAGAGAACATTCTGCCCTGTGGGATAAAACAGTTTCAACACCTGAGATTCCAGTTTTGGTCCCTTGATTTCTTGCAAAGCCTTGTGCCCTATCTTTGTATGTCAATTAAATGGACTGTGTCTGTATATTAAGCCCCTTTAAAAACTAGCTTGTGTGGGTCCATGTCCCCCAGCATGGCTCCTTTCCACCTCTGAAAACCACACACTAGAGTTTTATTCGCTCCTTTCGGTGTCTTATTTCAGAATTTGGTAAAGGAATATTATGGTAACTTCATTTAGGGTTTTTTTTTCTTTCTATATGGATTTAGGTTGTAGGAATTTTGAAATGTTTAAGTTTTTCCTCAAGTGGCAGTTTTTTCCTCCTCCCTCCAGGTTTCTTTTTAGTAGAACTTCTCCCCTTCCTTGTGTTTTCTCCCTTAAAAAGAAAAAAAAATCTGAATTATCACATAACTTGTGTTTTCTCCCTTAAAAAGAAAAAAAAATCTGAATTATCACACAATTTTTAAGTTTAAGGGAACACTAATTCTTTGTATGGTTTCAGGTACCCGCTATTTTGCTAATCCTTCAGGCTATAGCAAGCAGACATTGAGCTCAGAAATAATCTTCGATGAATATAAGTTGCTTCGCGGGATTGGCTCCAAATCCTTCCATTTATTTAAATGTCTAGAATTTTGATTCCTAAACATTGCCTATCTTAAAACAGACCCATCACTTTTTTTTAACCACTCTCATGAGTTGGTTGCACTTGGAAGCATTAGCCATCAGCAAGAATGTGTCAGAGCACATTAAGGGAAAGCACAGTGGAGCCCTGCGGTGGGCACTGCTCTGGGGATACTTTTGCTGTGCTACCCACAGGTAGGTCCATGGTAGACACAAGTGGCTACTTAAATTTAAGCTAATTAAAATTAAGTTAAATTAGACATTCAATTTTTCATTTCCACTGGCCACTTTTCAAATCCTCAATAACCACATGTGGCTACTATATTATATAGTGCAGATATAGGTTTTTTCCATCATTGCAGAAATTTCCATTGGACAAGGCTGCTTGGTGGGATCCAGTATCCAGTTTAGGGAAGCCTGCACAGCCAATAAATCCAGAAGACCTTGAGAGGATTTCCTAAATAGAAGCGAGAGAGATGGTAGCCCTCAGAAAAGGTGATATTTGAAGACAACTTCAGGTGGCAGTGGCCCAATCAGTAAGCTGGACTTTTGGGACAGGACTGCAGCTCCTGGGGAAGAATAGTGTGTTAGTTGGCATAGAAAGACTGGGCTTGGCTATGGGACAGTCAAAAGCTCCCATACTCAGTAGCTTAAACACAATGAAGGTTTATTTCTCTATCAGGGAGTCCAGTGAAGGTGGGACGACCCTTTTCGAAGCTTGCAGAGGAATTAGGAGATGGCGCACATTCTTAACGGTCTTGACTCAGAAGAGAAAACCTTTCCTTCAGCTCACAGTGTATTTGTGAAAGCTAATAACGAGGCCCCAACTCATCAAGAGAGAGGCTGGCAGATGTAAAGGAGCATCCATATATATATATATATATATATATATATATATATATGTGTGTGTGTGTGTGTGTGTGTGTGTGTGTGTGTGTGTGTGTATAATATATAAGCACTAACTATCTCTACAACTAGAAAGAGCAAGGTAGTTTCCTTGCCCTGTGAGGAATTTTGTTCCAGAAGCTAATAAAGGCAAGGACTCTCAACTGTGAACTCCTTGAGTACTGAGACTATACTAGCACTTATGTGGCACCCAACACACCAGGCTGCTTAATAAGCAATTGCTAACACAGATACCAGAGTTGGGGCCCAGGATGGCCATTGGATCTCACAAAGAGGGCTGACTTGATACTGAGGCCCGGGAGGTTGAACTAGAACTCCTTAAATCTCCTCAGATTACAGACGTAATTGGTCCTAAAAGCAGGACTGAGATGACGGTTCAGGCCTCGGTTATAGGGAGAGGGAGACTGAAGGAGTTGAGAACCCAGCAAGACTGTTGGGTTTTGCCAATCCACACAGATTTCTAAGGTTTCCCTGTAGTCTAATCTCTTCGGCTTGGTACTTTACTCCTGGAAATAATTTAATGTCAACTGCAAACATGGAGCTTTTATTGGAAATGCCCTTATCAAGATCATAGGTAAAGACCTAGCACTGATCCTTTATACTTATCTCCCTGGAGGAGTGGCCATCCATTTATCCTTATCCTTTATTTCTGTTTCTGAGCCCATTCCTTGCTCCTGACAAAACCACTTTCCTCCTGTACTCATCATGCCCTGATTTCTTATAGTGTTTGAAATGGAATCTTTCCAAAAGGCTTATTGAAAGTCTGAGTAGATTACATCCACCAGTTCCTTTATCTACATGGCTATTTATTCTCTTCCAGAACATCTATAAATAAACATTGGCTCAGTCCCAAAGTTCCATCCTTGGGGCTCATTCCTGTCCCTTCATTCTCTCACTTGGGGATCATATCTACTGTTAAAGCCTTAACTGCCTCTTCTCCAGGGATGATCTCTACAGCCCTGCCCTCCATCGAGACCTCCAATTTTGCATCTGTAACTGACGACTTCATCTCTAAATGGCTAAAACTGAGCATAACACCTCCCTCCAAAACTCACTCCCCCTCTCGGATCTCCTATTTCTGTCTATTGTTTCATCAACCTTCTAGTCACTCAGGCTTAACACTATGATTCAGTTCTGACTCCTCACTCTCCTTTTCCATCCTCCCATCCCAAAATTAGTCATCAAGTCCCGTGCGTCCTTTGTCATTTCTCAGATCTTTTTCTTCCTTTCCTTTTTGCACTGTCACTACTCAAATTGAAGTCCCTGTGGCTTTATTCTTGGAGTATTGCAGGAGCCAACCTGCTAGGTTTTCTCTTCCACCAACTTATCTTACATTAATTCACACTAAGCCATTGGATTTAGAAACATCTAGACCTGTATTCAAATCCTAGCACTATCATTTATAAGCTGCATGACCTTGGCCAAGTTACTTTACCTCTCTGAATCCCATTTTCTCTCTTGAATACAATGAATAATAATTAAGAAATCAGTAAGTGCTAGCTATTATTACTATATTCTAGGCATTATCCAAGATGTGGTAGATATTATCTTATTCACTCTCCCACAATAACCTTATGAAGTAGCTATTATTATTATTCTTATTTTACAAATTAGAAAGCTCAAAAAATTCAAATAATTTGTCCAAGGTTACATAGCTAGTAAGTATCAGAGCTAGTGTTAAACTCCAGGCAGTTTGATTCCACTATACCTAGTCTATACCTAATTACTCTGCTATCCTGCCTCCTAACATAGTAGTTACTCAATAAATGTTCATTATACTAATAATCAGCATCCTTAAATGCAGATGTGATCATTTTGCTAAAAGTCTCCAGTGGTCATACTTTGTAGAATAAAGTCTATTAAGTTAAAAACAGTATTAGAACATCTACTACCTAAAACATTTCAGTTCCTTCCCATTATGACTATGTTTTTTAAAAATCCATGATATTCTTTTGGTTCTGATGAATTATTATGTATTAGGCTAACACTCCCAGTAAGAAGTATAAACCTGGATAAAATTATAAAATGGCTATGTGGAGTATAAGAGACCAACCACTCAAGGCAGCCAGGACATTAAGTGTTAGAAATCTGAAGAGATAACTTTATAATGTTAAATACATGTAGTAGCAAAGAAAGGCTGAATGTCAATTACTTAAGTATCCCTTTCAGAAACCTCAAAAAAAGAACAATAATTAATCTCAAGGAAAGTTAAAGGGAAAAAATAAAAAGCAGAAATCAATAGATAGAAAACAAATGTACAATAAAAAATAAATAAAGCCAAACTTTGGGTTTTTGAAAAGCCTAAGAAAATTTATAAAACTCTAGCTGGACTGATCAGGAAAGTAGGAGAAGAACAAATAACCTATATCAGAAATAAAAAAGGAGTAATCACAACAAACCCTATAGATATTACAAAGACAATAAGACGAGGTTATGAATGACTTTAACTAAAAAATTTAAAAACCTAGATGAAATGGACAAATTCCTAGAAAAAAAGCACAATTTACCAAAACTGACATTAAAAAATAGAAAATCTGAACTGTTACATACTGCTAAAAATTAATTATTTTAAACTTTCTGCAAACAAAACTCTGGACCCAAATGACTTCACTGGTAAATTATTTTAAAATTTTAGAAAAACAAACTGCCAATCTTAAATAAGCTCTTTCAAAAACTAAAAAAAGAGACATATCTTAACCATTTTATGAGTCCAGCATAACTTTGATGTCAGATTTGACAAGGATACTACAAGAAAAGAAAATTACAGGGTAATATCTCTCATGTAGATAGATACAGCTCTAATAAAGAAAAGGTAAGAAATCTCAATTCAGAAATATATTTATATGAAGAATAATAAATCATGGTCATGCAGGGTTTATTCTGGAAATTCAAGAATGTTTTAATATTAGAAAATCAAACAACATAACTATTACATTCATATAATAAAGGGGACATATTATATAATCATCTCAATTTATATTGAAAAAGCATTTGACAAATTTTGCAACTGTTCATGATAAAAAAAAAAAAGAAGCTCTTAGGAAACTAGGAATGGAAGGGAACTTGCTTTTCTGATAAAGGCTCTCTTCCAAAATTCAACTTGATGGTGAAATATTGAAAGCTTCCTCCTGAGATTAGTAATGAGATAAGAATGTCTGCTATCAGTTTCTCCTCAGCATTATATTAGATATACTAGCAGGTGCAATAATGCCATGAAAAAATAAAAAGGATATGGATTGAAAAGAAAGAAAACTGTCACTATTTACAAATGACATGATTGCTAGGCATAATATCCAAAAGCATATGCAAATAAGTTATCAGAATTGATAAGTAATTTTAGCAAGGTCTTGGCATTTCTATTTAACAGGAGAAAGCAGTTAGGAAATGAAATTCAAGAAAGATGCCATTACAATGGTATTAAAGCTATCAAATAACTTGAAATAAGTGAAACAAATATAAAGAAAACTATAAAACATTACTGAGAAAAAAATAGAAAAACTAAGTAATGGAGGAATGTGACATGTTCTCTTGCTGGAAGACTCAATTGTATAAGTTTGTCAATTTTCCTTGAATTGCCCTAGAAGCTTAGTGTGCTTCCAACCAAAATGCCAGCAGCATTTCTTATGTGAAGCTCGACAGGCTGATTCTTAAATTTACATGAAAATGCAAAGATTCAAGAATAGCTAAGACAATCTTAAAGAATATCACAGTTGAAGAAGAAGAAAAAGATTAGATATCAAGATTTATTATAAAAGTAAGTAAAGGAATATCTTATTCGTGGCATGAGCCAAGTCGAATGTAGAGTCCAGAAACAGACCTAAATATATATTGCCCACAGATCTATGGCAAAAACACACTGTTGTGCAGAGGGCAAAAGTGTTGTTTTCAGTAACGGGTATTAGATCAATTGGATATGTATATGGTAAGTGAATCTTGAATTCGATCTCTCACTAAAGGCAAAAACCTACCCAAGAGGGATAATAGACTTCAAGTGAAATGTAAAACAATAAAGCATTTAGAGAGTAACATAGAAGACTGTCTTCATAACCCCAATATAGATGATTTCTGGAGACACACAAAAGCAACTAACCATAAAGAAAAAGATTAAAATAAATAGCATATTATTAATACTAAGTAATTCTCTATAGCACACACTTACATAAAACAAAAATGCTTTTCCAGAATATTTTTAAAACATTGAAAGAAGAAAGAATGAAAGAATGAATGGTAGGAAGGAAGAAAGGAAGAGAGAGATGAAGGACAAGAGGAAGGAAGAAGGAAAGAAGGAAGGAAGGAAGGAAGGGAGGGAGGGAGGGAGGAAGGGAGAGAAAGGAAGGGAAGGAAGGAAATGGAAAGGAAGAAATAAAAGAAGGAAGGAAGGAAGAAAGAGACAGACACCCTTCTTCTCCAATGGGCAAAAGCTTGAAAATGCTCCTCACTAAAGAGAATATCCAAATGGCCAATAAACACCTGAAAATGTGCTCAACCAATTGGTCATCAGGGATACATAAATTAAAATCATGATAAAATATCACTATACATACAAAATTAACTAAATTTGTAAAAAAAATGGACATCAATTGTTGGTTTGGCATAGATAAGGAATAATATCATATATTCATATGAGTATAAATTGGTACAACCAATTTAGAAAACTTTGTGGCAAAACCGTCTGTAGTTACATATATGAGTATCATGACCCAGCAATTCCAGTTCTTGGTGTATAATCACAAAATAAAATAAAATAAAATAAAATAGTGCATATGTATAATAAATGACTATAAGAATGTTGCAATTATCTGTTTCCAAAATACTTTCATCTCTCCAAACAGGAACTGTGTACCCATTAAACAATAATTCCCCTTCCTTTTCTGCCCAGCCTCTCTAACCTATTTTCTGCCAAGGATAGGAACTACTTTCTATCTCTATGAATTTGTCTATTTTAGATATTTCATGTAAGTGGACTCATACAATACTTGTCCTTTTGAGTCTGGCTTATTTCACTCAGTATGATGTTTTCAAGCTTCATCCATTTTGTTGCATGGAGCTGTGGTTTTTTCATCTTTTATTGCTGAATAGTATTCCATTGTATGAATATACCATGTTTAATTCATTCATTCTATTGCTGATCAGCGGTTTTTCTCCCAGTTTGAGGGCTGTTACAAATGATGTTGCTAGGGACATTCTAGGAGTCTTTCAGTGTTCACATGTTAGGGTGTGCTAACTTTGTGAAAAATAAGTGAATGCTTAGGATTTGTGTCCTTTCCTGTAAGTCACACTTCAATTTTTAAAAAGTTTATTTAAAACATAGCAGGGGGATGCAGGAGGAGAAAAGAACAAAGAAAAAGAAAATCCATAGCATGGCCTATGAGGTCCTGTGAAGTGTGAAGTCTGGCCTTGAACAAACACCTGGCAATCTTGGAATGCTGGTTCAAGAAAAGCCATTTTGGCTCCCTGGTTCTTGGGCCAGGGAATCCTGGAGAAGACACACAGTGCCTTCCTTCCTAGCAAGGTGGGGGTGGAGGGAGATGCTGACAGGTAACTTGCCCTCTACATTACCAGTCAGCCAGCAGTGTGGCTTCCCATATCTTTCTGTGACACCCAGGACAGCATAGGATAAGCAAGACCAGCACAGCACATTTCTAGGGGACCCTTCAAAGCTCCCTCTCCAGGGAGACCCAAGGCTACAGGGTCTTCCATGTTCCTGGTCAGCTGTTGGCCAGCCCTCATCTTGGGGTGGAGTAGGGGCTGGGTACTGGGGAGGGCTCCACTTATGCCTGCCTTCCCTGTATCCTCCTGGGTCACGAAAGAGATTCAAAGTCATCATTCGCCTTCATTCTGTTCCTTCCTACCTCCGAATATTCGCACATATTGTTCCTGCTGCACAGAATACTTTTTGCCTTACTCTTCCTCTTCCTGAAGAGTCAGTTCTGTCCTCACATCTTTGAGAAAGCTTGCTCTGACCGACATCTGTTAAACAATCTCGTCTCATCATGGCACTTAACACAGTTTTAATTTGGAAATCTTTGATTAATTTCTGAGTCTTCCTACATGCTCCACAAGGGCAGGGACTGTGTTCATTGTTCAAACCCAATGGCTGGCACAGTGCCTGGGGAAAAGTGTGTGCTTAGAACACATAGAATGAATGAAGGATGAATGAATGAGTGAGTGAATACAATGCTCCCCTAAAGTAGCCAACCATTGTATATCCAACTGCCTGACACAAGTCCTCCTTTCTATCTGTTCCTTTAACTTACCTCTGTGTAGGCTGCCCACCTGTACCCCAACACACACACACATACACACACACACACACACACACAGACACACACAGAGTGTGCTTTTACTTGCAGCTTCCTTTAGCTCTTATTTTCTGCAGTGCTTATTGGCATAGGCTAATATCACAATGCGATGGTGGAATCATATGAAGCTTCTGGAGGAATTTCTCTGCACACCAGTGAAGATGATCAGGAAAGGGGTCGGGGCCAACTGATTGTTTCTCTAAGACTTGCTGCTTGATTTAGCTCCTGTGCACTCACTGACCTGGGTGGTTATTCCTGTTGCTCTGGACCAGGCAGGATGCAGCAGGAGCTCTTTCAAGCTACCACCAGGACAGCTAAGTGAAAACTTTAAGCCAGGTGTGAGTGATTGGTGTTTCTCTCTGCTCCGCCCTGTCATCAAGCTTCCATCTTGCTGGGGAATGAATTCGCTGTTCTGGTTCATGATTTTGGCATTCCAGTCAATTTCCCACTCATCACATGGCCCAGTGAACCACGACCTAGAGCCAGGATCCTAGCCTTGATCCCACCCAACCCTCCTACCCATCCAAAACTGATGGGGTTTTGGGAAGCAGAAGCTGGAACATCAAGGATCAGAGGAGCTAACCATGAGGTAATTTATTACTGCTATTAAAGATGGGGGTGCTGGTGGGGGTGACACTTGCATCATATGTCTTCCTTAGGCCAGTGGCACCTTCTGGAAGCTGTCTAACCATGAAGTGAAGTGGGCCTCTATACTAGTCAGGGCTCTCCAGAGAGGCAGAAGCAATAGGATGGATGGATAGGTAGATAGACAGACAGATAGATAGATAGATAGATAGATGATAGATAGATGATAGATAGATAGATAGATAGATAGATAGATAGATAGATAGATAGATAAATAGATAGATATGGATGGAGAGACATACATTAGATAGATAGATCCATAGATGTGGATGGATAGATGGATGGAGAGAGAGAGAGAGAGAGAGAGAGAGAGAAATACTGGCTAGCTAGCTAGCTAGATGAATGAATGGATAGATGGATAGATACACAGATGCATAGATACATAGGGGACATGAAAAGGACTTATTAGGGGAATTGGCTAATGTGATTGTGGAGGCTGAGAAGTCTCACATAGACGGCAAGCTGGAGAAACTGATGGTGTAACTCAGCCTGAAAACCCAAGGGGCTGTTGATATGAATCCCAGAGTTCCAAAGCCAGAAAAGCTAGAGTTTTTGTATGCAAGTGCAGAAGAAGGGTGTCACCTCCAGAAGTGGGAGAGAGAGTTTTCCCCTCCTCTGCTGTTTCTTCTACCCAGGCCTCAGTGGATTGGATGGTGCCTACCCACATCGGGTGAGGACAGATCTTCCTTACTCAGTCCACTGATTCAAATGCCAGTCTTTCCCAGAAACACCTGCAGAGACACACCCAGAAATAATACTTTGCCAGCTATCTGGGCATCCCTCCATCCAGTCAAGTTGACACCTGAAATCAACCATTAGAGCCTCCTCCTCACCTCATCCAGAATGTCAGATATATGTGTGGTCACAGTGCTTTGCCCATCCCTTCTAGAGGTTGTCTAGCACCATGGTTGGAAAGTTCACCTCTTGAAGCTACACTGAATTTCTTTTGCCTCATTTAAATGCTGGCTCTGGCTCTCCCATGCTGGAGACTGAAAACAGATTTGACTGTATTCATTCATTCATTGAACAAATGTTTTCTGTGAGAATACTATGGGCCATACCCTGGGCTGAGGAGGTGGTATCATGAAGAAAATGGTCCCTGCTTTTTATTTTCAGGTTAATTGACAATAAATCAGCAAATAATTATGAATTGTAGTGAATAAGCTGAGGAAGAAAAATTAGCCACTGTCAGAGAGAGTAACAAGTAGGGGAGGTGAAGGAGGAAAAGGGAGAAGCTGCTTTTGATTTGGAGGCCAAGGAAGGCCTCTCTACAGAGGGGATACAGGTTGATCATCCCTTATTTGAAATGCTTGGGACCAGAAGTGTTTCAGATTTCAGATTTTAGAATATTTGTATTATCTGCTTACCAGTTGAATATTCCAAATCTGAAAGTCTGAAATCTGAAACGCTCCAAATGTGCATTTCCTTTAGGTAATATGTCAGTGCTCAAAAAGTTTCAGATTTTGGAGCACTTTGGATTTTAGATTTTTGGATGAGGGATGCTCAATTTCTTTTGAAGCTGGGAAGGAGCCAGATGCCAGACATGAGCAGTATATTGGGAAGAGGGTTTCTGAAGAAAGGAACAGTATGTGTGAAGTCCTGGGCAGCAGGGGCTCTGCCCAAAGGGCCCTGCCTTTTGACAGAGGACATGGTGCCCCCAGTGTACCCTCAGCCTCTGGCTCTTTGACTTCTCACCACTGGGGAACAGGAATCCTTCCTCCACAACAAATGCCTCTTTCTCCTCTGGCAGAAGCCTCATGCCAGCCCACCCAGCCCTGCCAGCAGCATCAGCTGATCACTGGGCAGTTACAATCAACAAAGAGGGAGAGAATTAGAAGCAGGGAAAATTCCCACCAGAGTCACAGAGGTCATCTGGCTTGGGGGACAGGCTGTGGGGAGGACATTCTTTCTGCTTCCATTGTTCCCCACATTCCACAGGACTAGGAGTGATACTAATTGCTACCACCACAACTGCTTGCATTCCTGGGGCATTTTACTGTCTATGAAATGTTGTTATGTGCATGATCCCATGTGGCCCACTCTGCTCCCTAAAACCTTACATTTTTTTCATCTTTAATTTTTGCTGGTCTGCCCTCCTTTCTCTCCTTTTGCCTGAAACCTTCTCTGGAGGCAAGGGCAAAGTGGTTTAGAGGCTTGGCAGTGGGGTCAAAGATGGCTTCCACACATCTGGGAAGCCACTGTTGGCTGCCTACATGTTAGCCATTCTTCTTTCTTGCTAAGATAATTCTGATTTTTGTTCAGGTGAAAATGTTCCCAGCCCCAGGGAGTGAATACTAATTGGTTTAAGCCAGTTGTGGCAATCTGACCCCTGTTGACAGTGATTGGTCCAGGGATGGGCTATAGGACCCTGTTGTGGCCTAGATGTAAGTGAAAGTCTGGGGGGATTCTGAGAAAGATTTTACTATCTGATTATAAGAGAGATAAAGGGGAAAGTTATTTTTTTGCCCCTGCACTTTTCCTTCTTGGTTGAGACACTGATATGTGAAGACACGATGCTTGGAGCTTTGGTAACCATCTTGTGATGACGAGGGTGACAGAGCAGAAGACCAACAAAGCCTGGTAGAGACATCAGTGAGTGCTGCGGCAATCCTGGGGTCACCTATCTCTAGACTTTTTATAAACAAGCAATACATATCCTTGATGTTTAAAAAGTTAAATCCTTGTTGTTTAAGGCATCAGCATCACCTGGGAGCTTGCTAGAAATGCAATCTCAGGCTTCACTCCAGATGTACTGAATCAGAAACTGCATTTCAAAAAGATCCTCTAGGTGATTCCAATACATGTTACAGTTTGAAAAGCACTGGTTTAAGTCATGGCTAGTCAGATTTTTTTGAAACATGGATTCTAAAGCATGCTGACTGGTAGCATACCCCAGTCTCAGGTTTTCTTAGTATTCTAAGCATATTCATTTGATTCAAGATTCCAGAAGGCAAGTGCTCACTGTGATGTCTCCAAGTGGGGTCTGCACTCCAGGATGGATAAATCAGAGAGATCGTTATAATCCATGGAGCTTCCCTAGAGATAAGGTAAAGGTGCCCCAAGGAATAGAAAATTACTACAACTAAGAGGAAACCTGCAGGCCTCAATGGAAAGTGCTCAGCAGGATCCCAGTCAGGGTACAGCGTTAAGAACCACCACTGCCC
This sequence comes from Homo sapiens, assembly GCF_000001405.40. Taxonomy (NCBI): domain Eukaryota; kingdom Metazoa; phylum Chordata; class Mammalia; order Primates; family Hominidae; genus Homo; species Homo sapiens. The sequence goes on along the minus strand of NC_000011.10, from coordinate 112,843,358 downwards.
TTTTGCTGAACAAAGTGGGCTACACAAAGGGCAGCAGGGATTGGTCCAGGAGGTCTGTGGGGACTGATTGAATGCACTTGCCTCACAGGGATTGAGAAAGGTTCACAGGAGGGGCTCTGGGGGGCCTCCGATCCCTAGGATGAGAGAGGCCAGACTGGCCACATGAAGATGGACTGGTTCTTTTTTTGGAGATGTTTGAGGATCTGGTCTTGGAACTTGGTAACCTTTCCAAACCTTGGGGATGCACCTAGACTTCCAGTTCCATTCTACACAGCAATCATTTTGCCTATCTTTGGGGGAAGAATAGGAAAGACTCTATTTGATAAGATCCAGAATCTCAGATCTGGGAGAATAATGGCCATCTGCTTTCCTATGCCCAGCTGGACAGGAGATTCTGCCTTGAGAGGAGGAGAATTGGTTCAACTCCTAAGGAAACAGGAGGCAGTATCTGACGGTGCTTTTGTGACTGGATGTCTCAATGTAGAACCCAGGGCACATGAATTCATGCATGCAGATTATACCATGGCTAATGGCTTGTGGGTCAAGTGTCCCTTCCCCCTCTCCAGCTACTTTATGTGATGTGTGGTGATTTGTTTATTCTGAGAATTAATATAACAAAATAATTTGGAGTGTGAAATTTGGAACTGGACATAGCTGGCTAGAATTCTGGCTCTATTGCTTACTAGCTATAAAACCTTGGGCAAATTAACCTTTCTGAACCCAGTTTCTACCTCTGTGAAGTAGGAAAAATAGTGCTCACCTCTCGAGGTTGACATTAAGACTAAACGAGGGAGGCTGTGTGTGTGTAGCACTCAGAAATAACTTAATGAATGGTGGCTGTCATTATTAACATTGCATGTGTCTTTCAAAGAGGCCATATTGGGGAGCAGAGGGGCATGGGTCTGGAACCAGAGTGCATCTGAGAAGGCGGAGGCTGCATGCAGTGAAGGGGTCTATAGGAAAGCACTGGAGCCTGGATTCTCCGGCTGGACTCATCTTGGCACCTGACTGGATGAACCAGATAGGAAGACAGAGCAAAGTCGAAGCTTCTTTGCTGTCCCAGAAACTAACTCCCTCAGCATGATCCCAACCCACCCAGCTGTGAAATTGAGATCATTACCTACTTCCTCACTGCTCCCTTTACTTGTTCTCTCATCATTCCTAAAACAGGTGTATGCGGAGGCAGGGGAGGGCACAGCCCCTTAGCCCTACATCTGCCTGGGACCCCTCTGTTTCCTGCAGAGAGTTCTTCTGCAGTCATCTCTCTCTTCCCTATGGCTGTCATTTAGGCAAGGACTTCCATGCACTCCGTAAGCCACCTCCAAAGGTCTCCTCTCCTTACACACACTAGTAGCTGTTTGTCCATTTGTTCACTCAGTCAGCTATTAATTAACCAGGTGCTGGGTGGGGGGCAGATCCTGTGCTAGGTGCTGGGGACACAAGGGTAAACACGTTGTGGTTCCTCGAGTTATTCAGTCATCTGACAGACCCTGAAGGGACTCAGGATGTGGCTGAATGTGATGAACTGCTGGTCAGTGGCCACCCCCCTCCCCTGGTGACAGCAGCACATGGAAGGAAAAAGCAGAATCTTGTTGATTTCAGGTGGACCCCAGCATAGCAAGGGGGTGTAAGGTGGTTCCTCCTGTGCTACAGCTTTGGGGGCATGGTAACTCAGCAGGGAGGAATGGATGGCATTGGAAGAAGGGAACTACCTGCCTTTTGTGGCTTCAGGGGGTTCTATGATAGACACAGTATGAAGAGACCATGAGCACAGTCAAGGGTCCTGAAGACTCCCAAAAATAACCAAGGAAGATGTTGCTACAGGTGAAGGGGGCTGAGATCTTGCAGTTCTGGAAATCAACAAGCCTTTGGGTATTCATGTTAATGTGTCCTGCTTTTTGCATAGGCTGAGGAAGCCTGGGGAAATATGGGTTTCCCTAGAAGAGAGCCACATTGCACTCAGAGTGGAAATTCACCATCCGCCTTCCATTTTCCCCTCTTCCCCAAATTCATATGTTGGTGGCATAAGGGGCCTGATGCCACCTACCTTTTGGGAATATTCACTCAGCAAGCAAAGTTTGCATACAATAGAATCCCACCTTCCTCTAGGATGGGGCTGGACCAGCACAACATGCGCCCCTACATGTGTGTTCAGAAGGTAACCGTCATCCCTCTCTTCCAGGTGGGGTTCTCCCAAGAATCTTTTGCCTCAAATCCCCATCCCGACCCCTTACTCATACCCCTTACTCATGTGACTCTGTTCTGGCAACCATATACCTCCAAAAGGCTGGGGGCTTTGGATCAGAATTCCTCCAAATGAACTTCCTGGGGACCCAGACTTCCCCTCCTCCCTTCTCTAGCTACACTCTCTGCCTTGCTGATTTCACCCAGTCCTGTGACTCTAAATAACATCCATTAGCCAATGACTCTCAAGTCTAACCACTCATACATGACATCTCCACTTGGATAATAAATCATGCTGCTATAAAGACACATGCACACGTATGTTTATTGCGTCACTATTCACAAAAGCAAAGACTTGGAATCAACCCAAATGTCCAACAATGATAGACTGGATTAAGAAAATGTGGCACATATACACCATGGAATACTATGCAGCCATAAAAATTGATGAGTTCATGTCCTTTGTAGGGACATGGATGAAGCTGGAAACCATCATTCTCAGCAAACTATCGCAAGGACAAAAAACCAAACACCGCATGTTGTCACTCTTAGGTGGGAATTGAACAATGAGAACACATGGACACAGAAAGGGGAACATCACACTTCGGGGACTGTTGTGGGGTGGGGGGAGGGGGGAGGGATAGCATTAGGAGATATACCTAATGCTAAATGACGAGTTAATGGGTGCAGCACACCAGCATGGCACATGTATACCTATGTAACAAACCTGCACATTGTGCACATGTACCCTAAAACTTAAAGTATAATAATAATAAAATTTTAAAAAATGCACTTTAACTCTCTCAGAGCTCTTAACTGCACTTCCACATCCCGACCTGTTCCTTGAGTCTTCCCCATAACAATAATTAGCATCCCATCTATCTGGTGGTTCCAGACAGAAACTGGAGAAATCCTTGATTCCTGTCATCTCTCATCTTCCACATCTAATTTATCAGCAAGTGCTATCATCTCTACCTCCAAAATATTTCCCATACCCTAGTACTTATTTACACTACCTCTCGAAACAAAACTATCACCTTCCTCCCCTGAGCTCTGCAAAAGCCTCCTAATTCATCTTCCTTCTGCTCTTGTCCTGCTTCAATCCATTTTCCAAATAGCACTTTTCATGTGCTTTTGAAAATACATTATTAGACATCATTTCCAGCAGCTTCACATTACATCTAGACTAAAGACACAGTGTTTTGGCATGACCTCCTCGGGCCTGCCTGATCTGTCCCACCTACCTCTCTGTGCCATTCCCTCCTTCAGCTCTCCCCAGCTCCCCCCAGCAGCCCCCCACCTTCTCACTGCCTGGAACATCGCCCTTCCAGATCTCCAGATGGCTGAGTTCTTCCTAGCACTTGGGCTTCAACTCAAGTATCTCCAGCTCAGAGAGGCCTTTGGTGTATCAATTTTAAATATTCCCTCATGACATCCCAGTCAATCTCTAGTTCATTTTCCTGTTTATTATTATCTGCAATTATTTGATTTGATTATAGGTTATCTGTCCCCTGCCACCTCCTGTGTACACTGTCCCTCCAGCATTTAGAACAGGTCTAGAACAGTCGACATCCAATATATACTCGCTGAATGAATAAATGAATGAACACTTTTTGGAAGTTGTTTGCGGTAGAAAGATGAGAAGAGAAGCAAAAACCCAGTGCCCGAAGGAACCATTGTCTAATGAGAGTTTTCACCTACTTAGCACTATCTGTATGTCAGTTCTCCACATGAGAAGTCCCACTGAATCTTCAATAATCCTAAGAGGTATGCATTGTTATGATTTCTATTTTACATACGAGAAAGTGAGGCACATGGAAGTTTAATATTTGGCTCAAACTCACATAGCTAGTGAATGGTGGGGACGGGGCCCAGGCCTCGCCATCACTGGGCTCCCAGGGAACATTCTGTGGCCCCACTCACACACTTCCTTTGAGTCTGGAGGAGTCAGGGTTGCCATAATGTGACCCTCAGGGGATGCTGGATTCTGGCCCAGGGACAAAGAAGCAAGTCTTGACTTCTGCATCTTGTGATTCCTTAAGACTGAGAAGCTCTGCAGGGACCACTCTGCTTTTCCCAGCAGGGGACTGAAGCAGCCTGAGCTTGGTCCAGTGGAGAAGCTGCTAGACTGCTATTATTTCCCTTTCCTACACATATGAGGCAGCCACAGTGATTTGGGGACAGCAGGAGAGTTATGTGACAATGATTCTTGAAGTTAAGGAATGTATGAAATGACTTCTGCTGGGCCTTGCCAGCCTGCTGAATGTTGATGCTCCGGAAGCAGAGAGATAATCAGTAGAGTGACCACCTGTTCTTGGGCCATCTTAGTTCTGGCTGCTGCTGGGGGCTGGTGCCCATGACCTTGGGTGGGGTCCCTAGGGTGCATTCAGGAAATAGCGTGTTAAGTAATGGAAGCCTCCGTCAAGGGGCCATGATAGATCTGTTTTTGGCTGCTCCCTGATGGGGTGTGATTGATTCCCCCTGGATCCTGGATCCCTTTTCTTACTTATTGAGTGTGGTGATGGATTTTTGACAAGATTGATTTTGACCTGAATACTGCTGAGCTAAATGAATCAACATTGTCAATTTCTCCTCCTGGTCTCAAAGGATAGTTAGGTGGATAAGGACATTTTTCTTTCAATTGAAATACTTTTAGCTTCTCTGGCTGCCCAGCCAAAGGCATCCCTCTGCCAGGGCCCACTGGGTGCCCTCACACTGGCTCCTTCTTGTAGCCATGAATGCAGGGGTCTGCTTCCTCCTTCCTTCCAGAGAGGTCCATTCCCCTGTCAGACCAGTCTCCGTGCCTGCAGGGCTCTGCTTCTCTCAGACATTTATGACAGAAATATGAGCAGTAAATTGGGCTTGACTGAGTGAAGTGGAGAGAGAGATTTTTCTCTCATCTCTCTCAGAGCTGTGATTCGTTAATCGGCACATTACTTACTTTCCCCCAAACCTCGGATTCGTATCCAATCTTGAAGGCACTGCTGATGTATGGCCACTAGCTTCTTGGAATGGGATTTTCACATTAATCTTTGCTCCCTCAGAGTCTAAACAGTTTACACAAATGGTTCTAAGACACCTCAGTTTTCCTGCCTCTCTCTGCTTTCTCCAGATTTACACAGCTAGATCCACCGCTGGGCTCACCTGCGCTTTCTGGCTTCCTGGGTCCTGCCTGGGAGAGGAGGGGGTGCAGACAGTGGAGGAAGTTGGACAGGAGAGGGAGCTACCATTGCTCCTGGCCTCATCTGTACCCGAAGAATGGTTACCCTGAGGGGTGGGCATTGTTCTCCTCCTTATATTATTCATACTGTTTATGAGACTGCATAAACTAAACAATATTATCTAATAACTAACACAAGATGACTACCCATTGCTGCTAAAGGCTGTCTGCAGTGCTCCTCATTCGTTGCATCTGATCCTTAGAACAACTCTGCAAAGTACAGATGTTTTAGCGATGTTTTCAGATGGCCAGCCGGGGCTCACAAGTGTCAACAGCCTGCTCAAGAGTGCCCAACTAACCTAGTGCTCTTTCTATCATGCCCAACTGCTCTGCCACCCAGTGGAGGTTTGAGCTAAATCACACGCAGTTCGGACAGTTCAGGCATGATGATAGCCAGGTTCCCCAGTCAGGTGGCCGAGCCCCACCAGACCCTGAGCCAACCGAGGATGCAGCTTTCCTAGGGAGGAGCCTGAGGCACCTATCGGGGGATCCCTGGTCCCTGGCCTTACCCTGGAGCATCACCCACCAAGTGCTTCTCCAGGACCTGGCTCTGGGTAAGTATGGCTGGCTGAACTCTTGGACCTCTTGGCCCTAGGAACACAGCACTGCTTCCTGGGCTGGGTGCCAGCTCCCAGCTCTCAGATTGTGTCCCTGATCTCTCATTCCTCATTCTCTCCCTTCATTCTCAATTCACTTTCTACACCCATTATTCTTTAACAATTATTTTGACAATGACTAGCTTCTAAGGAAGCTCCCTAACTCATCATCAGAGAGACTTCAGCAGCCAATGATGGAACCCGGCCTTCCTCCAGGTCAGGAGGAACCTCAGCAGCCAATGATGGAACCCGGCCTTCCTCCAGGTCAGGAGGAACCCAGCCCCGGGTCCCCACTGAGATAATGAGCCATGAGTCCTGGATCCATGATTCCTGAGTCCAAGTCTGCAGCCTTTTTCATGACACCACATTTCCACCTCCAGCCATTCTCTTCCCACACAAACAACCCATTGACATTTTTATAACTTTATTAGACTTAGCTCACATTGTTCTCAAACTGGGGACATGTAATTTGGTTTGAGGAGGTGGGGTTTCCTGAGTACTGTCGATGCAGGCTTAGCCTGAAGATTATTACTGGGTAGAATATTCTAGAGAGGAAAGGGCCCCTGCTCCACTGCTGGGCCTGTAATGAAATGAATAGTCCTGCTGTTTTTTGGACAGGCACCTCTGAGCTAATAGCAAGTCACAGCAGTGCAGGTCCCAGGAGAGTGGCACTCCAGCCTGAGGAAGGAGTGACCCCTTCAAGCTGGGAGTCTCTGGATCCAGAGGTCAGCCTCCTCTTCCTGCCCCATGACCATCAAACACTGTGGGCACTGCTGAGAGACAGAGGGACTCAGAAGGGTGCTCAGAGGCCGTGAGGGGAAGGAATGGCAAGGTGGAATGTCTGCAGCTGAGGCCTATAAATCTGCAGGCCTTTCCCAGGGACTAAGCCTCAAGCAGAGGAGCCTGTGGGACGTTGGGGGAAGCCAAGGGGCAGCTCTCTCCTGTCATTGGGCAGAAGCTGGGACCGGGAGAGGGCGGAGCTGTGGGGGCAGTCAAGGCCCCCGAGTGGGTGAGTGGGTGCTTCCGCCAGAATGGAAGGGTGGGGGTCTCTGGTTTCTGTCAGACTCTGGGGGCTCGGCCTTTCCGATGCTCTCGCAAATCTGATTTATTTTCCTCCTAGTAATTCATCTCATCCTGACAGCTTCGGTGAAGGATTAGCTGCCAAGAGAAGGCTCTCTGTTGCCTTACCACACCAGGGAAAGCCAACTCAACAGGGAACGCCTCTTCTTGAGCGCTAACAAATTCTCAAGAAAAAAATGCAGACAGGCAGACTCAAAAGGGCCAGGTCCCTCAGAGAGCTCTCTCTTCTAATACAAATTCCAGGTTCAGGCCCAGGAGCTGAAGGTTCTGCCCCGGGCCGGTCCCTGCTCAGGCAATGTCTTCTCCCTGGTCTCCCTTCCACCGCCCCGCCCCGCGCCATCTTCACTCTGAGTGATCTGATTTGTGCTGTGAGTAGTGCAGATACCTCCTGAGATCAGCGTGGACGATTCTGGACTCCTTCCATTGGGGTCATTTTACTGACTGGTTATTCATCTGGGTCCAGAGGGAGGGGGTTGTGGGGGGTGATGTCTGGCTGTTGCTTAACTCCTTTATTGCTGGTTTGTCCTCTGCCTAGTTAATGTAGGAGCTTCCAGTGCTGCTCAGAGGCAGCTGTTCCCCAGAGAAGGGTGCAGCCACCTCCCCGCCCCAACTCCCCGCAGTGAATCTGGTGGTTATGTGTCTGGTCTCACTAGCTGGCACCTGCAGAGTGGGTGGGCCCCTGCTCTGTTGTTTCAGTCTACAAATCTAGTCTAAAATGTCTGAGGACTGATCTTCACTGTCTTGAACTCATCTGCTATGGAATAGGCAGGTTATAAAAAAGACAAATCATTTGCAGAGAAAGATCTCCCTATGCTAGGAGAAGTAGACAGAGATAAATGGAAGGAACTGCTCTCCAAGATTCTTAGTCACTTCCTTTTCTTTACAGGGGCAAGCTAGCCTGCTTTCCACCAGAGCATCTCCCTCCAAAGATGCAAGTGTGTGGAAATGAGACTGCAGGGAGAACTTCCAGGCAACAAAGGATGTGAGACTATAGAAGAGGCACTATAGCTGGGCTCATGGAGGAGGGATGCCGCTCTGGACTTTGCCCAGGGGATGCTGGATCTCTGATATGAAGGAAGAAGAGGGGGAGGAAGGGTCCCCAAGCCTCTGACCTTGATCTGAGCATCACAGAAGCCTCCTCCCCTGAGGATCCTGCAGTAGCCAAGCCACCAGCTTTCACAGATGATGGCTCACACTGAAATAACTTGTTCCTAGGGTAGTTGGTGATCAATGACTCAAATTAAACCTTAGAAAAGTTTTTTTTCTTCCTGACACTTTATAGGTTTCTCTACTTATCTCCTCCCTGGATGGCTGTATAAGCCAGATGACGGCTACCTGAACACTCTAGAAAAAGTGAATTCACAGAGGCTTTCACAGGGGTGAGTAAACCCTTGGATTGGCTGAGGGTGGGGGTTCCACCTGCCAACACCCAAACCAGCAATAATCCTTTCTAGGCAGCCACCCACTGTTTCTCTACCCAATCCCCCTTTCCCTGTTTACTATTTCAGCCTTCCTGGGTTGGTAAGAGCTGTTTCCTGCACCTCAGCCTCCCTCCCTTGTTCACATGGTTTCAGCTTCTAAATCAGGTTATCTCTCCGGTCTGCATTCCCAGTAACTGAATTATCTTTACATGAGTACACAGAGGTCTGGGCAGGGTGGGAGGGGCTGTCTGGGCTGAAGATTGTCTTCCTGGCCGCTCCCTGTGCTTGGTCTGAGCAGCCTCTTAAATGATGCTCCTGATCTCTTCTTCTCCCTCTGCAGCACAGCCTCGCAGTCTGGAGGGAGAAGAGGGCAAAGCAGTCTTCACGGATGCCACCTACTGCCTAGCTGGGCAGAGAGCCAGTGGATCAGAGAGGCCGGCTCTGTTCTTGGCAGGAAATGAGGGGCTGGCATGGAAATGCCACCCAGGCTGGGAACAAGATCTGTGGAGTGGCAGCCTGAGTGGGTGAGGTGAGGGGGAGTAAAGGACAACCCAGGGCTCTCTTGTCAGCAGCACTGGTCCACAGGGATCTTCAGTGGTCAGCATTCCAACATGCTGGGCTGGGCCAGGCCATAGAAACCCACTCTTTGTCAGTGAATCCCAAATTTCAGTGCACCTCTGAATCACTTTGGCAGGAGGGTAGTATTTAAAAGGCCGTTTCCCAAAGCCTAGCTCAAGAGTTGGATCAGGAAGTTCGGGATGAAGCCTGATAATTAGTCTTTTAATAAGCCTTCCTGGCAGGAGATGACTTTGAGAAATGTGGGTGTAGAGATTCAGACAAGAAAGCTAATAGGGTCATTGAAAGCCTTTTACCTACCAGAATGGGATCAATACACACTTCCCCAACTTTGAAAACAAGGTTTCTCCTAATACTGTCCTTGGAGCTACCCAACACCCACACTCCTATTAAAGCCACTAGGGGTGTTTGCTAAAATGCAGATTATGGGTTCCCAACACAGATGTATTGACTCAGAATCTCTAAGGGTGAGGATTTGAATATACATTTATAAAAAGCACCCTAATAATAATAATAACCTAGGTTCATATAATGCTTCCTCTGTGACATGTTCTTTAATATTAGCTCATTTAATATGTACAACAATTTGTGAGGTAGGTTATATTATTATTCCATTTAGCAAATGATGAAACTGAGACCCAGAGAGGTAAAGTAACCTGCCAAGTTTATACCACTACTTAGTGATTGAACTGGGATTCAGACCTAGGTGCTGCGATAGTTGGGCTCCTAATGTAGGAGAGGAAAAATATTTGTGCTCTACTATCTTATGTTTAGTGCCTGGAGCCTTTGAATTAAACTGACGAAAGGTAGATTAGCAGGAGGAAAAATACAGAGTTTATTTACCCGTGTAACAGGCATACATGTGGGAGAGCTCTGTGATGAGTAACTCAAAGGAGTATTAGAATTTGGGGCTTATGTACCATCTTAACAAAGGATAATAAAAGTGGAGAACAAGGGAAATAGGTTAAGGGGTGGCTGGGCTACAGTTTACTGTGGGGAGGTAAATATATGAGGAAAACTAATATTTGAGGTAAGATAAGAGTTATTTTAGTGAGGTTTACCTATGTAGAGCCATGTGGGCACTGACGTTTTGTCTCTAATATAAGGCTTGTTCACTGTACAGAACAGGGAAGGGGGAACACCTTCACAAAGGGAAAATTATGCACTGCTTCTAGGCAGAGAGAAGGTAGAGAGCTCTTGCCACGTTTGGTACATCTTAATTGCCTTCAGTGGTATACTTTGGAAGGCATATTCTGATTCCCTTTGCTAACCAGCATACCATATAGCCCAGCTTCTTCAGATGGAGGCTAAATCTCAAAACCCCTTATCAGTCATAATTGCCAGCTTCTGACCACCTCTGCAGTAGAGGGAAGAACCTGAGCAGAAGCTGATGTGGTGGTTGCTGAAGGTACAGGCCAGGAGGCAACTTGATGGTCTGTGAAGAGCACTGCTCTGGGAGTCAGGAGACAAGGATGTGCTAGGAACATGCCAGGTGACAGTAGGCAAGTTGATCCTCCTTTCAAGGCTTTGGTTCCAGCCATCTGTCAAGAGGATGCTAAGCTGGATGACTTCTAGATTCCTTCCCAGCTCTGACATTTGAAAATCATGTGCATTTGCCTTTCTGAGCAAGCTGAGGCAGTTTCCTGGAGGCTCTGTGTGTGTGTATGTGTGTATGTCATAGGGGAGAGGACTGTTATATGTGGGAGAAGTAGCCCCAGCCCAAGTCAGGCTGGGCATTTGTGTGTGGCTGCCATAAGTCTGGGTGTATCCCAGGCCAGGCCAGTGGGGAAGGGTTGGGACTTACGAGGGCAGGACTTGTGCTGAAATCAAGGCTGTTTCTATCTCAGCTGTTTGTCTAGTTTTGTCCTGAAACAATGCCCTTAGGCTCACCTAAGGAGAGAATGAAAGGCATAGAGACTGGGAAAGCTGTGGGGATAACCTAGAAACAGCTTCAGGGCAACAGAGACCTAGAAGTAGGCACCAGCTTTTGCCAACTGTACAGTCTTCTTTTCTACTTAGAAGCCAGCTCCAGGTAGCAGGCTGGGCAGGGCTAGGTGGGGCCGGACATCCTTTTGTGGTCTAATTCAATTCCTTGGGCCAGTTCAGGCCTGTGGAGAGCTCCATGGGAATGATCCACTGGGGAAAAGCCAGCCCCCACATTGATCCTGCAACTTCCTCGTGTAGCCTCAGCTATCTAGCAGCACATAATGTGGTGACTGAAACTGAGTCCTTCTCTGACCATACAGCTTGATCTGCAGTCCTTTCATCTCAAAGAGAATGGCCAGCAAGGAGCCCATTCATGGAGCCTTGTTGGACAACTCCACCTACACAGTCTTCAGTGGTGCTCTGGAGAACAGAAGCTGACAACAGGCTATGGTATGTGTGTGTCTATGAATGTGATGAGTGGGTGGTCAGGCACTGGTGTTTGATGAGAAGCCACTGGTTGTGGTTACCTTTGCAGCAAGAGACCATCATCTAGTCTCAGCTCCCATCTTTTTTTTTTTTTTTTTTTTGAGATGGAGTCTTGCACTGTTGCCCAGGCTGGAGTGCAGTGGCGCAATCTCCGCTCACTGAAGGCTGCAAGCTCTGCCTCCCGGGTTCACACCAGTCTCCTGCCTCAGCCTCCCGAGTAGCTGGGACTACAGGCACCTGCCAACACGCCCGGCTAATTTTTTGTATTTTTAGTAGAGACAGGGTTTCACCATGTTAGCCAGGATGGTCTCGATCTCCTAACCTCATGATCCACCCGCCTCAGCCTCCCAAAGTGCTGGGATTACAGGCGAGAGCCACCACACCCGGCTCTCAGCTCCTATCTTAAAGCAGAGACTGCCCAACCCTCCACATCTCCAGGGGTGGAGGGGGTGGTGTGTTCAGACTGTCTTTCTTGGTGCTCTACATGGATGGTCTCAAGACAGCTTCAACTTGGATATGGTTGGTGGCATGGCGGGAATGCCAATGCATTTAGTAGCTGGGCATTGGCCAACCAAGCAATTTACAGGGTTGAGGGAATGGCTTCAAGCCAGTATCCCTTGGGGCATGATGAGAAACCACCAGCCCTGGGGTCATCTATGTGATGAGTATTTGCTTGTAGAGCAAGATGGTGGGTGGGAGCTGGGAGGGACCTTAGAAGAATGCTGTGGTGAGCTAAGAGGGGAGACCTCTGAGAGAATCAAGCCCAGGTTCCTGCTAATGGAGCAATTATTAGCCTGCTGGTCTCCAAAGCACATCCTATAACCTAAAGCAGCATCCTTGTCTGCATCACTTCATGCCGGACCTAGCTGTGATACATCCTCAGATTCCAAGTCTGTTGCTTCAGAGGACAGGGAATGTGCCAGTACTCTCTGATAGAGGTGGACTCGAGGCGCTTCAACAGTTTAGTGATTCCTCCTCCATCCAGCCCTTCTTGATCCCCCTGGTCTGACCTGAGTGGTCCTTTCCTCTACTCAGCTCTGCACCTTCCTTATCACATTGTATCACAATTGCTACAGGTCAGTCTTCAGGTAGATTGAGAGCTCCCAAGAACAGGGACTTGCCCACTGTCTTGCCCATCTTTGTGTCCCCAGCCCTTGGCATATGGCATAGCTTAGGAGCTCTGTTAAAAGTTGTTGAAGGTTGTTGAGTGGATTGTGGACAGGTCTCTCGGAGATTTCTGCCTTGACAGGCCCTCTAAATCCCTTTCTTAGTGGTTCACCTCCTTCTCCCAGGCCCTGTTTCTCCCAGAGAAACACCTCCTCCAAAGCAAGGAGGAGGAGGCTGAGCACATGGTGGTTGTGGAAGGACACTTGGGGCTGACAGCTGCATGGTTGTATCATGAAAATGGCACCCTCACTGGGTGAAGACTTCAGCTGCCCAACACTCCACCCAGGGTTGGAATGAGAACCACAGGCTCCCTTCCCCCACCCCGGGGTAGCAGGCCCTCAGCTTCTCTCTAGCCAATCTATCTAGGCAGACATGGAGCTGTTGTCTGGCATCAGAGGTTTTCCTTGTTATGGGTCAGGTAGAAAAACAGCTTGCTTCCCAAGGAGAAAGTAGAACTTTGTCAGCACACAAGGGTAAATATTGAGTGCGATATGGTGCTAATTAGCTGCACAAAGGCCATTAGCATTAATGAGCTCTGTCTCTGTGGCTCAGTCCCTCTGCCGTGAGCAGCAGCACCATTGCTTTGGTCCAGGCTCACTGGCGGTGGCTCAGTGTGCTAGCTGCTGCTGTGCGTTTTTCTGATGCTTTTGTCTTGGAAGAAAAATAAAGACAGCTAGAATTACAATGAATTCCCTTTTCTTTTAACATTTCTTGGAACAAATGCAGAAACTTCAGGTTAAAGATACACTAAAAAGATTTTATTTGTTTCACATTCCCAATCTTAATCATGCCTTCTCATCAGACTTTGGACCACATAGGCTGGAATTGAAGAAAGTAGTAGGGTGGAGGAATGATCATAACCAGAATTTTAGGGGAACATTTAGTAGGTACCAAATACAGAACCATACACAACCTTGTTTAAGCCTCACAAGAACCACATAAGGTGGATTCTATTATCCTCATTTTGCATATGTGGGAGAGTGAAACTCAGAGGGGTTAAGTAACTTGCCCAAGTTCCTCCAGTTAATAAATGAAAGAGCTAGGATGCTTCAGCTGTGCCTGAATCCAGAGCCCATGATCTTAACCACGACACTGAACTCATTGGAAGGGAGTGCAGGAAGGATCGTACTCAACAGTCTTGCCTCTTCAAAAGTGGAGGAGAAGAAAAAAATCAACAAAGGTTTTGTTCATCACTTATTAATAAAGATATTTATTTATGGTTTATTTAACATCTACTATGGACTGGGTTTGGGGATGTAATATATTGTTCTTGCTCCCATGGAGGCTGTCATTAAGAGATGAGGTAGTATAAACAGATAACTACAATAAAAGGTAGTATGGTCTATGGCAAAGATAGGCACTGTGCATTGTGATAGCATGAATTAGGGGGACCTAAATGTATGTGGGGTATGAAAAACATGACAGAATCTTTTAATCTCTTAGTCTTTTTTGGAAATATTTTTTAAGCCTTTTTAATTGGTGAGGAAGTGAACTGCAGTGGATGGTGAAGGCTTCCTGGAGGATGCACTGCACGAGCTAAGCCTCAAGGAATAGTCTGTGTTAGGTAAAAGTAGCAGGGGAGGGGTACTGCTGGTTGCAGGGTCACTTGGAGCAATGACTCGGAGGTGAGATACAGCAAGATGTGTGAAGGGAGGACTACAAGTATGTTTCTGTTTGTAAAGCATGAAATATGGGGCAGGTAGTAGTGAGGAATGAAGCTAGGGGAAGGTGAAAGTAGGTCACAGAGGGTCTGATAGGCAAGGCAAGGGAGCTTGGACTTTATTCTCAGCAAAACGGGGCTCCCGACAGACTTTTAAGCACAGGAATGGCATGGAAGATGAGACTGACACCATTCACTGATGGGTGAATGGTGGCTAGAGGCTAATGCAGTAGCTTGGGCAAGAATGGTGGTGGCCTGAATGTGAACAGTAGTTGTAGGAATGGATATAGGGGACACATCTGATACACATTTGGGAGGCAGAATTGGCAGCCCTCAGTGGTTGTCTAAATATAAGAGGCTTGAGGGAGAGGGAGGAGTCAGGAATAGCAGTCAAGTCTCTGCCTTGGGAAATCTGATATGGGTAATGACATGTTATTTACACATAAGGTCTGGGGACAGGGTGTGGTTCAGTTTGGGGCGTGTTGAGTGTGGCATTACTATGGAATACCTAGGTGGAAATACGTAATACACGGTTGGATATGAGATATAGGGCCTACAAAAGCCACTTGGAGCATCCTGATAACAATTGAGACACTAAGGATGTTTGGGATCACCCGAGGTGGTTGTTGTTGGAGAAGAGTTGGTGCACAGTGCATGCCCACACTCAGCGTCTTACCACTCTTGCCCAACTCTGTCTCTAGGGTAGAATCAAATCCCTGATTGCTATACCTGAGCTTATCTCTCTGATCCTCAATGAGGCCACTGTCTTAGTCCATTTGTGCTGCTATAAGGAAATATCTGAGACTGGGTAATCTGTAAAGAACAGAAATGTATTTTCTCATCATTCTGGTGGCTGGGAAGTCCAAGATCAAGGTACCAGCAGGCAAGTGCCCAGTCTCTGCTTCCAAGATGGCACCTGTTGCTGCATCCTCCAGAGGGAAGGAGTGTAAGGAGTCCTTATATGGCAGAAGAGTCCAAAGAGGTGAAAAGAGGCAGACTCCCTCCTTCGAGCCCTTTTGTATGGGCACCTAATCCCATTCATGAGGGCAGAGCCTTCATGACTTAATCACCTCTAAAGGCTTCACCTCCCAGTACTGTTGCGTTGAGAATTAAGTTTCAACCTGAATTTTGGAGAACAAAAACATTCAAACCATAACAACCAGATGTTTCCAGTTCTTCTACTCCACAAGTGTAGCCCCCTTGGGATTATACAGGAAGATCCACTGGCAGTAGTGTAACTCTAGAACTCCTTCCCCACATTTCCTGACATGGAAATGGCAAAGAATTATTGGATCTAGCAGTGACGCGGGGGAAATGATTACTGTCTTCTCTGTCTCCACTATTCCCAAGTATTTCAGCTCTTTCTCACTCTCCAATTCTCTTCTTGTTGGGTTGATATTGCAGTGGGGGTTTGATCCTAGATGGGTTGATAGTGCATAGTGAATCCTGATAGTTAAAGAGGGTTAGGCACAGCCTGCTTTATGCTTGAAATTGACTCTAATGGTTCTTTCCTGCTTCTAACCCTTTTTCCCAACCCCACCTAATACTATCCATCTGGTCAAGGTAACTAGGGACCCCCCCCACCCTTATGGCTCTCTGAACAAGACCCTTACATTTTGATGAAATTACATTTCATTAAAACTTGCATATCCTTTGTTTCATTTTCTTACATCATTTCATCCTGCTTTCCAGACAGCTCCCTAATATAACAAATTCCTTAGGATGATATCTAGGTCCAGCGTTAGTGGGCCAGGTGGGAAAAGAAGAACAGTTATTGACAGGTACCAAGGAAGTAGGTACAAAAGCAGTGCCATGAATTAAGTCTAAAGGCCAAGCTAAGGGCGGAAAAGAAAGGAATGGATAGCAGGATTAGTAGGAGAATCAAAACCAGGGTGAACCAGAATTAAGTGGACAATGCGTGGTGATGAACTGAGACCAACTCCTGCTTTCTTCTATCAGGAAAGAGATTTGAGGATTGGAAATTATCTAATAGGTGCTGGTATCTACCATCCCAGATGGCTCAGGCACAGCTGCTCATGGTTAATGTGAGGCTTGTGTAATGTAAGCCAGGCTGAGGAAGGGGTCAAAAGTTGTTTAGCACAGTAATTCAAGAGTAATTTTTCTGCAAGGAGCAAGGTCAAAGACACATTGAAGGAAAGGCTCTATTTTCCTCAGATGAGGTCAGATAGAGGGAAAAATAGCCCTTACATTAGTGTTAGTGTTTTTGTTTCTAACATAACTAGTAAAGAAACTAGATCAGTGGACTGAAATTAGAGCACTCATCATTTCCATTTGTCTTAAAAATAGAAAAAAAAACCTTTAGTAGGACTAGCATCCTACTAAACTTAAAGCTCTGAGTTTGCAAAGCAAAGGAGGAGAAGACATCTTCCTTAGGTGAAGCAGGGGTAGTTTCTAGAAAGACGTGTATGGGATACAGATTTGGGGGCTTGAAAGAGGGAGATGCAAGGGTTCATCCAAGTGGGATAGATTTCTTCTGAAGACCTAGGCCTCCTTTCCTTGGGTGATAAAATGGAACAGCAAAACAGGAAGAGTTATCAGCTGGGGTCTTCCTACATCATGCTGGGCTGAGAGATCTACCTCACCCTTTGGCAAAAAAACTCAGAATATATTTATCATAGCCTAGTAAATGTTATATCTGGAAAGACTGGTGAAGCAGGAAGTATATAGGGAAAAGGCAAGGCTTCTACATTGCACAACTGCAGGGGGTACAATACACATGGGATTCAACGTAGAGGACTCATTCTGGAATTCGGCAACATAGCACCCCTGAGTAAGGGAGAACATTTGCTTCCTGTTCAGCCTTTAGGGTATGGTGAACACCTGCCGGCCTGATCTGCCTAGGAATGTTTCTCATTCTTTTAGCTAAGAATGCTGTTTTTCCCCTGGGAACTCTCCCTTCCCCACTTTACCCCCAATTCCATGAAATCTTCCTGGGACTCTCTAGTGGGGATTCAAGCTAGCCAATCTCTCCTTAAAATCTGAACTGTGAGTAGAATTATGCAAGGCCAGAAATTGTTGGAGCTGATGCATTTTACAGTAACTCCCTGAGAAGATTGCTTATTACTTCCAGTGCCACTCCTAGCCCTTTGTGATGCTTAGAAAAGACATGGAGCTCAGGGAATTGAAGCATCTTTCAGCAAAGAAAAAGTCACCCTTTCTCCAGGCAGACAAAACCCCCTACAGAGAGGCAAGCCTTGGTGAGCAGACAGCAAACTAAATCCACCCTAATTTACCTGGTCAGCCAGGTGCCCTGATGACCCTGAAACCCCTATACCCTTTCCTCTACTTTTGGAAACCTAGTTGTTCAGATTGTCTTTCAATTCTCTTACTGCCCCATACCCTTCAACTTAAGTTAGCCAGAGTATGTTTCTGTTGCTTGCTATCAGATAACCCCTAAGAGATACATAGCAGTCATATTGTAGAGACAGAGCTGAGGGAGCACCAGCCCCCATTATGAATTATTCAACTGAAGCAACACTGGGGATACTTATGGGACATCAGTGGCCCAAATAATAACTGAGTCACAGGGAATTATAAAAGTCAATTCCCTGATATTTTTTCTCATAGACTGACATACACACAGACATACATACAGGTGCACACACACACACGCAAACACACACACACACCTCTTCAAGGCAGAAGAGGAGGGATCTTTCCACTCAGATCACAGTTAGCCTTCTGTACCAGGGGGCAGGTGAGGGAGGGGATAAAAAGGAACTGTGTCAGATGGCTTATGTCAGCCCAGATGATTTCAAATCTCCTACGATTCCTTCTTGTTCTGGCATATAAAATCATTTAATTAAATTAATTTATTTATTTCCATCATGAGGTAGTGAGTTCCATTGGATTAATGGCTTTCTCCTTCACCCATGACATATTTGCACCATATCAGAGCATTTTGGAAGCTCAATCTTCACTAAGCCAGCAATTTTTTTTCTTTTGTACATATTTTTCTGCTTTTAATACCCCTCCCTGCTTGTCTATCTCCCTTCCCTCTTCATAGTCAGTATAAGAGGAAGGAGGAGGTTTAATATTGAAATGGGAGAGCTCACTGGCCCCCCTGACAGGAGGTGCAACAGGGGTGTAGCACATCTGTTTGGCTGCTGTGCATGCTCAAACCCTTTATGGGAGGAGGAACATGTAGATGAGCAGGTGCAGGAGCTGGGGAGAGTGCTTTTGGGCTCCAGCCCCACGGTAGCATCTGGGGTGGGTGCCTGTGACTTCCAAAGCCCCAGTGGGTGTGTGACAGTGCTCTTTTAGCAGTTGCCTTCCACAGATGGCTTAAGTGTTAACCAGCTCAGTGCCCTCTTGGTACCCAGGTTCTTGTCTCGTGTCCAGGATGAATCAGTCCACATGGACAAATTGAAGGATGATAAATGGGGAAGATTTTATTGCTGGATGGAGGTGGCTCTCAGCAGGATGGATGGGGAGCTAGAAAGAGGATAGAGTGGGAAGATGATCTTCCCCTGGAGTTTGGCCATCCCATGGCTATCTCCTCTCTGACCGTCCCCAGCCGAGCTCCTCTCAATGTTCAGACACTCTTTTTCTTCCCTCCTTCTCTGCTGCACCTCTCTGCTGCCCTGCCACTCTGCCCTTCTGTTCATCTGCTTGTGGAGCCTGGGGTTTGGGGTTTATATGGGTACAAGATGGGTGGTGTGGTGGGCTAAAATGCCACATTTTGGCACAAAAACAGGAATGCCTGTTCCCATTTAGGGCCTTGGGTTTCCAGGCTTGAAGGTGGGTCCCTTGACGAGGAACCACCCTCTTCTACCCAGTATTTCCCTGCCTTTCATGTGTATCAACATGTGGCTTTGTAAATGATAAATCCTAAATTTAAATATCAATTTGCATTTACTATCTATATGACCCCAGATAAATAACTTACCCTTTTGAGCATGTTTTTCCCTGTCTACAAAGAGGCATGATATCTGGAGTGGACATTTATTGTTTTTGCTACCCAGCATCTATTCCTCTTTCTTCTGCTTTCTTCTGTAACAGGAACCCCGTTTTCTGCTGAGAATCCCTCCACTGGCCTGGAGGCCTGGTGCTTTGTAAAGGAGGAAGCATTAATGCCTACCCTTTCTCTCTGGAGATGGACATGTGACTCAGGCATGGCCCTATTAGGCCACTGTGTCTCCCAGTAAAGCAGTGGGTTCATGAGTGACCATGTGACCCAATCTACGCCAATGGAAATCATGGCTAAGACTTGGATTCAAATCATGCAGAAAGACTTAGTCCTGGAGCTGCTGAGAGCTACTGAGTTGAGGAAGGCTGTCAGAGTGACTCCTAATACGAGAAAGCAGAGCTGAGAGAAAGAGACAATGTCCTGATGACATCATTTGTTCAGTTCAGTCCAGAAGGACTTGACACCAAAAGTCCCCTGGATTTGGATGCTTTTAGTTACATGAGTCAATACCCCGCTCTCCTTTTCTGTTAGCCTGTTGGAATTATGCTTTTGCATACTTGCACCTGAGAGTCCTGACTGATATGATACTATTTACCTTTCAGTGCTGTGATAAGGGTGAGAACTTAAATATGAACAATGTATGGAATATGGCAGATGGTTAATAAATGGTAGCCTTTGTTATTTCCATTGTTTTTATTGCTGCCATTATTTTCACAGGTGATCCAGAGTCCTCACCGTCTACTCTCCCATCCCTTCAACCAAACTTTCCTGGGCAACTCTGATGCCAGGCATTTCTAGCACTGTGACAGAACCTGGTGGAGGACAGAGGGCTCCACTTCAAAGGTAACCACCTGTCTCCTTCTGCTATAACAGGGCTGACCTCAGTGCAGCAGAGGGCAGAGCTTGGAGGCAGCTGCTGAGAATTTGCACTCTAAAGACATCCACCTAAATCACAAGCTTTATATCTGGGCACTCAGCCAGACCTCCTGACCATATCCTGGACTGCGGACTTTGGATGGTGGAACGGGGGTGGAATTGAACATTAAATGAGCAACATGCTAATTCCATGCAAATGAATATCTATTTTGAATCAACAGCTTGGGCACTTTTTCTAGGAGGGCTGAGGCAGCAGGAATCTAAAGAGAGGATGAGAGGGGGAGGGGTTTCTCTCAGAGGTGGCAGAGAGTGCAAAGGGGGCTCCAGGCTGGGCAGAGCCACCTCCTGCCCACAGTTCCTAATGCTATTTGATTGGCTCATTAGCAAGTATGAAACATGGGAAGTCCAAAAAAAAGGAATAAAGAAAAAAACCCCAACTCTGAAATGAATAAACTAACAGATGGAGACTTAATTCAATTTGCATGCAACCTACCCTAGCACCAAGGACTTTGTTTGCTTAACAATGGAGACCCTGGGGGTGGGGAGGGGTCCCTCCTGCAGAGGGGCTGATGGGGATGATCCCAGATCATCTCTTCCATGCTGCTCTTATCCTTTCCTGGCGGCCAGATGGGTATTCTTGTTTTAAAGCTCCTCTCCCTTGGGCTGGTCCTGAATTCATTGTCTTATCCAGAGAGAAAGGTTCTTGGGTAGAAATGAGGCTGGCTTTGTGGGAAGGATGGGGTGGGGAACTGTGGGTAGCAGCAGCAGAGGGGGATGAAAAGCCATTCAGAAGCCAAGGGACTAGGTCAGGGGGACACCTGCCCCCACATCTCAGCCTGCCCCCAAGCCCCACACTCAGAGTGAATCAGAAGGCCAGGTAGCTGGGAAGCAGAGACTCAACCCTGGTCTGCCTGACTCCAAAGCCTGCATCCTTTCCACTGTATATCCTGCTCCCAAGACCTGGATCCAAGTCTTGCTTTGCCACTAACTAGCTGTTTTGATTGTCATCAGGTGACCTGAAGTCTCTGAACATTGAGATTCCTCATTTGATGAGCAGGAATAATAGCCAAATGAACCTCGCCATAGCTGCTGTGCAGCAAATACCAAATGTGTGGATATGGAAGCATTGTGTGCTGTTTGCATTTCTATCCAGGTTCTCACATTAGGGACAATCATTGCTAGGGTCCAGGGTGTCACTCACCTTCCTTCCCTCTAGGGAGCTGACAGATGGGGTATATGCACAAAGAACAGTAACCAAATGGGAAAAGATGAACTACTTTACTAAACATCATAGCAGTGCCAAGCTCTGGCAAAAGCCAGATAGGCCAAATCCTGAAACAGAATCCTGGGAAACAAATCACACTTCCCCTGGCCCACAGGGAGAGAGGAAAAGAGAGAGATGGCCTGGCATCCCTGAGCACATGTCTGACCAACCACAGGGTATGGGCTGTAGGCCTATCTCAGCCTCTAAGGTGCAAAAAGGAACAGAGAAAACCAGGGTGTTCACATCTGGTTTTAGAAGGGTCCAGGTGTATGTAGGAGAGGAATAACTTTTCCTATGCCCTCTTAAGTTCCGTGGCCAGCTGGGCCTGACAATTAAGTTGACATAGACTAACAAGATAAAACCATACGAATTTTATTTAATATTTTTGTGTGTACATGGGAGCCTTCATAGGAAAAATGAAGATCTGAAGAAGTGGTTAAGACCAAGAGTTTATGTACCTTTTTAAACAAAGATTAATAAATTTTTGAAGAAGTGATGAGACAAAGAAAAAGGGTGTTAAATTTCTAAGTGTGGTAATTTGTGGGAAAATGATGAGGAAATATGTGGGGGAAAACTAAAGCAAGAGAAGGATTATTTTAGTAGGTTTGTTTGTACAGATCCATTTCAGCATTTGACTCCTAGTCTCTGGGTAAGAGTATTCTCTATCTGATGTAGGAGCCAAGGGGTTGGCCCTCTGAAGGTTTACTGAAAAATCACCTCACAAAAGGCAGATTAATTGGGGGAAAAAAAATACAAATCTATGTAACGTGTACACATGGGAGCCTGCAGAATGAAGATCCAAAGATGCAGGGGAAATTGTCCATTTTTATGTTTAGGTTCAACAAAGTATGGACAGCCATGTAGAAATATGATTGGACAAAAAGGGTCTGATCTAATGCTAATAGATTGAGTATGGAAATCCAGCAAGGTCTGTCTGTCTAGATTCTTCTTGACATCTCTGAGCATGCGTTCCTTCCTCCTGGGTGTAGGACAGGTCTCCCTCTGGAGTAGAATCTTACGACCTACAGTTAAACAAAGTAGATTGGATAATTTCTTCATGGCCAGTTTTTACATAGAAAGGTAGAGGAAAATTAGAGTAATACTTTTAAGTTATATTGCTGGCTTTGGGGAAAAGGAGTTCTGGTTTCTGAGACAACCCTCAGGGAACAGGGATTCTCATTTTTATGGCTGGCCTCAGGGGGGAATGGGACTGAGAGAGAGATGAGGGCAGGAGAAGGTCAGAGAAACACTTTCACTTCCGAGGCCTTCATTTTGCAATATTGCTTTCCAAGCCTCAACGTGGGTACAAGGAGGACACCTTTCTCGTAGAAAATCTTATGACCTGCTTTTAGGTAGAAAGGGAAGGTCAGCGAGCCCTTCCTGCATCTGCTGCTTCTCAAGTGCCTTCAGCTCAAAATATCTCATATGCCAAACGGGCATATTTTGGGGTGGCATGTTTTGAACTCCCTCCTGTGCTTTGCCTGGGGACAAAAAGGAGACCCCCTGGCTTTCTGCAAAATAAATGAGAAGGGACCGTGCTTTTGAAGGCCCAGGACTTGCCTCAATAGTAAGGGTGGCTACTGCCATGTTAGGCTTTGACCTATCGATTTCCTACCTGAGGTTTTTTATGGGAGGCAGGATGGCTCTTCTTGTTGTTCTTTTTCTCCCTGTCCTATATATAGGGCAAGGGACAGGCATGAGAACTTTTTGCCTCAGCAATATTTGACCCTGATTCAGAGAGCTAGGTGCTGGGGACTTCATCTCTCTTGAAAGTCAGAATCCTCAACTCAACCTCAATGAAGGCCCAGGTGCTATTGGAAGTATCTGCAGAATCACAGTTTCATTTGCCAGAGGTGTGGGAAGTAAGAAGGACAAAGGAGGTCATGAGGGAGGAAGTCAGGTCTGGGAATTCAGATCTATCTGCCAAATAACTGATCAATTAGTGTTGCTCAAGTTGAAAGGCTGCCCTGTTGGACAACTTCCTTTGTCATCTCTTTTCAGTGGAAAGAAAATGAATATTGATCCTGTTCTTGGCTCCATGCTCAGCCCCTTCAAATGAATATGATTGGGTTTTCCCAATGTAGTGGGTGACACTCGGACGTTTAGGGGTAATTGCATCTTCTCAGAACTCAGCCCTTGAAGTGGGGGCTGATTGAAGTGAGTCTGAGAGGATTTGGGGGTCACTAGAGGTTAGAAAAAGGCAGCTTCAGGTCTCAGATGGTGTCAGACTGGTTTTCTGCATCCTCAAGGGGCAGGCTTTGAACCTGAGTCACCTTAGAACTGGCTCAAAAATTAAGTTTGCAGAAGCTAAAAAATGGTTCCAATGAATCGTGGGAGACCAGAATATGCCACCCCAAAATATGCCTCTTTTGCATAAGGATTGTTGAGCTGAAGGCAATTAAGAATAAGCAGCTGCAGGAAAGCTCTCTGCCCTCCCTCCATTTGCCTAAAAGCAGGACACAGATTTACAAAGACAAAAGGTATCCTGTCCCTACTTCTAACAAGGAGAACACAGGATAAACTTTGAAGACAACTTTAGATCCTTATTCCACCTGGAGACAGCACCAGAGGAATCTGCATTAACAAGCTTTACTAACTAACATTTATCTGCCATTTATTTGCCTTTCCACAAGTCGCTGCCCCTAGAGACTCAAAGTCCTTTTTCTTTGTCTTTTCACATCTCTAAAAATTTACTGTTCTTTGTTGAAGATGCTATATAAGCTGAACTTCAAAGACACTTCTTGGACTTCAAGGACACCCACTCATTCTCTGGGTGTCTCCCATGCATGTGTGAAATATATATATTAATAAATGCCTTTTTGGTTTTCTTCCATTTATCTGTGTTTTGTTACAGGGGGTCTATTCCAATTAAGAACTTATGAGGGTTGATGAAAAAATTGGCTTTCTTCCCCCACAGGATTCTTGGAAAAATGAACTATTATACTCAGCATGAGACCCAGAGGAGGTGGGGACTGCTGGGCAGGACCTCTTAAACTTCCTAGTAAAATGTTCCTAATGGAGAATGAAAGGGTATCTCAAGAGTCCTGGGGTACACTCTGAAGCTGCCAGCTATAAGCATAAATTCCTTTTAACCTCATGGACTACCGTAAAAATTCTCAAGAATTTTGCATTCTCCTACATAATGTTTTTATATAAATATGATGTTTTGAATCAGTTGTCAATTAGTAAAATTGATCACAGAGGAAAATTCACCATATTCATGTTATAGCTTTAGGAACTGCATGTCCTACCACCTGGCGTATGTTATTTTGAGAAGCATAGCCCATTAACAACAATATTCAGATGCATAGACCTCCTGATTCTAAGCTTTGTGGAGGTCACTACTGCAGCATGATTGCTTTCTGCCTGGGTCATCCTCTCCCTGGGGGTGAGAAAGGAGTCTGTGTCCTGCTGAGTCTCAAATCTTTCTGAATTCTGGAAAGTCATCTCCTTGGGTATTCCAGAGCCATTGCATCTGGTGCTCCACGTGCAGTCAGGGACATCCCTCTTTCAGCCCATACAGACAGGATCATATGCACTGAGGGGGCCCCAAGATGGCGAGTTCACAATGAGTTTCAATGATGTGGCCTCCTTTATGTTAAGCCATGAATGCCACCCATGTACACCAGCAAGCCAGTGGCTAGGGATGAGGTATAAGAAGTAGGAGAACTTGGGGCTCATGAAAATATATTATCTTTCACTTTGAAAATTGTTTCCCTTGCACATCTAAATGGACATTTATTATGCATTTCCATAGTTACAAGTAGAAAAGGGTAGTGGGAGAAATTAGTGGAAAGTAATTGAAAACGCTGACTTCGATATCAAAAATTACACGTGGATATGTGCTCCCCTGCTGCCTTCCCCCAACTTCCCCAACTCCCACCACACACACTTAGGGAGTAAGGAAGATGGGGCGGGAGAGAGAGGGGAAAAAAAAAGGCACGTGCACACGAGAGAGAGAGAGAGAGACAGAGAGACCCACCTAGGGGGCTAGGGTAAGAGTAAAGACAAAGGAGATCAGCTTTCAGACACCAATCTCCTCATCTGTATCTGCAGATTACTAAAAATGCTGCAACTGTTGTTCAAAATATGCTCTGGATCCTTGTGGCAGCAAAATGGCTAGGTCTGCACCCTCCTTAAAATCTGTTGTCCAGGAGGAAGTGGGGAGAACGTGCTCCCTAGGTTCACCAGGCTGAACCATGGTTGAGCAGCTCAGAGGCTCCCAGGATCCAGGGACAAAGACCCAAGCTTCTTGAGATTAGGAGGCCAGCCTGTCTCTCTGCGGCACAGCCAATTCTCAGGGCACAATTGCTTTGTCAGGCTCTCATCACTGAGAAGTAATTTCCGCTCTCCCTGTCATCCCAAGTCCTGCCTAGCTAGCCAGGAATGCAGTGTCTCTGCTGGGCTCCTGTGCAGATAGCATTTAATTTCCATTGCATTGGGCTGAGGAATCTGGCATAATAAGGTATAGACCTGTTTGGCCTGCACTGCAGGGAGTCAGTGGTAGAAGAAGGATTCTGGGTGGAGGCAGACTGGTCACCAGGACAGTAACCCTGCCCCAAAGCTCTGAAGCCAATCACAGGCGTGTGGGGAGGCCTTTATCCCCTCCTCAGGCTCCCACCCTGCATCTTTCCCAGGTGTGATAGGCAGTGTGACATGGTGAGAATAAGGCAGGATTTGGTCTCAGACGGCCTGTCTGGAATTCACACAGAGGCAAGTGATAGCCTTGTACCTCGTAGGACTGTTGAGAGAAATAATTGCACACATACCTGAATCCTTTGGGGCTGTGTCCAGGTAGTGCCAAGGCAAGGAACTGGAGGAAGAGTTACAGATAGAAGCTCAATTCCTGGTTGTGTTCCATTTTTTTCCCCATGTGTCAGTTTCCTCCAGATCCTGGCTGAATGGCTGTGTCCCCAGGAGAGCTGGCGAGAACGTAGACCCTGCTGCGTGAAATTGTTCTGGGTTCTGTGTTCTATTTCCCTCTCTTCCTAGAGAGAACTGGGGTTCCTCCATCCCCAGAATCCTGCACATACTTCTATTTTGCTCTTATCTCTCTGATTGCAATTTATTGTTTCCTTTTCTTTTCCTATCAAAAGGTTGAACTGCATCAGGGCAAGGCCTGTGCCTTATTAAGTAGTTGAAAACAACAGGAAATCAATGAATGTTTGGTAAGTGAAGGAATGAGTAAGGCAATGAAGCAGGTTCTATTGATCTAGGAACCTGACCGTTCAGTTTTGGCTTTTGGGGCATTTGGTTGTTACAACATCTGCCTGGCTTTTCCTCCATAAAGAAGAATGTGAATCTGACATGCTAAACAATAGGAAATCCATGAGTATTATTGGAGTGATTTTTATGTTTCTATAGAGTTTTTTACACTTTCACATTCATGATTTTATTTGATCCTTATTAGTAATTTAGCAAAAAAGACACAAGAAAGCTGAAGTTCAGGGAAAAGTCAGGGGACTTGTCCAAGACTATGTGTAGGTAACTGGTGATGGACCCAGTATTAGAATTCTAACTTTTGAGCTCTGTCCAGATGCTCTTGAGAGGAATCTGCAATGCAGTTTACCAAACAACACTTTTAAGAGGCCACAGGGAAAAATCCACCAGGTGTGCAGGTGTACAGTCACTTTGCTCACTTATTTTTCATGAATGACTTCTGCATAACTTCCTGGGTCATGCACTATGATAAAGATGGAGAATGTAGAGAAAAGTATGAGGGTCTACTAGGGGAGTCAGAGTCATAGGTTGAACTTGAAGGATTGGAGCTCTAAGTGAAGTCTAACAGCAGCATGGTAGGAGTGAAAGGGAAGAAAATTGGTATATTGGAATTTGCATTTCCAAAGCTGGAAGAGTTATAGATAATGTGGCCCAGAATATGGCCATAGGATTGGTTGTTGCTAATGTGGATACATGTTGTTGGAGTTGATAATGTCAAGGAATGCCAATGCTAGGGCTCAAAATAGTTTGCATAGATGTGAAATGTGATGACAGAAGCTGAGGAGCAAAAGAAATTTTGGAGCCAACTAATAAAATACAGAATGAGTGAGAGGAATGAAAACTAAGCTGGAGGGTAATGGTGACAAAGATGAGTGAAAGAGTTAAAGGATGGTGAACCAGCTCACATAACTTCCAAAGAAAGAGACCTTTTTGCAAGAGGGTATGAAAGGAGGGTTGGATGGAAATCACTGGATTAAACTGGTGTTATAGAATGTTTGTATCCCCACCCCCTGCCATATTCTTATGTTGAAGCCTTAAGCCCATAGGTGATGATATTAGGCGATGCAACCTTTGAAAAGTAATTAGGTTCAAATAAGATCATGAGGGTGGGACACTGATAGGATTAGTGTCCTCATAAGAAGAGGAAGAGAGGCCAGATATTCCTCTTTCTACAAGCCCAGCACCAAGGAAAGCCCATGTGAGCACACAGTGATTCGCAGTCCAGGAAAAGGGCCCCCACAAGACACCAAATCTGCTGGCAACTTGCTCTTGGAATTCTCAACCTCCAGAACTGTCAGAAATAAAAGTGTAAGCCATCTAGTCTATGGTAATTTTTTATAGCAGCCTGAGCTAAGACAATTGGTAAATGTAGATTGTTTCATTTATTCAGTGTTGGCTAAGGAAATCATGAAGGCTTAACACAGTACTTAAGTTTATTTCTCACTCCCATTACCCATCCCAGACTGGTCAGGAGGGGAGGAAGATACTCTGCTCCATGTAGCCATCAAAGAACCTAAGCTGATAAAAGTCCTCACATCTTGTACTGTATCATCTGAAATATGAGACTTCCACGATCACTACTGCAGGGGAAGAGATGCTGGAGGGTCCTGCATTAATTCTTAAGTGTACTGCATTGCTCTACTCACAGTCCATTGACCTGTACTGGTCAATGGCCACACTTTACTCAAAGGGGTTTAGGGAGGTGGAGGAGCATAGAAATATTTGAACAGTAAATGTCTTTGTGATCCTGGTAACAGACTCCACAGGCTTGTTTGGCTCATTCATTCAGTAAATACCTGAATGCCCCTTTGTGTAAAACAATGTGCCAGGTGCATAGGACACAACAATGACTAAGAAGGGGTTGTGGTTCCTGCTTTAGGGAGGTTTTTTGCCACTCTTTGACATCTTCTTGTTCTCCTGGCTTCAGACCCTGAGCTTTTTTTGCTTGCCACCTTCCAGTTTAGAGTCTTGGCTCCTGTAAGACTGCCTGTTTCCAACTCTAGACTATGCTTCTTAGAGCAAATCTCCGCTAGGCTACCACATTTCATTGGGTAGAATGGGTGTAATCCTGGTTCCATGAATCATGTCTTTTTCAGTTTTTCAGCTGCAGGGATGTAGGAATATTTCAGGGCCATTGGGTTTTTATTGATGAAGGAGGGAACTTAGACACTCTCCAGGCAGACATGTCCCAGCATACTGACCAGGGTAGGAACTTCTTCCATCCCACCCAGATGCTTGGTTTGGAGTGGTGGATGGGGTCTGGTGAGCTGGTAGTGGCTCAGTTTCAGGCTTGCTGCCTCCAGGAACATAACACTATTCAGTAGGCCATAATTGAAAATCTATTAACTCTGGAAACCAGTATTGCACATAAACCTCCCCAGCCCTGGCCATACTGCAGTGAGCACTTCCTCCCCGTTATTCCTATAAATCACGGGAGATGGGCTGGGAACCAATCGATGAGAAAAAATTATGCCACAGCATTAGATTTCATCATACACAACTTGAACTATTACTTTTCTGTCCTGTGGTATGAGGAATCATGAGAATTAATAGTCTTCCTCTTCCCCAACGATGGGTTTATGACTCAGCCTTACCTACACTCTATTTCTTCCTTAAAACCATCAATTAATTTTGGGTACTTAAAACTACTCAGTTACTTCCTGAAATTAGCAAGCATCACCTCTATCTCCCCCATATAGAGCCTTAATGGGATTTTTAAATAATGATATGGTTTCCCAGGTTTTGGCTTCCTTCAAATGTCTGGTTGGGAATAAGGTTCTGCCTCATCAGATTCCTCCCTGTGACCTTCTCCCTAGACTTCTCTTGGCTCCATCTTTCTAGTGATGTATCTGGTACTCAACCTCTGTCTGCCTTTTCTCTGCAGATGGTTAGGATAAGCAAGACTAGAATCAAGATGATTTTAGTTACTCTCCATCTCTTGTTTCAGCATTCCATTTCCCTTGCTTTGAGAAACTTCTTTCTGAACTCTAACTCCTTTGAAAACAAAATGGAGGAGTGGAGTCCATTTAGCAAATAGCTCTGGTGATGCCCTTCTGGGAAAATTCCAGTACCTGAGTGACTGCAGCAGGTATAGGTCAGCTGGGCAGATGGGGTAGTGGAAGGCTTTGGGCCAAGACATGGAGATGAAGCAGGAACAATATGGAGCAGTGTCCTTAGTGTATCTGAGCCAACCAGCAAATATTTGTTGAACATATTCTATGTGTAAAACATGCTAGATGTTATTTTAAACTTTTACTTTATTTTGTGTATGAAACTCAGATTTTCTGAGAGGGAAGCAAGAAATTCTATCCAAGATCCATGAATGTTTTTCCTTTAGTCATTCTCAGGTGAGTTTTCAATAGGTTCACAGAGAGGGAAAAT
Source organism: Homo sapiens (assembly GCF_000001405.40). NCBI lineage: Eukaryota > Metazoa > Chordata > Mammalia > Primates > Hominidae > Homo > Homo sapiens. The sequence goes on along the minus strand of NC_000011.10, from coordinate 112,813,371 downwards.
GTCCTCTGGAATCATTCATTTATTTGTTCATGCATTCTATAAATACAATGAATTGATGTTATATCAAGGCAGTGCTTGGGATGATTTAGGGTATATAAAAGTGACACAAGTATAGCCTCAGAAGTTAGATATTTGCAACATTGCAACATTGTTTGGAAGGTAAGACTCTTGGGCAGGCATCTCATAATTCAAGGCAGTAGGAACTAAATGCTTTATGACTGGTAGAAAGGAAATCCTTATTACTAGAAGAGGCAAGAAGAGAGGTCTTCTCTAGATGGCTGGCCCCAGTTGTGTGGGCTTTTGCACAAACCAGAACCTGCCTCCACCCTCTAATGCTACTAAAGTTAGAATGAAACATCAGACACACTAACACAAGTCCAAATGACTGAACAACTGGAAAAGCGCCAGGGTCAACATACACCTGCTATCTTCTGGAATTTCCCAGCTCCCACACCATCCAGGGTTGCAGGGGAGCTGCCATGTCACAAGGAGTTCTCACCACAAATCAAGCTGATTGGGCTAGCTGAGAGCTCCAAAACCAAGTGGAACCCATGTGTCCCTTTCCTCAGGATATTTATTTATTTATTTATTTATTTAGAGATAGGGTCTTGCTACGTTGCCCAGGCTAGAGTCAAACTCTTGGGCTCAAGCAATCCTCCTGCTCCAGCCTCCTGAGTAGCTGGGACTACAGGCACACAACACAGTGCCCACTTCTGGAGGATTTTTGGTCTTAGGCCTGAGAGTGGAAAGTCTCTTGTGGCTGAACTAGAAGATATATATTTTGGGAGCTGCCAGTAGCCATATTTCCAATGATGGGAACAGAGAAGTGAGGGACGTGAGTTCACTCTCAGGGAGAAAAAATGCAACAGAGGCTAGGAAACAAGCACTAACATGAGATGTGGAGGGAGTCCTGAGGGAATGTGGGAACTTGGTTATAGCAATTCCTAAGCCCCCATTGAAATCATGCTCTCAGGTTCCAGGAGACATTCCAATGTCCTTTATAACAAATCCTCCATTTTGCTTAAACAAAGTTGAGTTGGGTTGGGTGTCTGTCACTTGTATTACACAGTGTTAAATTGAATGAAGTACACTAGACCACACGCAGAATTTACAAAAGTATTACCTAGAAATCCATAATCACAATTCTCAAAATCCCTCGCCCACAATGTGGAAATCATACATTGCCAATTTGTTGGAAGCGAAGAGAGAATTTAACAGAAAGTATGCCTCTGAAATGAGCCATGCCTAGAGCTTCCAGCCCCATAAGACAGAGGGTGGAAGTACTTTCCCTTCACCTCAAGGCAAGAGGATACACCACTTAGGCAGCTTGACATTATTCCCTGCAGTTAGGAGGACCCAGAAGGCTGGTGCTGGACTCCTGCCCATGAAACCTCGAAGGCAGGAGGGCTTGGCAGACCAGCTGCTTCAGTTGAGAAGTTAAGGAAAGCTGCTGCTGAATTGACACTGGCCTATACTCCTGGGATTTGTCAGAACAAAAGAGGCAGGAGTGCTTTTTATGGACCATATAGGCACCGGTGGGAGAGAGAACTGACCTAAATCCAGAAGGATCGCAGTGGAAATCCAACAGAGAGAACCCATGTGGAGTAGACTGTCAGAAAACCGAGGCATTGAAAGGGGGGTGACCAACAGGAAGGCAATACCGAGTCAGGGTCGTGGGAAATGCTGTTAGTTTTCCAGCAGGGCCTCTGACAAGCCATGAGAGTGTCATGAGAGGCAAGACAACTTTAGATACCTGCCAGGCCCAGAGCTCTTGAAGTCGTTTTACTGCAATACCTATCAAGAGAAAACTTACCTGTTCTTTTAACCTCTTCTCCCTCCCAAGGCTCCAACTCCAGAGAGATCAGAAACAGTTGAGCAGAAGGGAGGTGTCTGAGAAAGCAAGAAGAAGCTGATGCCATCCCCTTTACTCTGTAGTAGGGGCCTGTCTGTGCTAACTGCAGCTGGGGCATCAGGATAAGGGTTGTCTTTAGTGGCAGAGAAAATGTCCTGTGTTCGCCAATTTCTCCTCATGTTTCTTCCTTCATACTACCCAGCCCTGCTGAGGTTGGGTGGGAAATATGATTGGTTCTGTGGACGGAAATGAGATTGGAAGTGCTGTGTGTCGTATCCAGACTAAGGCACAGCAAGGGCCCTGTAAGCCTCTAGGCTTTCTTTGTCTCTGTTGCCCAGGAGCATGAAGGCATGTGTTGGTAATGGAACCACAAGATCAAACTGGCCTGAATCCCTGAGTCATCACATGGAGGACAGCTGCCTACAAGAGTCTCCTGACCTATAGTGGGCTCTGGATGAGTGAGAAGTATAATAAAATGTGTGCATTAATTACAGACCTTTTTGGCTTCTTTGTTAGTACAGCTAGACCTATAACATCCTGATTAATATATCTTTGTATAAAGATCAATGTGTTGACTATTATATTGAACTAGACACTTTTAATTATTGATTTAAAATATATTGTTGATTTAAAATGACCTATATTCTCTAAGAGTGAGCAGAAAAATTGGAGATTTTACCCAGTTTCAAGGGACTGAACAAGCTCTGAATATATTTAAAGGGCAATGGCAAACAAAATAAAAAAATTTTTGAATATGTCTCATGGGTCTTGTTTATTCAACACACTAGTTACAGTTGCTTTGGGAAAAATAACTCTCACCTCATAGAGTTGCTGTAAATTGAAAACAACTTGGCTTATGTTAGGTCCTTAGTAAAAGTCCATTTCTTTCTAGGGGAATGAGTGGGAAACATGAAAGTGTACGTAGGGAATACAGAACAAGGAATGAGAGATGTAGATAAAAAATGTAGCCAGCTTTGCCCTTCTGCCCCAGGCAGGACATTTCTCTGGATCTAGAGGTCTGATGCCTCCCAGAGATGTTGAGGGAAAAAACAAACAAACAACAACAAAAAAATACCACTGTGGTTTGGAAAACCTCCTGAAGTTTAGAAAAAGAGGACTTTCTTTATAGATTTAAAATGGGGGCCAGGTGCAGTGGCTCATGCCTGTAATCCCAGCACTTTGGGAGGCTAAGTTAGGTGGATTGTTTGGGCCCAGGATTGTTTGTGACCAGCCTAGGCAACATGGCAAAACCCCGTCTCTACACAAAATACAAAAATTAGCCAGGTGTGGTGGCGCGTGCACCTGTAGTTCCAGCTACTGGGGAGGCTGAGTCCAGGAGGCGGACATTGCAGTGAGTGGGATTGCACCACTGCACTCCAGCCTGGGAGACAGAGGGAAACACTGTACATACATACATACATACATACATACATACATACATACATACATACATACATACATAAATGGGGAGGGACCCAGGGAAGCAGACGCGACTGGCTGGGTGATGGTAGGCAAATACTCCAACTCTCCAGCCCCACTAAGTACATCTGGACAAGATAACCTTCAGGCCCTCTGAGGCTCCAACATCTACTCGGGGATGAAACAATTCATGGGGGCAGGAGGTGGTTCAGCATATGCTGTCTTAGGCATGGTGGGGGTCAATCCATTAGGGAGGGAAAGCTGGACTGGAGGGATCTATGGGTTCAGGGCCCACCCATCCAGGCCGAATAACTCTCTCTTCATCCCCAAGCCCAAATTGCTTTCTTGTAATGCCACCAGGAAAGCACATTTGTGTTAGCTGGTGCAGCTCAGCCTCTGGTCTCCCCAGGCCTGGCCATAAAGCTGGCTCAGGCTCCAAGCTGTGTGTGTGAATATAACACAAATATTTATCCTGTCTGTAGAACACCGTGTCTGTAGAAGCTGCCCACTGGAACTGGGCCCCCATGGTCTTATAAGGCAAAGGCTGGCTACAGCATGCAGCTCTGGGGCCCTGGGCCCCACCTAGGGTAGCTGTATTGAAAACAGACCCAGCTTTTGGGGAGTATTTGCTGCAACTGCAAAGGACAGATTCTATTTCAGACCTGTGGTGTGTGTATTTCTTACTGACTCCTTTTCGAAGCCAAATCAATATCAGGCCAACCAGGAGATTTCCAGAGATATAAACCATGGGGCTGAGAGGAGCAGGGAGGACTCTTCAGTGGGATCAGAAGAGCAGAGCCCTCTGGGAGGCCTTCCTGTTGGCGATGTAAGATCTCACCACATTAGTGATAAAAGCAGAACTGTTAGACTCTTCCCTCCTGTCTGGATCACAGCCTCCCTGTAACAGGGGTTCTCATGGGGGGGTCTCACTGGCCAGGGGGGAGTGGGTATGAGTGGTGGTATGGGCTTCCTGGTGCACACACCTTGGCGATGCCCCTGGCAAGGAGTGGGGAAAGGCCTGCTCCCTCTCCTCCCACAGCGGGCACTGCTCAGTGCAGGTTTTTCTACCAGCCTTGAAGAACACCCTTCCAGAGGGACTTCTCCTACCCAGCGCAATGAGAGAGGGGGAGTTTTCATCAGGACCAGTGTCACATAGGTGATGTAGGCTCTAGCCATCTGATTTCACGCACTGCCCTTAAGACAAAAAACCCTATTTAGCTATTCTCCCAAGTTGCTGACATCCCACCAGTAGAGACTCATTCCTTTGAGTCTCTGTAAACCCAGAGTCCTGAGGAAGTGGCAGCACTTTACTTACTGTGAATGAGTTGTCAGTTCCTTTCCGCTTTCATTTACTCTTTCAACAAGTCTCTTGTGAGTATCCATGAAGGGTCATTCCCTACGAGCCAGGTGCTGTCCAGGGACTCACAGAAGCAGAAGGAGGAGACAATCTGGGCTCCGGATGCCATGGAAGGGGCTCAGGGAATGGAGCCAGCAGGAAAGATGCCCTTGCCCCATTTTGCCACTCCAAGAGGGCCTCAGCTGGGTGGCCTCCTGGTTTCCCTGACGAGGTGCAGGGAGGCTTTGGTAGAAGCTCCAGGTTGCACCATGGGCTCCCAGCTCTTTGAGTAATTCCAGAGCCCCTGATTAGTTTCATCCCGTGGTACTTGAGGATCAGACACGGAAACCCCCAGAGACAGAACCTGGGGTGAGGAGGGGAGGAGGAGGCTGCTAGAGAGGGTTCCATTAGGAACCTGTATTCTTATTCTGAGGCTCCCAAGTTCTCTCTCTCTCTCTCTTTCCTTCTCTCCCTGTAACCCTATCAGAGGGTTCCAGCAATAGCCTGGGGAGGCCATAGGGTGGGCATCTCATCTCTCTGGCCCCCAGTCCCTTCTTCCACTAAAACAGGAGGAGGAAGGCTCCCAGCCCATGTGCATACATTCTGCTGCCAGGGCTGCTCACAGCCCCTTTTCTTGGGGGAAACAAGGTCAGGAACCTCTCCCAACCAAAGCCCCCTCTCCCAGGGAAGATTTTACCAGTTGACTTGTTATTAATGATGTTCTAAAAGCAGCAGGTTTGTGGCCAAGGGAAATCAATTGGCCAGATATGTGACAAAAGGGGAAATACTCTACAGCATATGAATGTATGAATTATTGATGTCTTCAGTTTGAGGCTTTCAGACACCAGGGCTTAGCTGTAAACAGCAAAGTGCCCTCTCTTCTTGCACCTCCCTCCCACCCGCTCTCTCCCAGTTTGGAGCCCTTGCAAGGTTTGCCCTGAAAATAGGTTTGATCCCAGGTCCAGGGAAGCACAGGGATGGGGGAGGGAGGAGTCAGAGGGTGTCCAGCTGACCAGCTCTTTGAGGCCCCCATCTGGGCCTGATGGAACCATTCTGAAATAGGGGGCTCCACCCTCCCCAGGCTCAACTGCCCTGAGTGACCCTCTAACTTCCACTTCCCCTGGTTTCACAGGCCATAGCCATCTTCAGGGTTAAGGACTGCAGTCTGCTTTTTTCCTGCTTTTTCAAGGGGCTTGAAATTTCTGAGCATCACCTGACCTTTACATGGGGGAAGGAAGAAAAAAAAATCCTCAGTTGCATACAAAAAACAAATCCTACTCCTTTGAATCTATAAACCATCATCTCCTCAATTCAAGCTTTAAGATTCGGGACCAATATATGATACTAATAGCTCCTGAAAGATATATTCAGAGGTCTGCTGTAGTCTGAAAATCATTTTTCTACAGGCTCCAAGAACAAGGTTTCTGGGGGTCATCTCCCACCCTCGCTCTCTTCTGTTGCTTTTCCAGTCTCTGTTTTTCACTAGCTATTGCTATTGCTCATAGCTCTGTAAATAATCTCATTGCCCCACAAATGCTGACTCCCTCTAAGAGGATCTAGCAAATCCTGATTATGAATTCGTGTCCCTACTTCTTCTAACCTGCCTGCTCACCCCTCCTGCCTTGTCCCTGCTGGGTGGAAATGCATATAGGAAGCTCAGTTACAGGCTGACAACTCAAGCAAATGAATGAACACATTTCCTGTCTACAGGATAGAATTTCACTTGGAAATTGTCCCTGGCCTTCTCAGTTAGTGCATCAGGTCTACCACCCATGTCAGGACCCTTGAAGGGAGAAGAGGGAACAGCTGTTATGCAGATGAAATGCTGCTTGCTATCAGCGAATTTCCCCAGCTGCCTAACCCTTTCCCTGCCAGACTATCACTCCGAGTTTTTGTAAAACACACTTCTACTGACTTGTGAGTTGAGTTTAACCATCTCATAGCAGCACATGGCAGAGACATTTGATTTCTGAGTAACTGCTGGAATCAATCCCTTGTTCAGGCTTGGTGCTCACTTTTTTAGGATCACTCACTGCTTCACCTTCCGGGAAGAGTGATCACAGAGAGGCTAAGTCCAGTGGACTTGAGGGAGAGGGATGCAGACCCCTTGAGATGACCCTTCAGGTAGAAATTTCTGCAGACCCTGCAGAGAAAAGGGCTAGAAAGGAGATGGAGGTAGAGGAAGAAGCCCAGTCTCTGGGTAGTTTCCCCAAAGTGAAGGTCTTAGGGGGCCAAGGTATGAAAGCAAAAATAGGCAGGGCTAGGGAAGCCAGGACTTAGGCTGACAGCTGCAGACTTCCCTCATCTCCACCCTGCTCCTGGGTGGTCAACCCTGGCTACTACTCTGGGCCTTCTGGGAATGGTTGGCCTCTCTTTGCCACCACTGCTTTCCTTTCAATGAAACAAGGAGCAAAGAGATCCATTAGTACTAGCTTCCACCAGACTTGTGCCCAAGTAGTCCAGCTCAGAGCTAACTCTTGAGTCTTTTACAGCTCTGGCTTGCCTCAGTTTCCCCATGAGGCTAACATGGGTGGAAGGAAAGACCACACTAAAGACAGAGTTTAGATTACTGTAGGCAGGATTGCTGTTGCCTGCACAAAGACACGTTTCCACCAGCCATGACCTACAGCAGTGACGTACCCCACCTGCTGCAGCACCTGCTGGCTCCTTGCCTCCCTTCTCCCCAGTGCCCGCTTGGCTGCCTATACAGGTCCTCCCATCCCAGAACCAGTTGTAGTCCTACATCCCTGCTCAACTTGCTGATTACCTGCTAGGAAAGCTGCCACATGGCTGGTTCTTTCATGCCCCGGGGGAAGCAAGGGCTGCTGTAAACAATCCTGCAATTTGCCTGTAAACTAACAAAGTGGCAGCTTCCCTGACACCAACATCACGTTGCCCCCTGCAACAGCACTAGTGAAAAGTAAACAGGCTCTTAACCCCATAACAGGTCTTACTTGCCTGGACTAAGACACTCCCTTAATGACTTGGCAGGAGCTGCCCTGGCCAGTGGCTGCCGGGCACAATCACCCATGAGGCCTTCTGGCTGATGAGTGACAGATTCACTAAAGCCTGATGAGTGCTTTAGTGACAGATTTGAGCTAGCCAGTCAGGCCTCTATGCAAGCCCACTCTCCATGGAGGCAAAGAGGAGGATGGGGTTCCAGGAGGGTGGTGAAGGGACCATACAGCACGAGCTTCTTCAGAAGAGGGTACACAGTGCAGTGTAACTGCCAATAGCCCTGGACCCCCAGGTCCTGGCTGTGCTCCCTGCTCACATAAGGTGACTTAGGGCAAGGTTCTTAGCATCTCTGAAATCGGTTTTTCTCACTATTAAACAGAAATAATAAACCCTTTCTCATACATTTGTGAAGATTAAAGATAATGTGTCCAGCACATAATGGATTTTCAATAAATGTTAATTTACTTTTCCATCCCTCCCAACCCAATGTGGTGATCTAAGTGAGGTAACGATACTCAATCAATACCCTTCCATCCAATCAGAAGCCTTTCACATACACTATGTCTTTAAATGACCATTAGAAGTGTCAACTCAACCAGCCTTCTTCTAGTGCTTGATTGCTGGCTGTGCGCTTTCTTATAGGTGGTTTTTGAGCCCCTGCTTGAACACCTCTAGGGACAGTGATCTCACTACCTCCCAAGATAGCACATTATTTTTAGATAGTGCTGTCTGTTTGAAAGTTCTTTTGATTGCACAGAAACTCGCTTACCTGTAACTTTCACCTGTGTGTCAATTCCCCCTCCAGGAGCATCTGGACTGGTTATTTAAAAACAGTTTTTAATTGATTTGATTGGATTTTTTAAATTGAGAAATAAAAATAGTCTATATTTATGGTATGAAATGATATATGTATATATTGTGGAATGGGTAAATCAAGCTCTTTAATATATGCAATACATCACATACTTTTTTGTGTGTGGTAAAAATACTTAAAATTTACACTCTTAGCAGTTTTCAGGTGTACATTATATTGTTAACTGTAGTCACCACGTTGTACAATAGTGAATTTTGAATTTACTCCTCCTGTCTAACTGAAATTTCACATCCTTTAATCAACATCTCCCCATCTCTCCAACCTTCTGCCCATGCCCAATATTTGGTAACCAACATTCTACTCCCTGCTTCTGAGTTCAACTTTTTAAGACTCCACATATAAGTGAGATTATGCAGTATTTGTCTTTCTGAGCTTTCCTTATTTCACTTAATATAATGTCTTCTGGGTTCATCCATGTTGTTGCAAATCACAGGATTTCCTTCTTTTTAAAGGCTGAATAATATTCCATTGTGTATATATACCACATTTTCTTTATCCATTTATCCCTTAGTGTTTGATTCCATATCTTGGCTATTGTGAATAATGCTGCAATGAATGTGGAAGTGTAGATAATCTCTACAACGTACTGATTTTATATCCTTTGGATATATACCTAGTAGTGGGATTGCTGCATCATATTGTAGTTCTATTTTTGATTTCTTGAGGAACATCCATACTGTTTTCCATAATAGCTGTACTGATATACATTCCTACCAATCATGTGCATGGGTTCCCTTTTCTCCACAACCTCACCAACACTTGTTATCTTTCATCTTTCTGATTGGCCATTCTAACAGTTGTGAGATTGAGGTTTTAATTTACATTTATTTGATTGTTAGTATTGTCGAGCATTTTTTCATATGTCTGTTGGCCATTTGTATGTCTTCTTTTAAAAAATGTTTATTCAGGCCCTATATCCATTTTTAAATTGGGTTATTTGTTTTTGTTTTTGTTTTTGTTTTTGTTTTTGTTTTTGAGACAGAATCTCACTCTGTCGCCCAGGCCGCACTCCATTACTTCCCATTTGTATGTAATCCCAAGTAGCTGGGATTACAGGCGCCCGCCACCATGCCAAGCTAATTTTTGTGTTTTCAGTAGAGGCGGAGTTTCACCATGTTTGCCAGACTAGTCTTGAACTCCTAACATCAGGTGATCCACCTGCCTCAGCCTCCCAAAGTTCTGGGATTACAGGTGTGCACCACCACGCCTGTCAGGGTTATTTGTTTTCTTATTATTGAGTCGTTTGAGTTTCTTACATATTTTGGATATTAACCTCTCATTAAATATATGGTTTGCAAGCATGTTATCCCATCCTGTGGGTTATTTCCTCAATCTGTTGATTCTTTTCTTTGCTGTGCAAAAACTTTTTAGTTTGATGTAATTTCATTTGTCTATTTTTGCTTTTGTTGTCTATGCTTTTGTGGTCAGATCTAAACAATCATTGCCCAGACAAATGTCATGAAGCTTTTTCTCTATGTTTTCTTCCAGTTGCTTTAAGGTTTCAGGTCTTACATCTAAGTCTTTAATCCATCTGGAGTTGATTTTTGTATATGGTGTGAGATGATAATTTCATCCTTCTGCATGTGAATATCCAGTTTTCTTAGTACCATTTGTTGAAGAGAACTTTCCTCGTTGTGTGTTCTTGGCAACTGAGTCAAAAATAAATAGATTATAAATTCATGGATTTATTTCCAGGCTCTCTATTCTGTTCTATTGGCCCATGTGTCTGTTTTTACACGAGTACTATGCTGTTTAAATTCATATAGCTTTGTAGTAGATTTTGCAATCAGGTAGTGTAACACCTTCTGCTTTGTTCTTTTTGCTTCAGATAGCTTTGACCATTCAGGGTCTTTTCTGGTTTCCTATAAATTTTGGAATTTTTTTTCTGTTTCTGTGAAAAATGTCCTTGAAATTTTGATAGAGGTGGCATTGGATCTGTCCATATCTTTGGGTAGTATGGACATTTTAATAATAGTAATTATTCCAATCCATTAAATACAGGAAACCTTTCCATTTATTTGTTTCTTCTTTAATGTATTTTATCAATGTTTTACAGTGTAGATAGATCTTTCACCTTCTTGTTTAAATTTATTTCTATGTATTTTTTCTGTAGCTATTGTAAATAGGATTGTTTTCTATCTCTTTTCCAAATAGTTCATTGTTAGTTTATAGAAATGCTGCTCATTTTTGGATACTGATTTTGCAGATTCTGCATCTTTATTGAATCTGTGATTAGTTCTAATAGGTTTGGTGGAGTCTTTAGGGTTTTCTATATATGATTATATCATCCACACGCAGACAATTTGGATGCTTTTTATTTCTTTTTCTTCCTTTCCAATGTAGATGTTTTTTATTTATTTTCCTTGCCTAATTGCTCTTGCTGGGACTTCCAGTACTATGTTGAATAGAAATGGCAAGGGTGGGCATCATTGTCTTGTTCCTAATCTTCGGGCAAAGGCTTTCAACTTTTCAATGTTAAGTGTGATATCACCTGTGGGCTTGTCATATATGGCCTTTATTGTGTTGTGGTACATTCCTTCTATACCTAATTTGTTGAGTTTATATCATATCATAAAAGGATGCTGCCACCTGGACTAATTCTGATTCCTCCCCTGCTTGGCACTGTAGGAGACACATAGACTTTTCCAAGGAGACCCTCACAGATCAAGATGGCAGAGGGGAAGGCTAGAACCTCGCTGCCCTGTATGTGCATTTTTTGTGGATATAGGATATTGAATCAGGGCCCCTACAGTAAAGGTCAGCTTCCAGCAAGGTTTCCTCATCACAAGGTTCAGCCTTGGACTCTGAGCCAAATTTCCCTGAAAATGTAGAGAGGAGATGGGTTGATCTACTTGTACTGAGTCTCCCAAGATTGGTGTGGGGGATACAGTGAACCTGGATGATCTGGGCTCCAGGGGAGGCGTCAGAATCGCATGGTGCTGAGCCTCCTGCCTGTGGGGCTCAGGCCTCCAGGGGCCATAGGTGCACGGTAGTCATGCAGTAACAGCCTGGTTGGTCCTGCCTCCTCTGCTGCAGGCCAGCTCGCTGCAGTACTTGCCAACCACCAGCCGCCAGCTCTCAGGATTATTTTATAGATGTGGAATTTATTTTGAGACACAAGCAGGCCTGTGCTCCATGTATACCAGCCAAGTGCTGGGCAGCAGGGTCCACTTTCCTGTGGGCAGCTGCTCATTTTTAATCCCTTAGAAAGTGCAGTTTGTGGGATTGAAGGCCTGGGGCGAAGCAGTGTTGAGTCTGAGCTGTAGGACCCTGAGTTCTCCCTGGGAGTGAGAGGCAGAGCCACGAAGAAAAGTAGGAAGAGAGCTTCTCCATAACTGGGACTATTACTGAGGAGTGAGACGGTAGGTCCCAGGAGGTACGAGGAGGTTGGCAGAGTCTGGGGTAAGATGTAGCATCCGTACACAAAGGCCCGATTTCTGGCCAGCCCAGCCCTGAAGCAGAAGGCAGTGTGGCCCGCTTGAGGGTAGGTTAAAACAGCTGGTGCTAATGACCCTGCAATGTGGCCAGGCCGCACCTGCCCGCCCTGAGGAACACCACCTGTGGCCATCAGGAGGTCATTGAAGCTCAGAGGTGGGCCAGTTGTTGCGTAGCTTCTCCAGACCCCCAACAACTCTGTCATTCTGGAGCATGTCTCTATACCTCACCCACTGCTTCCCTGACCCCCTCCCATCCTGCCAAGGCTGGCAGTCAGCCCTGTGGAAATGCCTGTTTCATGTGACGTTACCCCAATGCAGTCTCTGCTATGAAGCCTTTGCCAGCCTCCTATTTGAAGGGGAGGACACTTTTGTGGCCCAGAAATGTCAGTTGTCTTCCACAGGGGTTTCCTCCACCCCAGCCCCCTTTCTATTTGGGCCCTTTGTCTTTTCCTTTTCTCTAAGGTGGGGGTGACTTATTCATCCTAGGCCTGCGTCTCAGGGCCTTGGCTCAGTAGCCCCTTCAGGAGGCTCTTCTTATTGTTCTCTGAACAGTGGGATCTGAGGAATCAAAACCCCTCTTGTAACAAATATATTTCCATAGGCCCACCAGACGCAGGTGCTGAAGTGCTCCCAGTTCCAGCCATTGTGTTGTTAAGAACAATTTCTCTTCAGAAAGACCCTGTCAAAATGCAAATGTTACCGGAGAAGGGTAACACATTAACTTATTACATCCATTATCACTTTAGTGCGGTTTATCAGCTTCCCAGCTGAGAACAGGGCCCTGGGGATAGAGAGGGGAATGCTGAACAGGTGAGGTTCCACACAGGGCAGGAGATGGGAAAGGCTATGTGGGGAGCTGTGGTCAGGAAAAGGGCCCTGGGGAGGGAGCCTGCAGTACAGGAGGGGACGAGAGGCAGGTGAGACCCTGGTGTGTCTGATGCTCAGTGCTGCCTCATTTTCAGAAAGGGGCACCTTTGGATAAAGATAGTCCCTTCCCTATTATAAATGGAGAGGCTTTCTTTTCCTGTGGATTATTTGGAAATCCTCACATTTAGTGTTTTTTGTTGTTGTTGTTTTTGTTTTTGGTTTTTTTTTTTTTTTTTGAGATGGAGTCTTGCTCTATCGCCCAGGCTGGAGTGCAGTGTGCAGTGGCACAAACTCAGCTCACTGTAACTGCTGCCTCCCTGGTTTAAGTGATTCTTCTGCCTCAGCCTCCCGAGTAGCTGGGATTCCAGGTGCCCGCCACCACGCCTGGCTAATTTTTGTATTTTTAGTAGAGATGGGGTTTCACCATGTTGCCCAGGGTGGTCTTGAACTCCTGAACTCAGGCAATCCACCTGCCTTGGCCTTCCAAAGTGTTAGGACTACAGGCGTCAGCCACCATGCCTGGCCCCCAAATTTAGTTTTGCCATACATTATTTTCCTTCCTAATCATTTGCTACTCAATCTAATATTGATATTAGTTTATATTCCCTGAAGACATACCAGGCATACACTAAATGGCAGGGAAAGTCAGACTGAGATTGAAACTGTGCTGCAGGCCATCCTTAAAGAGGAGAACCCACACTTAGATAATGAAGCCATTGTAGCTTTAGGCATTTTTTTTCCTACCAATCTCCAATGGGTGGGGGCTATAACAGATGTTTCCTCCCTCCCTGTTTCTAATGGCAATACCAAACAGGCATTTTACGTTTGTTCATTTTGCAAAAAAAAAAAAAAGAAACAAATGTTCTTTACAAGCCTAATTTCCTTCTGAGAAAAGTAGGTCCTACACACAAGAAGTCTGTCTTGTTCTGCTGCAGCTTGGGTAGGAGGTGGAAAGGTGGCCAGGGGCTGACTTAGGAACAGGATCGGGAGAGAAAGCCTGGGAGAATGAGAGGGGTTTGAGTTCCTGGAGACAATCCAGAAGGCCAAGGGGGGTGAGATGGGGAAGACGAGCCAGCAGTTGCAGCAATAGGGTCTGGCGCTGCAGAGGCAAGAGCAGAGCAAGGGCTGCCCTGCCAGGCCTCTGGAGGCAGACCCAGGCCGAGGGGGCTTTCACAGGGATCTGACACTCCTTTGGAATATTTGTTGGGAGGTTGCTGCTCAATAACATCCTTCTTCATCCCTACCCTGCTTTCGGTAAAATCTAACACACACATAGAAGCATAGTATGGAGAGTGCATTTGTAAATCCTATAAAGGGTCTGAATTTGGCACCTGGGTTGATGTGTTGTAAGAGGGGGACAGTAGGAGTGGGCAGCAAGCAGCCATAGCCTGGATTAATGCAGAGAAAACCCTGCTTTGAGTCAGATGTGACCATGAGGACACAAGCCACCTGAGAACTTGAAATCAGGGTGACGTTGGACTTCCACAGAGTTAGGAGGTGGTGGGTTCCCCCGGTGCCCCGGTCAGACGCGGCAGGCAAGGAGTCATGATAAATCCAGAAGCCAGTTCTTGTAATTTGAATTTCAAAAGTGCAGCAGTCAAAGCAGGTCAGAGAGAACCCAGGACAAAATCGGAGGATTTGGAACAAGACCTATCTAGATGCTTGGAATCCAGGCGCATCTAGATGCGCTTAGCAAAGAAGGAGAGTCAAGGAAGCGGGAAATGTAGTGAATGGTGAGTGCTCCCAGAAAGGGGTATCCAGGAGTATGGACAGCAGCCTCACAAGGTCTCCACAAAGCAGAACATATAGTGTGCAGCTGAGAGCTGTGGGCATGTGGCCCAGAAAAGCCCAGAAACCTGGAAAGGCTCTGCGATGAGAAGAGGACACAGCAGTGACCACGTAGCCAGAGGACCACAGCCCAGATAGGACAAGGACATGTGCGTGGATGCCAACGAGATGTCACCGAGGATGGGATCGCACCCCTGCCCCCCACTTCATGCAAGGGCACCAGGTAGCCCCTCCCTAAATTGGATGCAACTTCCTGTTAAGTGAAAAATGGGAGACCTGAAATTAACTGAGATTAATTTCCTGCCACAGAATGGGAGCTTGAAACTGAAAATCATTTGAGTTATAGAAAATGTAGCTAATTTTTTTTTGTAGGAATGGGTCTGTGAACTGAGGTCCTCATCCACAATGACATTTCTTCATGGAGTATTTTGGGTCTTGGTGCAGCTGTGGGACGTTCTGATGGTGTTAGGGTGTGCCATCGGAGATACGATTTCCTGGTTCTACTTTTCCAAAAGCAGAAGAGGACAGAGTGAGGGCTGGGAGCCTCTTCCTGAGCTGCATTTCAAAGCAGTGTGCTCAGACTCCAAGTGGGGAGATGCCTTCTCTTTCCTCTCTCACACAAGCTCACCATTTCAACCCCAGAGTTACACTGTCTCAGCGAAAAGAATGAAACTGATACAACCAGCTGCTGGGATTCTGGTACCAACACAGCCAGCACCTGACCGCCCCCTGCAGGGTTCGACGGGGAGTGACTCATCCACAGTGAAAATGGCCAAACAAAAACAATGACTAGGCAGGCAGAGCCACCCAAATGTCAGCAGAGAGAAAAACTGTCAATGAATGAGCCCCAAATGGCTCTATAACAGACATCCCAAGGTTGGGGTGCAGAACCCGGGTCACCCCACCTGGCAGGCAGTCGGTGACCACCCATTGGCGATGGGCGAGGGGACGTGGGACATCTGAGCCTCCTCAAGTCACTATTGTTGAAATTCACAATCAACATGGGTCACTGCTTTGGCAGGCGGCCCGTCCTTCTCCGCCCCCTCTTCTTGAGTTTGTAGAAAAGGCTTTTCTCTGGACTCAAAGGAGGTAGGATTCCCCCGCCTTTTTTCACTACCTGCTTCTTGCCTCGCTGAATTCTTTTTTGTACCTTCTCCCTTTGGTGAGTGGGTGCCATTTATCCAGCAAGAATGAACCAACTTATATAGTCTTTCACTCATTCCCTTGGCTTCCCTTGTTTTCTTTTGTCTGCCCTTGAGTTTCTTGGATTAGCCTGCCTCTGCTCAAGGCTGGAGCATGGTTTTCACAGGGTGCTTCCTGGGTTGACTTCAGGATTTAGGAGGTCAGGGGATGGGGTGCTTTATCTCTGCATCCTCAACTACAATATTCACCTCCACCAGAGAGCAGAGAAGTAGATGGTCCAAGCTTTGCACCAGACTAGAAAGAATACTCCCCGGGAGAGTTCCCAGCCCCCAGAGGTCAACCATTAATCACCTTCTGGAAGCCTGTTGCAGGGTTTGTGATGGAAATGACTCTGTCGTCATGGTAACTCTGCCTGGCCTGGCCAGGGGCTGCTCCAGCCTAACTGGCTCTTCTGGGTTTCAGGTTTATTTACAAGCTGTGACTCCTGCCTGGTAGGTCTTCAGAGCAGCTTCTTGCCATCTGGAACCTGAGGGAAAGGCTGGGGATGACATAGGCCTAAACCAGTCCTTGTTCAAAATGATGGTTTCAAACCTGGTTCTCCCATTCAAGAAAGATGAGACCTTTCACCGTAGTGCTAACATGTCTTGCCTGTTGACTGGACGTGTCCCAGAGGGACAGAATTGTATATCTGGACTTTGAAGTGGAAACACCTAGGGTCTGAGCAAGGGCTCTGCCTCTTACCAGTTGTCCATCTTTGGGCAAGTTACTAAAACACTGATCTTCAGATTCTCCCCCTCTAAGAGAAGTCCTCATACCAAGTTCACAGTGTAATTGTTAGAATTAAATAAGATAACTACATAATGCAGGAATGGCACACTTTTTCTGTAAAGGCCCAGGCAGTAAATATTTTAGGCTTTGCAGGCCACGCGGTCTCTGTCTCAACTACTCAACTCTGCCCTCATAGCATGAAAGCAGCCCGGATCAAGAGTAAACTAAACAGTGCAGCAGAGTTCCAGTAAAACTCAGGTGGCCCTTGCTGGGCAGTCTGGGCTGACCACGCATTCTAAGCAGGAGCTACATCTGAATGAATAATATGCATCGCTGGCCACCGCGGAGAAGAGGCACCAGTGAGGGCAGCAGTGTGGTGACACAGCCGAGGGCAGGGTGAGAAGTTCAGGCTGGCTTCAGAGCCCCAGTTCTGACAGGCTCTGCACGGCCGCTCACATCTCCGGGGAAAGCCACAGTGTGCCAACAGCCCAGCGACCTGCTATACTGAGCTGTGATTTATTAATGCTCTCACACAGGGCCTCTCTCCAAGAGGTTTGCTGGGGTTGAGGGAAGAATATGGGATCCCTAATTCATTCAGAACACTCTGATTTATACCAGCTCCTGGCAGCGGCGTTTTCCAAGACCCCTCAAGAGTGAAGGGGATTTAGAACTCTGTTTTCCATTCTGTGTTCACTGGTTCCAAACAACTAGCGGGTTAGAGATAGACCAAACTGGTTCTGCCTGAAAGACTCTCAGCCCTGCCGAGGGGTAAGCAGGTGTTACCCATCAGTCCAACTCCCTCCTAAGACAAGAGGTCAGGTCCTCGGAGCCAGCAGGCTGCGGGCTGAGTACATCTGTCAGTTCGGAGGGGTGGCTCACAGCAGGTCAGCTGGGGGGTGGCCTGTTTCAGAACTCAGGCCAGTGATCTCTTTGGGGGCTGGCAGTTGACTGGCAGCAGGTCTGCGCTGGTCAGGAGGATCATGAGGGAGGTGGGGTTTGGTGCTGGAATGGATGAGTCTGGGACTTTTCAAGTCCATGGTCACAGTGTGACCACAAGAAAGAGCTTTTCCCTCCTGGGCCTCAGTTTACCTCTCTGTAAAACAGGGTCCTCTCTTCTGTCCTCTCAGCCCTCCGTGAGTAGGTGGGTTGTGGTGAAGCCTGGCTGATGGTAACTGTGGGAACAGGTGGTGCACGACTCCAAGAGGGTTCTATTTATGCGGTTTATTCTGATGACACTGTGTTTTCTCCCGACAAGCTCGGGTGCTGAGCAGCTGTTCTTTCGCTGTCACCCCTGTGGCGTCGCTGTGAGGGGGAGTATTTCTACTTCTCACTGACAGTTTTCCTTGCCATGGAGGCTTTATTCAGCTCCTTAATACCAATGCTTTACATGTGGATGCAACTTCACAGTTTACAAAGCAATTTCAGAGACATCTTCTGATTTTATCTCCATAACAACCCATTCAGGTTGGCGTGGCCGACGGGTCTATCCTGAATTAGAGATGAGGAAACCGCCTGTCAGGTTAGGTGTTTCAACCCTGTGCTGGGTTCCCACCACCGGTAGGTGGCAGGGCTGAGACTGAGACATACACTTACCCCGCCACATTAAAACTTCTCAGGAAAACTGCTGCCTTTTAAGAAGCTTTTGTTCTGGCTGGCAATGGTGGCTCATGCCTGTAATCCCAGCAATTTGGGAGGCCAAGGTTGGGGGATCACTTGAGGTCAAGAGTTTGAGACCAGCCTGGCCAACATGGCAATATCCTGCCTCTACTAAAAATACAAAAATTAGCCAGGCGTGGTGGCAGGTGCTTGTAATCCCAGCTACTTGGGAGGCTGAGGCAGGAGAATTCTTGAGCCTGGGAGGTGTACGTTGCGGCGAGCCAAGATTGTGCCACTGCACTCTACCTGGGTGATACAGTGAGACTCCGTCTCAAAAAAAAAAAAAAAAAAAAAGAAGAAGAAAAAAAAGCATTTGTTCCAGTGTACTTTTATTACATTAATGTAATAAAAGTATCAAGGAACAGTTTGTTTTGGAGGGGCAGTGGGAAGGAATTTTTAAAAATAGTATAATGAAGAGGGCTTTTATTCTGTAAAGCTGCCTTCTGTCCTCAGTGCTGAACTTCCTGTCATCATCACCAAAATAAATTCCACTTTCAAATGTGACTTTTCCCCCAGGCCTTCCAAAAACTCAAGCCAGACAGGTTTGAGGGAGAGTGTGAGCTATTTTTACTACTGTCTGGGGTTCTCCCTATTCATTGTTGGAGGGGGAAAAAAAGACAGTTGAAAATCCCCAAGAATTTTCTCTGGCTGTGAATTTGCACCCAGCTGTCTCCACACACCCACACCCGGCAGCATGCGGCTGTTGGACACTGCTGGCCCTGAGTTCAACATCATTTTCATCTTTGACAGGCTTGCTCAGCCACCATCTCTGAATTATAGTAGTAGTCATAACCCAACAATGCTCTGGGCAGGTCCTTGGTACCCAAGGCCAAAGACTTTCCAGTCTTTGGAAACCAGTCATAACCTTCTATGGCCAGATGTGAAGGAATGGAGTCCTGACCTCACAGTCCCAGTTTCTAAAGTGATCCATTCTCTGAATTCCTACACCCAGAAATGCTCTGGCTTTGCACCCTTGGGTCCTCTGCCTTTCCAAGGTCCCACCTGACTGGTGGCCAAAATTGTGAGCCATTGATGTAAACAATAAAAATGATAGTAGAACAAACCCATTAGGCTGAGCCAAGTCACCCTGACCAGAAAAAAAAAAAGCCACATCTGAAGAAAGTGAAGACAAACAGGAAATCTTTGCAAATAGTCA
This sequence comes from Homo sapiens, assembly GCF_000001405.40. Classification (NCBI taxonomy): domain Eukaryota; kingdom Metazoa; phylum Chordata; class Mammalia; order Primates; family Hominidae; genus Homo; species Homo sapiens. The sequence goes on along the minus strand of NC_000011.10, from coordinate 112,794,117 downwards.
CTCTTATCTCCACTCACCTCATATCCCTGCCCTTCCTCACTATCCCTTTCCCCTTTCATCTTTCCTTCCTTCTTCCCCTTTCTCCTATAATACCTGTGTTTCCTCACTAAACCGATTGTCTATGCCACAATCCCTGAAAAATATTCCCATCTATAACCCGTGAGGTTTGTGTCCATTTCAACTCTAGGTTCAATTCTGTTAAAGTGAACAGTGAATTCCAAGAAACTGTCTAAATAATTTCATTGTGTTGGAAGTTTTTGTAACAAATTTGCAAGAAAAAAAATGACCGAATCTTGGATATGGATATCCTGGAGGCTACAAAAGTGTTTTTACTGTAAGGATGTTTGAAATAACATTGTGTTAAAGGGATATTGGGGTTATGTCATTGCCTCTGACCTAGAGAGTTTCACCTGCTACCTCCATCAGACTCCTTCCAAGACCTCACAGATGCCTGGATTTGGTAGCTGGCCAGGTATTCTTCATAGCTGTATGATCCCCTGGATTGAGTCATCCACCAAGTATCCTTTTGAGGACTTCCAGTGGGATTAGCATCTGGCTGGGTGCTGTGAAGAATTTCCCAAACATAAGATAGAATTGCTCTCCTCATGGTGCTTACAATCTAGATGAGGGAGGTACATCTCGTATGCAACAGCTAAATTGAATAGCAGAAGGCAGTACCTAGTTAAGTGCTAGGCTATGTGGACTACAAATGCCATCCTCATTCTGTCTGTAATGTGAGCCTATTCTAGGCACAGGGGAAGACTAAGTCTGCCTTCTGCTCCATTCCAGCCCTCCCAATGCCTCAGAGTCCTTTGTATATATTGTACGAGCTCCGCTGTAGAACTTACTACATTGTGTTGTATGTTCGTTATGTTTATTTTATTTTATTATTTTATTTTATTTTTTATTTTTTGAGATGGAGTCTCACTCTGTCACCCAGGCTGGAGTGCAATGGGACGATCTTGGCTCACTGCAAACTCTGCCTCCCGAATTCAAGCAATTCTCCTGCCTCGGCCTCCTGAGTAGCTGGGACTACAGGCACATGCCACCATGCCCAGCTAATTATTTGTATTTTTAGTACAGACGGGGTTTCACCGTGTTAGCCAGGATGGTCTCGATCTCCTGACCTTATGATCTGCTCACCTCGGCCTCCCAAAGTGCTGGGATTACCTGCGTGAGCCACCGTGCCTGGCCCGTTATTTTTATCCCTGTCTCTATGAGTATTTTGTGCTTGAAGACTTCCACTTTGCAAAGGATCTAGCGATGTGCCTGTCACACTGTCAGTTTTTAAGGAAATTTTTAAGTGCTTATTGAATGTAGAATGTTGGCTAAGTATTGATGCTAGAGAACTATTGTCTGGCTGCCCTCCCACATGGGATTCCATAGCACAGCCATGCTATGCTTTTTCCTTTTCCAAGGTGTCTAAAAGAAGGAGCTGCTCCAGAGGACCGAACATAAAGTCAGCAAGCTCATCTTAGAAACCCCGGGTGGAAGGAAATTAGAATCCTGAAAGTTATTTTGGGGTCAAGAAGTCCAGTTTGGATCTGTCAGAGGTGGAAACAGGCCCCAGTGGGCCTCTCTCAGCTGTATCTTTGGAAAAATTGATGTCTGCATTTTAATTCTCTCCAACATGTCATTAACCCCACAGACACCCTTCCACTGAGACAAGACCCATGATGAGGGTTGTAGGAAGAGAAAGAACTTTCTCTAAGGGTTCTGTCCTTTACTCAGTGAAAAAGGATCTATTAGAGGCTGACAAATCAATAAATGCAATTTAAGCCGCTTTCTTGGAGTCTGTGTGACTTACAGGAAGGGTAGTGTATTGCCTGGGTGGTGCCATGGGCCCCCTGCTCCTTCCCCTCTTTGCAATTATAGCAAATTTGCCTAATGCACTAAAAGCCAATGAATCATGTCCACTGGTGATGGGATGGGAAAGGCGAGAAGGAAGATGTCGGATGCTGGCAGCTGCCTTGATAACCTCGGTTTTAATTAGGCTTTAGTGAATAACAAACAAAACAATCATTCATTTGCGACAACCATCTATAGTGACTAAAAGGCCCATATTTGGTTGTTGCAAATGAACAAGTGTCCTAGGTATTGAGGGAAGCTAGGATGGCTTCTCCCCCATGGATCTCATCTCATGAAAGGGTGGAAGATCCACTCAACCACTGGTAGACTTGGACTTATTTTCTCCAAACTGGAGCCCAGGCTTACCAACTCTTATGTGTTCTACTTGTTCCTTGCAATGGATGGGACTCTTATGGTGCTTGGACTCATTAGCATTAATCACGATGTGGAAGTCATAGCATTCCTCTCTTTCAGGCTACGCACAGAATATTAATGGTCTTAAAATCCAATCAGAAATTCTACAAAATAACTGGCCTGTATTTATTGAAACTGTCAAGGCCAAAAAAGATAAGGAAAGATGTAGGAACTATTCCAGATTTAAGGAGATAAAGAGACATCATGACAGCTGAATGTTACCTGTGATGCAGGATTTTCTTTACCCATACAGAGCACTGTTAGAATAATGGGAGAATTTGAATAAAGTCTGTAAATTAGCTAATAGTATTATTATAATGTTAATTTCCTAATTTTGAGTATTGTGCTATGGTAATGTAAGAGAATTCCTTTTTAGGAAATACACACTGAAGTATTGAGGGATAAAGTAGCAGCATATCTGCAACTTACATTCAAATAGTTCAGAAAAAAATTATCTTTATTTTTCTATTTCTATCTATCTCTCTGCCTATCTCTATATATCCCTATCTATCTATCATCTCTATCTCTTTCTCTTTCTCATATTCATAAATCTATTGATTTATCTATTGAAAGCAAATGTGGTAACATTCCAAGTGTGAGATCTGGGTGAAGGGTAGACTGGTTCTTTGTAATATTTTTGCATCTTTTCTGTAAGTCTGAAATCATGAATAAGTAGAAAGCTAAAAAAAAATTCCAGGCCGAGCACAGTGGCTCATGCCTATAATCCCAGCACTTTGGGAGGCTGAGGTGGGCGGATCTCCTGAGATCGAGACCATCCTGGCTAACACGGTGAAACCCTGTCTCTACTAAAAATACAAAAACTTAGCTGGGCGTGGTGGCACACACCTGTAGTCCCAGCTACTCGGGAGGCTGAGGCAGGAGAATCACTTGAACCTGGGAGGTGGAGTTTGCAGTGAGCCCAGATTGCGCCACTGTACTCCAGCCTGGGTGACAGAGTGAGAATCCATCTCAAAAAAGAAAAAAAATTTCCAATCAGTAGAGAGATTGCCAACTATGACCAGTGAAACAATATATCGCAGGTTCCTTTCTCTTCCCTTCTTCCCCAAAGAGCTTCTCTACCCAAATCATGCCTTTAAACCTGTGACTTAAACCTCTAAATACCCAGGGAGTTGCAGGACCCCCGTGACATTTCTCTGGGTGATGAGATTTCTTACATGATGAGATTAAATGAGGACATTTGCACAAGGAGCTAGTGAAAAATGAAGGGATTTGATCAGATGATCACCAAGCTCCTTTCTAAATCAACATTCTGTGACCTTCTGATCCTATGAAGTAGAAAATAAAATATAGCCATGTGTTGCATAACGACATTTCGGTCAACAACAAAATGCCATGGTGGTCTCATAAGATTATAATGGATGGAGATGAAAAATTCCTGTCTTAACTGTCATGACGTTACTCACACATTTGTGGGGATGCTGGTATAAACAAACCTACTGTACCACCAGTTGTATAAAAGTATAGCACATACAATATGTACAATACATAAAAACTTGATAATGGTAATAAACAATGATGCTACTGGTTTGTGTATTTTTTATTTATACTTGTTATCGTTATTTTAAACTGTACTTCTTATTTAAAAAAAGAAAACAGTTAACTGTAAAATAGCTTCAGGCAGGTCCTTCAGGAGGGATTCCAGAAGAAGGCACTGTGATCATAGGAGGTGACAGCTCCATACATATTACTGCCCCTGAAGACCTTCCAGTGGGACAAGATGTGGAGGTGAAAGACAGTGATACTGATGATCCTGACCCTGTGTAGATCTAGGCTAATGTGTGGGTTTGTGTCTTAGTTTTTAATGAAAATATTTAAAAGGTAAAGAAATATATACACATATATATACAGAGAGAGAGAGAGAAAAGCTTGTAGAATAAAGATATGTATATATAAAGAAAATATTTTTGCACAGCTGTACAATGTGTTTGTATTTTAAACTAAATGTTATTACAAAAGAGTCAAAAAACTTTAAACATTAAAACGTTTATAAGGTAAAAATTATAGTAATCTAAGGTTAATTTATCATGGAAGAAAATTTTTTAAATAAATTTAGTGTGGCCTAAGTGTGTTTATAAAGTCTACAGTAGTGTACAGTCATGTCCTAAGCCTTCACATTCACTACTCACTCACCCAGAGCAAATTCCAGTACTGCAAGCTCCATTCACGGTGAGTGCCCTAGACAGGTGTACCCTTGTTTATCTTTTATACCACATTTTCACTGTACCGTTTCTATGTTTAGATACATAAATACTTACCATTGTGTAACAATTGCCTACAATATTCAGTACAGTAACATGCTGTACAGGTTTGTAGCCTAGGAGTAATAGGCTACACAATGTAGCCTAGGTGTGTAGTAGGTTATACCATCTAGGTTTGTGTTAAGCACACTGTGACGTTCACACAACCATGAAATCGCTTACGGACAGATGCATTTCTCAAAATGTATTCTTACCATTAGGCGATCATGACTGTACGGTAATAGTTTGTGGCCTTTCCAACCTGAAATACCCCTCTTGCCCAGCTTTGCTTTTATTCCCTAAGACAACACCTGGCAGGGGAAGCGGCCATTTCTACCTGCTGCTGTGTGGTACACTTCTCTTGCTCCAGAAGCCCAAGAAAATGACATCCCACGATTGTTTTTAAGAAGCCCATGCGGTCCTTTCTCTCCAGATAATTGCTGCCTAGTTCTGCAGACCTAATGGACTTCTTTAGGCTTCCCTGGGTAGCAGTAAGTGCACATACACAGTTAAATGCAAAGGATTTGTATAAATACTGAATATATCTCTATCTACATAAGGATGTACACATACATTTTTCCAACACCAATCTCCAAAATTATAATTCTAAAAAAGTTTTCAAAATATGTCATATAATTTAAAATACCAAAAAAAAAATGTTTAATAACTGTCATCAGTTTTGAGTTCTCTGTACTTAAAGACCAAATCATCTCCCAAGAATGGCTGTGGCACCATTGTAGATGGTGAGTAAAGTGGCTTGTGGCACCTCTGGAGAGAACTCTAGGGATACTGAGCCCCAAGCCACCAGCCAGGAGCTGAGTCTCCTTCTTGGATTCAGGAGCTAAGAAGTATATTCTTGGTAAAGGAGAAGACAAATGCTTTAGTGCACATTTCTTGTTTGTGACTGTGTAGCAGATGACTATAGCTGACACTGCCCCTTACCTGCCAAAAATCCATTCTCTTCTTCTTTATTATTCAATCTCAATTTTGCTTGAGATCCAGTTTAAAACACTTACCTCCCCAGACTGTCCTGAAGCTGAGTTTTGGCAGATAAGAAAGAGGAATCTCATGGAAAGTTGTTTTTCCTGATAATAAACAGACTCCTCTGACAGCAGCCTTTTCCTTTGTCCTTCCCCCTTGTTTGTGCCTGGATTGTAGAGCAGCCGTTCTTGGAGCCATGAGGATGAGAGCCACAAACCAGATGGAACAGGGGTCTAGAAGGGTTCTTGGCTGCTCCCCTGAATGCCTCTGGACATCTCATTATACCAAAAAACTCCTTGTGGTGGGGATTTTTATTATGCGCCACTGAATGCAATCCTGAAAGAGACCCCAAAACCATCACCCCTGTTCTCAATATTGTGGTTTTCAGGGTCTGGGATTCACACCCAGGGCCACCCCTCTACTCATCATGATGACACGTTCCCCAGCTGTCTTACTCTATTCCTGCTGCTTTAACAAAATACCTTAGACAGGTAATCCATAAACAACAGGAATTTAGTGCTCACAGTTCTGGAGGCTGGGAAGTTCAAGATCAACATACCAGCATTTTTGGCATCTGGTGAGGGCCCATTCTGCATAGATGGCACCCCATATGTGTCCTCACATGGTGGAAGGAGCAGAGAGGCTCCTTCAGGCCTCTTTTGTGAAGACACTCATCCCACTCAAGAAGGCAGAGAGCTTATAACCTAATCACCTCCCAAAGACCCCACCTCTTCATAGCATCACCTTGGAGGTTAGGTTTTAACATTTGAATTTGAGGGGGACACAAACATTCAGACCATCGCACTAGTCTACACTGTTTGCTTCAGGGATGTGTCCACAATTAAAGCCAGAACAATCTGAAAAAAAAAGTCAGAAAAAACTGACTTTCCTTACCTGTGAATTTGGAGCTATGATGGTACAAAGTCTGAAACTGTGGCAGCGGTGCTGTTGTAAGAAGAAAATCTGCTGAGAATGAACCTGACATTTGAGGGTATAAATCCAAGCTGATGAGGAGCCTGGGTTCTTTGACGTCATTTGAGCCCCTGTATCAAACTGTGCCTGAAGCCAGCACTAACCTCAGACTTTTGAATTAAACAAGCCAATAACTTTCCTTCTTCCTTAAGCTAATTAGAGCCTCCTTGAGCCAAGGAGTGCATAGAAAGGCCTTATTGATTCAGAGGCTCCCTGAGGGTGGACGCTGATGGAGGGAAATTCTTGGCAGCAGCTCTCTTGGAAGGGCCTCCTGGCCTGGGGGGTGCTTCTTAGGAGCGGGGAAGCTTAGTTTAAGGAGGTCTGAGTCCATGTCAGTGTCATTCTTCATCCCAGTAGGACACAGTTCTGATGGTTGGGCCCCAACATAGGGCTTACTTTGTCTCTAAAAATGAGTCCCATTTTGGATAAAAACAGTGGTCAATTTTGTTTGGCTTGGGGGAGGGTAATGTGGGCTAACTGGATGTCTCGTGGTGAGTTATCTGCTCATCTTTCAGGAAACACCATCACCAGGGACAACACTTGCTTTCATAAAATTGTCTCTGACACCATCTTAATTCCACAAATCACTCTCAACCGGAGCTGCAAGGAGTTATTTTTAAACGAAATCTACTTGGCAGGCCATGGGGCCAGGCTTTCAGACTACAGCTCATCAATGGCCCTAGGTTGGAGAAGCCCAGGCCTCCCCTCCTGCATGGATCTTGCATGGCTTCTGGAGCCAGTGAGGGACCACCCACCCTTGCCAGGACCCACGCTGAAAAGCCAGGCTTCTACAATGACCCTCATGATCTTCCTCTTCCCAGGCATTGCCTAGACTTCACCAGTCCCTGTCCCCTGCTAGTCTCCTTCCCCTTCCACTAGCCACCACAAGGCAGCCACTGGGGAAGGAGAGGCTCCAGCACTCTGGAGCCAAATAGATGCACTCAAACCATCCAAGAACACAAAAGCTCCAACCTCCAGCCAGTCTCTGCTTTTCCTTTCTTCCCAACTCTTCCTCTTTTCCCTCTCTTTTCATTCATCTGATTTCCTTTCTCATTTAAAGACAAACACATTGTCTTACACCAAATTTAATTATGCATTGCTCACAGAAAACTGGGGTGGGGGCTCCTGGAGGGCTGCCTCTACCTAATACTAAACCCCTTAGGGGTGAGCGGTGGTGTGGGAACTGATTTGCAGGGCAGCCCTGTGAAGGCAATAGGATACCCCCCTCCCCCGCCACTCTATAGACAGGAAGCTGAGGCTCAGAGAAGGTGGGATGTTGGCCCGGGCCACCCAACTCATGACAGAGCTGGCCTCTTTGACTCTGAAGTCAGTGTTCCCAGCATTCTCTCTCCCATGTCAGCCTGCATTTCCCTAGGAATCATGTGTCCAGAGAAAACAGATATTTAGGGGCATGGGGCAGAGTGGGTGGGATGAAAGTTGTTGCTGGGAGGTTCACTTAGGTGTCTCTGTGCACCTGACAACTACGAGGGAACTTTGCTGGGGAGGAGTGAGACTACTTCCTCTAGTCTTCCATTCACCTGCCTTTTCTTAACAAACAACAAACAAATAAATAAGAAGCCTTACTGCCTATATCTCTGACCCCAGGCCATGGCTGGAGAAGAACACAAGTGAAATAGAGTCTATGCGGCTCTGAAAGCCTCTGGCTGCCTTCCTAGAGTTGAGTCATGTCTCTGCTTCAGGAAGATGCCATTAATTTGGTGTAAGAAATGAACAAATATGAGTACAGTGTGGCTCAGAGCTCCCAAAACGAACTGAGAACTTTCTGGGTTGTATCCACAAGTGTGGGCTGAAAGCAAAGATTACAGAAGGTGTTGATGGGCCTGGAGCTGGAAAACATTCCACTGGAGCAATTAAGAGGCAGTTTAGCGCCTCACTGGGCTATACTTCTTTGAAAATGCCTTTAGGCGGATTAGGAAGATTTTTCCTTCAAATAATGCTCTTTTCAAATTATAGTAAGTTTCTATGGCTGAGACTACAGTTGGACTCGGTCCTGGGGCTGTTACCCCAGGGTTGTGGATAGAGGTAAATGACAGGAAAGAAATAAAATCAATAGTCCTGTCCTGCAGGATGTGACATGGTGTCATGAAGATGGCAAGATCTGAGGGTCTGGAGTGAAAACAGCACCTCCCAGAGAGGACTCGAATCCTAGTCTGCACTAGAGTGGTGGTGGGAGGAGTCCAGGAAGTGCCTGCTTCCCCTACAGCCTGCTTCTCAGGGGTGGTCTAGGAGAGTCTTTCTACCTGATGTTTCTGGGTCTTGTGCGTAAGAGGCAAAGAGAAACCCTGAGGAAGCCACGGCTGATCAAACCACGGACTTTATCCTGAGCCAGAGACAATCAGCATCCGGGTGACGGGATTTTTGGATGGTGAGTCACCATCCAAATCAACCAGTGAGAGCCCTTCTCTTGCCCAATGTGCCCCAGGAGCACACAGAGAGAGGGCATTCACCCCATCTCAGGCCGTCTTTGGGGAGACCCCAACCTACAGTTCTAATTTCCATGGTTGCTGCATGTCACCTGCGCTGACTTGAGGGACTGTGGGGCTAAAGTGGTATCTTGGTTCCCCCGTTAGGTTTGCTTTCAATAAAGCCCCATGCTGGAATGGAGCGGCATGACTCCTCCTGGCAGCCTTAGAAGGAGGACACGCCCACCCTCCATCTGGGCTTCCAGGAAGAGCCCACCTGAGGTGCTGTTGGGCTGAGCAGATTAATCACTGTACAAACTGCCTCCAGCCTGATGCTCACCGACCAGCCCCCAGCCGCCGCCTCAAGATCCAGCCTCCTGAACAGTTGCTGCAGAACAGGGGGCGGGGCTGGACGCTGGAGCTGGAGAGAGCGTCTAGGGCCAGCGCTGGGCTCCAGCAGCGGCCTCTCATCCCCATCCCAGGGCTCTGAGGTCGGGTGTGCGTGCTGCCTTCCTCCTCACTCGGCAAGCAGAGCTGGCCGCCTTCCAAGAGTCTCAGTCCTGGAATCCAGGCTATTCTCCTATCCTTCCTCTCCTGCACTCCAGAGTGCCTTGATCAAAGCCATTCGAGAAGTTAACGGGTTTCATGGAAGCACAGTCGTGCGGAAAGGCTGGGAGACGTGGTTAGCTTATCTGTCAGCAATTTAAACCTAGATGGTTTCCAGAAATGACTGAGCTGAAGAATTGACCCCGAATTTTCGGCCTTCTGCCAGTAGGAGGAGGGGTGGAGCGTTATCCTCCAGGAGAATTAGCCCCATTGTTCCAGGGCAATCCTCCCAGCTCCAAAGATCCCACAAGGGGCTGTGCCCATCAGTGAAGCATAAGACACACTCGGAGGTTTGCCCAGACCCTGTGTCTGCCCCAGGAGCTTATCACCCTCCCCCTACACACAGGTAAGGGGTAGCATGTGCTGTCTGGTTGAACTTGAGGTCTAGTGAAGGATGCTGGTAAAAAGGCCTGGGAATCCTTATGTGGTGAAGAGCACTGGAAGCCAGACAGAGCTGTGTTCAAGTCTTGGCACCTGCTGACCTTGGGCAAGTTACTTAACCATGCTGAGCTCGACTTCCTTGTTTGTCCAGCTGGAGAAATATCATCTATCTTTAGGACTTTTGTTGTGGGGAATAAGTAACTGAGCTAGTCTATGTGAAATACTTAGCATCATGCCTGCCACAAATTAGAGCTCAAAAAATGTAGCTGGCCAGGTACGGTGGCTCGCGCCCATAATCTCAGCACTTTGGGAGGCCGAGGCTGGTGGATCACTTGAGCCAGGAATTTGAGACCAGCCTTGGCAATATAGTGAGACTCTGTCTCTACAAAACAAAAAACCTTAAAAGAAATTCACTAGGCATGGTAGCAAGCACCTGTAGTCCCAGCTGCTCAGGAGGCTGAGACAAGAGGATTGCTAGAGTCCAGAATGTCGAGGCTGCAGTAAGACACGATCCTGCCACTGCACTCCAGCCTTGGTGACAGAAGGATACCCTTTTTCTAAGAAAACAATGTAGCTAGTATTATTAGGTTGGTGCAAAAGTAATGGCGAAAACCGTGATTACTTTTGCACCAACCTTATAATTAGTTTTTAAAAGAACTCTGAATTTTAGAAGAAGGCTTAAAATGCCCAGAAATTTTATTAAGTCTATTAGGTGTCTCTGTGCACCTGACAACTCACTGTAACACAGTGAGATCTTTTAGGAAGGTAGGACCTTCTTGCACCTGGAGGGCACCAAATCCATTCTTCTTGCCATGTCTAACAAGAATATCTGCTGGAATCCTACTCTGCTCCGTATATTAAGGATCCTCAGAGTTAGAAGAAATCTTAAATTTTCTCTTCCTTATCCTCCCAAATGGTAACTATTTCTACAACATCTTCTCTAGTGCCTTATCTGGTATATATTTAAACCTCTCTATGATGTGACATCCATCCATCCACTGAATAGTTGTTGGTTACTGGGTATGCCCACAATATGATTTGATGCTAAAGACATACAAGTGAGACCAGGACACACAGGTTTCATCTTTGCAAGCTTCTCAGGGACAGGCAAATCCTGAATAAGTGGCAGTACAGATATTTCATTACCATTGTCATTAATGTGATTGCAAGCCCCATGTCAGCTGGGTATCCTCACAAGCTAGGTAAACTTAGCTCACACCAACAAACCCCTTTCTGCTCTTCCTGGGATGCCGGGAGGTGGGAGGAAGTGGGGTGTGTGTTGTCTTAGGTTCCCATCATCAGCTTGGAAGCCAATTCCTGCTTCCTCAGTTTCTGGACCATCTAACTTTTTTTTTTTTTTTTTTTTTTTTTTTTTTTTTTTTTTTTTTTGAGATGGAGTCTCGCTCTGTCACCAGGCTGGAGTGCAGTGTGCAGTGGCATGATCTCAGCTCACTGCAACATGTGCCTCCCAGGTTCAAGTGATTCTCCTGCCTCAGCCTCCCAAGTAGCTGGGACTGCAGGCATGCACCACCTTGCCCAGCTAATTTTTGTATTTTTAGTAGAGACAGAGTTTCACCATGTTGGCCAAGATGGTCTCAATATCTTGACCTCGTGATCTGCCTACCTTGGCCTCCCAAAGTGCTGGGATTACCAGCGTGAGTCACAGCACCTGACCCTCCTAACTCATTTATGTGTGTTGTTACAGTTCCACACTATATGGCACAGGTGTGAAACTCAGCCCATCCTCAATTTCCAGGAAAATTCAGCTTATATACGGCAATTTGTGTGTTGTTAGACCTACCCACAGATTTCTGTGGGAAGGAGCTATCAGAATAGGAGTTCATATCAGAGCAACCCTAACAGTTTTAAATTGTACATTACACATCACTTTTCTTAAAATGTCCTCTGGCTATGCCAGCACTAAGGAATTGTTATTCACCACCCTACCACAAATCTACTCAAAATTGTCCTCAGCTTCACAGCATCTGGCTGACTCCTCCCCATATTATTCTTCTCTTGGAGAAATATAATTTTCTCTTTTCTTCTCATACAGAAGAGTTTTGCTATTTTTTTTTGTCTGTTTCATAGGCTCCTGCCAGTTCCCAAGGTCCTCACCTTCTACCTGAAGCTGATCATTAAGGTATTTTCCTAAGCAAAGGACTTCTCATCTATGAGCAGAGAGCTGTCAGCTGTTAATACATTTTGACTCTGGTCATGCAATGAAAAGGGGCAGGTTTCAGCACATATACAATGGTATGGGGCATCTGCCTTAATTTAGGGGTTAAAGAAGCTGAAGAACAACTGTGAGTTAGCCAGAAAAGGATGAGAAGGAAGATGGAGGGCTCGCAAGGTCAATGTGGCTAAATCATAGACAATGAGGGTGATGGAGATAAGATTGAAGCTGGAGAGAGACGCAGGGGCATGAATACCTCTCCTGAAATCCCATCTCATCTCCAAAAGCCCTTTGGAGAATCTTCCCCAACACTGAGCTGACATATGTCTACCTGTCGCTTTCACCCCTCAGTCCCAGTTCTGCTCCCTGGGGCTGTTTAGGAGGATGATTACACTTGGATGGCAGTCCTCCAACCCTCTTCCTAACAGGTGAGATTTTCAGCAACAGCATCATTAAATGAAAGATATTATTGAAATGCAGTGCTCCAAATAATGTGCTATCCAGCCTCTTCTTTCTTTCCTTGCACCCTGTTCCTTTGCCCCACATTCAGTGTGAAAACTCACAGACATGAGCAGCCCCTGATGACTTCTTTCTGTACCCTTGGATCCATTTGGATCGGAGCACCTGGATAGGAGCAGGAGCCAGAGGGAACCTCTTAGCTGCTGGCAGGAGGCTTGGAAGCCCAGCAGCTTTGATTACAGTAAGATGTCCCACCCTGCCCGCAGTTCACCCCCAGCTTTCCAAGCATTTAAATGCTCTTTGTTTCTTAAAACCCAGGCTGCCTCAGCCTATACTGAGCCTTTGTGTGCATTAGAAAGAGACACCCTCTTGGGGCCAATGCAGAGTTTGGCCAGAGGAGCCTGGGCTGGAGTTCAGCCCACCTTGGAGTTCACTGGGCCCCTTTGTGAAGGCTGCACGCTGCACAACTTAATAAGAAGTCAGCACTCCTTATAAGAAGCCTGTGAGGTCAGTCAGGAACAGAAGACCCCAACCTCACCCATGAGGAACCTGAGGATCCAGTTGGCATAGGGCTGGAATTAGCACCGTATCTCCCGGCTCATGGTCAGGCAGATTCTATTCCAACACCCTGTAGTGATGATAAACCTTGGTCCAGCCAGACAGGTTGGGCTGCCTCCCAGCCCCGCTAGTCGGCACACTGTGAGTCACCGGAGCCGCGCGGGGCCTCCACAGCTTCTCAGCTCTAATCACGCTGGAACACATGCCTTGCTGCCCTCCTCAGCTAGGAGCCTAGACAGATGTATGTTCAAATGCTGTCTCTTACTAGCTATGCAAACTTGGGCCTTCCAAGTGTTTTGTTAAAAGGGGAGCAAACATTCGAATCACACAGGGCTGTGAGGTTAAATGAGAGCTGGGATCAAGCCACCCTGCCTCAAGTGGCCATGGCAAAGGGGCCATGCTGAGGAGGGCCGTGCAGCGTGTGTTCCAGTGATGGCAGAGCTGAGACGCCGTGGAGGCTCCGTCCTGCGCTGGTGACTCACAACGTGCTGACTAGTGGGCTGGGAGGCAGCCCATCTTGGTGGAGAGGAAGCCACCCCCCACCTCCCTGCAGCTGACATACGGTGGGGTGTGGGGGCAGCCTAGCAAGCACAACATGGCTCCTAAAAAAATCTGTCACAGAGTTTGAGAAATAAAGAAGAACAGGAAATGCTTTGGGCAAATATCAGAATACGATTTCTTGTAGTATGGGGAATGCAGGATGGGTCTTGGCAGAGGGGGTGAAGAATCAGGGATGGCCGTGGTAGAGAGAGGGCTTCCAGGACAGACACTTCTAAACCCACCAGGGTGCAGCGGGACACCTGGGTGCTACCTAGATAAGAACTGCACCAAGGACAGGGAGAGGCCAGTTGAGAAACGTTTCTGCCACACCATGTGGAGTTTCATCCCCTCCAGAAGGCAGAAGCCTGATTTTCCCCACCCCAGGGACTCTGGCTCAGGTGTTGGAGAACTGGGTAAGTTTCCTTTGTCACCAAAGTGGCTTTTGCAGGAGGTCAGATTTGTGAATCATTTATTCATTTATTAAAAACAGATGAGTTGAACAGCTATTTTACTCCAGGCATTGTTCTAGACATGGAGGTTACAGATATGAATCATATTTGAGAAAAATCTTAATTTGGTTTTAATTACAATGTGTATGCATGTATAAAAGTGTGTGTATAATTTTGGTGATGACTTTTGTGTGTAGGTGGCTGTGTGTGCATATGTGTATTCATATATATAAGCCCATGTGTGCATGCATCAATATGTGTGTATTTGTCTAAGTAGAAATGATCTTGTGGGTAAGTCTAAGAGTTTGAGCATCTCCATGTGCATTCTCTTCCCCAATAATTAAGGAAAAACTCTGGGATGAATTCTCTGTAATAGGTCTGAAGTTTAAGTATACAGAAGGAGGGAGTTATTGTTGGAGAGCATTTGCTCTAGGGATTCCAGGAGCTGGATGCCCTTGCTATCTTGTGTCACACTGACCTCATGCGTGGTGGGATGGGCACAAGTTGGAGATGAGAACCCAAAGAGCCAGGTAGGCATAAGGGACCAATGGAGGTCAGGGCAAGCAGGAAGCAGGAAGCAGGAAGTCAAGACTGGGGTGAAAGAATATGCTGAACCCACAGGATAGAACTGGCAAGAGGTTGGAGCTCCAGGCAAGAGCTGAAGGCTTGGCACCCAGGGAAGATAGAAGATCAGGAGCAGAAAAGAGAATGTCTGATACCCAGGCACCCCGGCAAGCCATCAGAGCAGAAGGTGATTCCAAGATAAAGGCTGTCTTGGGCAGAGCCTCATTAAAATTTCCTGCAAAGTGGCAGCCAGGGCTGACTTGAGAACCAGGAAGAGCTCAGGGTCTGAAGGCAACTTGGCTCTTCCTGAAACACGAGCCACTGATGCCTCCAATGAAGACTGAGTCTGTTGAGTGGGACTAGGACAAGGTGGCTGAGAAAGCCCAGAGGGGGTCCCGAACCAAAAGAGGGAGTAGGTCAGGTCAAACATCAAGGTGTCCTAAAAATATACAGCCTTGTTTATGTTGTCCTTAGAGTGGTTTGTCACTTAGATGGGCTTCTTTGAAATTTACTCTCACCAATATCATTTTTATTATGCAGTTAATCACTGGAGAGAAGGGGGAAAGGGAGTGTATCTGAATGCTTCTATTTCATTTGCTTAATGGAGCGCTCAGAGTAGGAGAGACAAAGCTCCCTAATCATTTATTTTAGTAACAGGAGTTATATTGGAGAGTTTCTGATAGTGCCATCCAGCCACTCTGGGCAGGGAGACTGACCGTCTTTATCTTGGTGCCCGTGAACAGATCCAGACATGTCTTCAAAGCCGTGCTGTCTTCTGGGCATGCAGATAACAGTGCCGATAGGAGAGGAGGCTGGGGAGAATGGCAGAGGCACACTCGCAAAGCCTGTCAGGGCTTGGAAGAAAATTAAGTCTTATTTCCCACAGTAATCCAGATTGCTGGTTTCTGGGCTGTGGCAAGGATTTCAGATGTTAATTCCAATCTTGTCTGCTGGTAGCTGGATTTCCTTTCAACCCTGGGCTTGTGAACTGGGCTGACTTGCAGGGGTGCTCAGTTCTGTTCTCAGCATGGGGCCTGGGCAGAGGAGGGCAGAGCGTGCTGGGGCAGAACCCACCCGCTCCCCGCCCTGCCAAAAAAAAAAGTGTTTCTTCTTGGGCCTATTTGGCTTGATTTCTAGGCCATGAGAGCACATTTCTCATCCAAATGAGAGACAGTAGTGGTAGGAGCCCGGGCTGTCCAGTCAGGCTAGCCCGAGTTCCAGTACTGACGGCTTAGTCAGTAGGACCCTGGACAGGCCACTGGGAACTGTGGCTGCTGTGACTGTGAGAAGCAGTACAGCACAGTGACTTAGAAAGTGGGCTCTGGGGCCAGATGTCCAGATACGCCCTTGCTATGTGACCTTGGGAACATTATTTATCTCTGTGTTCCAGTGTCCTATCCATAACCGGGAAATTATGTTAGTGCTACCTCATAGGATTGTTATGAGGATTGAGTGAACTAATATATATAAAAGCATATACATTTAAAATATATATGTATATACAAATAGCTTAAGACAGCATGCTGGGTATCTGATGTTAATTTGGCCATATGTGTAAAATGGAGATTTGATAGCACTCACCTTAGAGGAAGATGAAGTGAGGCAGTGCTTGTACAATGCTTTGTGTACAAATACAGGTAGAATACCTGGCCAACAGTAAGAGCTTAGTAAAGGTAAGCAGCTGTTGCTGTTGTTGCTAATGAAAGCAGCATTTATGCCGAGGTCAGGGCCCAGACAGCAGAGCCAGACGGTCTCCTTGCCTATCATCTCTCCTAATGGGGAGGCGGTCTGGGAGGGCTGAGCCTAGTGACATCATGACAGCTTCTCAGAGAGATGCAGCCCATCTCCTAAGCCGACTCCAGGCCTGGCTGAGCGTCCCCTATCTTATCGACCCAGGAAGGCGTCAGACTGAGGGAGCCGTTTCCTTCATGAAAGAAAAATGCCTGTGCCTCTGAATCCCTGCTGGGTGTGAGACAGAGGAGGAGTGGGCTACAGTGGGCATGGGGCCAGGGGAAGCAGGAGTGAGTGTGTGGGAGGAGCAGAGAGA
Organism: Homo sapiens; assembly: GCF_000001405.40. NCBI lineage: Eukaryota > Metazoa > Chordata > Mammalia > Primates > Hominidae > Homo > Homo sapiens. The sequence goes on along the minus strand of NC_000011.10, from coordinate 112,777,444 downwards.
CGGCTGGGCTCCCACCGCTGGAGACAAACGCACCCTGTCTGGAGGTCTGCTGCGTGCTGGATGCCTGCCTGGCACTCATAAAGGCAGCATGAGTGTGAGCTCAGCAGGGACCCTCCCTCATCCACAGAAGACCCACTTCAAGAAAGGGCCCTGGCAGCGCCACACGTGACGCAGGCAAAGTGCCCCTGTAGGGCCTGGGGTTGAAAGTCTGGATCACTTATGTAGGCTAGGAGCTTCTTCGCTTAGTCCTCTGAGGATGCCAAGCCTGCATGGGCGATGACCATGATGGCCTGAGTGCAGGACACAGAGGATGGACCCCTAAACCTGGGGGTCCCAGCCTGGGTGAGGAACCGAGGGAGCTCTGTCCTTCTGGCAGCTCCTATCAGCAAGTCTCCCAGGCTAGCACTCTCCTCCGATGACCTAAGATCTATTTTTATTCTGCAGTGCCTTGTCTAAGAGCAAATCAGTTCTCCTTGCTCAAATAGCCAGTCACATTTCAGTATTGTGTAGTCTAATTATTTCCCAAATGATAAACAATGAGCTACCATTTAGCCAGTGCTTACAAGAGCCAGACTGTCCTGCATGCTTTATGTAGCGGGCTTAGCACTTGAATCGCCTGACTTGACCGCTTACTAGCTATGTAACCTCAGGGAAATTTACTTAGTCTCTACAACCTCAGTTTCCTCACCTGTTTGCTGGGGACCACCCCGTTGTGACGGATTATTGTCCTGAGGATGAATGTGATACACAGTTCTAAAGCAGGAGCCCACACCAGTTGAGGCTGATTAGCTACTGCCACAGCTGAATATCCAAACTGCCAGCAACAGAGACCAACACTGAGTCCCCAGTATGGCACCATACCTTGAGGAGACCAACCAGCCATTTAATGACAAGCTGTCTTTGCCAGACTTCTGTCCTGCAAGGTCAGTGGTTTATTTTCATAGAAATCGATGTGTGCCTTGAGTATGGCTTTGTCTTTTCTGAACACACCCAGCGTCATTATCTGATAGACTTTTAAAGTGTTTGCTCCATTGGCACAGGGTACCATATTAAATCATGACAGACCTGGGGATATACTTCATAGCAATGACATTACAGGAGTGGGGCCATGAGCATGGGATCCATTAGTCATATCCCAGGGTGCATCATTCAAAAACTGCCAGCCTGATGGAGGATTGGAATGGCTTGCTGATGGCACAGTTGTAGCACCAGCTTGGAGGCAATATTCTGGAAAGATGGGATGCTGTCCTCTATATGCATTAAACAAAAGATCTTTCTGTGGTGCTGTGTCCTGATTAGGAAGAATGCACTGATCTAGAGACCAAGACATGGAAGTAGGAATGTCCCCACTTACCAATGCTCTTGCTGATCTTTTGGGAGACTTTGTACAACTCTTAACCTCTGCAAGGTAAGAAGTCCTGGTCCCCAATGAGGGGTACACTTTCATCAGGTGACACAGCAAAAATCCCATTGAATTACATGCTGCAACCTCCACCCAGGCATATTGACAAGAAAAGGCATCACCATCTTAATAGTAATTGACCCCGGTATTTAAAAGAAAGGGAGGCAGACAGATCATGAGATCAAGAGTTCAAGACCAGCCTGACCAACATGGTAAATCCCCGTCTCTACTGAAAATACAAAACTTAGCCGGATGTGGTGGCACATGCCTGTAATCCCAGCTCCTCAGGAGGCTGAGACAGGAGAATTGCTTGAACCCAGGAGGCAGAGGTTGCAGTGAGCCAAGATCATGCCACTGCACTCCAACCTGGGTGACAGAGTGAGACTGTCTCAAAAAAAAAAAAGAAAAAGAAAAAAGAAAGGGAGGCTGTTATTGCACAATGGGGACAGGGAGGAATATGTATGGAACCCAGGTGACCCACTTGGGTACCTCTTGGTATTTCCCTGCTCAATTATTACTGTTAATGAACAGGTATAGACACCCAGGCATGAGAAGATCATGGTGATGAAGGGCTCATAACCTTGTTGATAAGGATCTGGGTTACACTACCAGGTAAGCCAACAAAGGTAGCAGAGTTGGTGACTGTATTAGTTTGTTTTCACACTGCTGTAAAAACAAAAATGCCTGAGACTGGCTAATTTATAAAGGAAAGAGGTTTAATTGACTCACAGCTCCACATGGCTGGGAAGGCCTCAATAATTGTACGGACATTTACAATCATGGTGGAAGGGGAAGCAAGGCATGTCTTGCATGGCAGCAGTTGAGAGAGAGCAAAAGGGGAAGAGCCTCTTATAAAACTATCAGATCTTGTGAAAATTCACTCACTATCATGAGAACAGAAGGAAACCGCTGCCATGATCCAATCATCTCCCACCAGGTTCCTCCCTTGACATGTGGGGATTACAATTTGAGATGAGATTTGGGTGGGGACACAGAACCAAACCATATCAGTAACTGAAGGTGAGGGGAATCTAGAATGGACAGTAGAAGAGGAAGAAGGCAAATGCAGAGTGGGCGCCACTAACCTCTATTGTCTTGATCTTCCCTCAGGAAGAGAGGCCTGTGGGAATCCTGGAGGAGCTGCTCCTTGAAAGTATATGGGGAAGTGGATCTAAGTGGCCCCGGGGGAGAACACAGGCATGTTCTCCCAGACTCCTTCCAGGAAGAACTAGCTCTGAGGCAGAGTACAGTCAGCAGAGAGCTTCCAGCTTTCAGCTCTGCCTCAGCGGCAGAGTCAGCTCGAATTCCCACCATTCCTGGGGATGCCTGCATTTACCTGGTTGCTGAGTGACACTGATGGGTATACTCACTCCAGAGCTCTCTGCCAGGTCGGCTGAGGCTTTATGGAGCCTATATTGCAGTTCAAGTTCTTCCTCCACCCATCCTACATCCCCCACACTCCTCTCCCTAATAAATATCTGCACTGCATATTCCATCTCAACACTGCTTCTGAGACTGCTCCCCACCCAATGTGAAAACACGTAAAGGGCTTAGCATGGTTCCTGATACCTTCTCACAAAAACCTGAAATGTCATTGTCTTGAAGTGTGAAAATTCAGCACCAGATGATGCTGGGACCTCCAGCATCAGGTTGGGGCAGAGAGTAGGCTGGCCTCAGCAGGATGGGACTCCTTGAGAGGGCAGCAGTGTGTTGGCTCAGCGATTTGCCAGCTTGGAGGGTGGTGGTGGGACTGGCAGGAATGCCTGGGGACTGCTGGGGTCTGCAGTGTCATTCTAGGCGAGGGATCAGTCTTCTCTGCCCTGGATGTGGAGTACAGTGGAGGCACCTGAGAGGAAAAAGAGGCTGAGAGTTCAGAAGGGGGAACAGGATTCAGCCAAGTCTAAGAGGTTTTGGGCAGATTTTCACTCCCGGTGGAGAAGGGGACATTTTGGCAGAGAAACTGAGGCAGAAGTGCAATCCTATATCTGGGCCAAGCAGAGGGGCTATGCAGGAAGTGGAGGTAGGGAACGCTGGCCACCAAGCAGGGGATTCCTTTCAGAGGACAGTGGCTTATCCCTGAGGCTGCACCCACACTTCCTGTCCTGCTGAGGTGGGTGCTCGGAGGCCCCTGCTGGGAGAAGAGGAGAGCAAGGGTGGGCCAGAGGGGCAGTTCCTGCATAGGAAAGAAAGATCTCACTGCCCCTTCCCTTCTGGACCCCTTTTCTCCTTCCCATCATCACTCCTTATCTCCAACCATTGTCTTTCCCTGGAATTCTGCAGTAGCTTCTGATGCCTGCGCCCTTGACTCCTCCTGCCTCTTCTCTGCACACAGCAGCCTTAAACATAAATCACAGCAAGGCAGCTCCTGCTTGACAGCATTTCAGATGTTTTCATGACTTCCCACCACTGTCTCTTGAACCTGGCATGTAAGGCCCTGTGCAGTCTAGCTCCTCCCAGCTCCCAGCCTCATCTCTCCTCTCCTCCCACTCCACTCCCTAGGTTTCAGTCACAGCCAATCGCTTTTACTGCTTCCAATGCATCAGGAACCTTGCCACCTCCATGTGACACTCCCTGGGAGTGTTACTCCCTCTGTCCAGAACACTCCCCACACCTCACTCTGAACACCAGCCTATTCGGATCAAAGCTTAGATACTACCTCCTCCAGAAAGTCTTCCCCAACCACAAGCGTGGGCTAGGTGCCCTTCTAGGTGTCCCTGGCATGGTGCTCTCTCTACGCTCCATGTTCCAGCAATTGTGCTCATCTCTTCATCCTCCCACCAGACTAAAGCTCTGTGCAGGCAGAAGCTGTATCTGACGCAGGACTGACTGTTGTATTTCCAGAGCAAACAGAGCATACAGTAGATGTTCAATGTTTGTGAATAGCAAACCATGTATTAGAGCATGGATCCATGGATTTGTGAGGCTGGCTATGTGCCCCACATGCTGCATGGGTCTCCTGCCTCAGTGGCCTGATGCAGACAATGTGGAGGTCTTCTCTTCACAACTATGAAGACGCTCAGTAAGAAGCCAGGCACGTCTCTGAGTCCTTCTCTGCTACTGTTTTAGCGGTGGATCCCATCCCCTCGTTTAAGGATACATCTATTTCACTAGGTTGTATGGTACAAGGTGAATACAGATTGTGTGATTACGAGGACCAGGTTGCACCATTTTCAGTTAACCTGGCTCTCACTAAAAGTATCCATCTATCACTATGTCATTCATCGTCTTTCTAGTCCGCTGTGCCTCTAGACAAGACCTTCAGGGTTCCTGCCCAATCTTGCCCATGCACCCTTCATTCACTCCCTATTACACCTTTTTTTTCCTCTGCCCAGGCAGAGGTGTATTTCTGTCTTTCAGTTTCCCAGGACCCTACACGTATAGATGTGTGATGGGGAGAGGTATTTTCTGAATCCTGCAGGAGTGTCTTCGGCTTTGGGTTGAAACTGCTGTCTGTACAGTCACTTGAAATTTACTCCACAGTATCCATTTGCTTTTTCCCAGAACACTCATCCCACTAGGCTCTTGTCTGTTCTGGGCCCCAAGAACTCTTTTAAGTTCCTCTGACCTGACCTCCGATCTTGGTTTACCAAGGGGGCATGCTCATTTAGACAACAGGTGCTAAACCAGTATACAGGTTTGAATTCCACCTGGTCCACTGGTAGGCAATGTAACTTTAGTAAAGTGGCTTAGCATTTCTATATCCACTTAATTTGTTTGTAAAGTAGGCTTAGTCCTGGCACCCATGTCATGGGGCCTAAATGTATAATATAGGTAAACGTCCTGGCATATGGTAAATGCTCAATAAATGTTAGCTTTTACTATGCTGAGGTCTTCCAAGCTCTTCCCTTTTTCTTTGTGACTTAGTCATGAAACTGCAACAGAAAAGCACACATGATTTCATCTGTATAAAGTTTTAAAGATAAGCAACCCAAGTATAATATTGAGACAGTAAAATTCTAAAACAAAACAAGGAAGTGGTTTCCACAAAAGTCACAGTAGTGGTTGTCCCTGGAGGGTGGGAGGGGAAGTTATTGGAAGGAGGAAAGGAGGCTGGTTGTGTTCTATTTCTTGACCGAGAATGGTTACAACAAAATTTGTTTTGTGATGTCATCTGCATGCATACATCCATTTCACAGACATCTCTGAACGTGTGTTACATTCCACAAAAGGTTAAAATCTACTACTAGATTTTACTATCTAGAAACTACTTTTTTTGTTTGTTTGTTTGTTTGTTTTGTTTTTGTTTTTGAGATGGAGTTTTGCACTGTTGCCCAGACTGGAGTGCAGTGGTGCTATCTTGGCTCACTGCAAGCTCCACCTCCCAGGTTCATGCCATTCTCCTGCCTCAGCCTCCCAAGTAGCTGGGACTACAAGCGCCCGCCACCACGACCAACTAATTTTTTTTTTTTTTTTGTATTTTTAGTAGAGACGGAGTTTCACTGTGTTAGCCAGGATGGTCTTGAGCTACTGACCTCATGATCTGCCCGCCTTGGCCTCCCAAAGTGCTGGGATTACAGGCGTAAGCCACCGCGCCTGGCCTAGAAACTACTTTTTTTTAAAAAAAGTTTAAACTCCCTTTCCCCTTCTGCTTTTTTCCCCACGTATTTTTTGTAACAAAATATGCATAACATAAAATTTTACCATCTAACCATTTTTACATGCACAATTCAGTAACATTAAGCATATTCATGAGGCTGTACAACCATTACTCCTATCCATTTCAACAACTTTTTCATCATCCCAAATAGAAACGCTGTGCCCATCACGCCATAACTCTGAGTTCCTTTTACCCCTGGTCCCTGGTAATCACCATTCTACTTCCTTTCTCTATGAATTTTCCTATTCGCCATACCTCCCATAAATGGAATTGTACAATATTTGCTCTTCTGTGTCTGTATTATTTCACTTAGCATAATATTCTCCAGGTTCATCCATGCTGTAGCATGTATTAGAATTTCATTCCTTTTCATGGCTGAATGATGTTCCACTGTTACATATATACCACGTTGTGTTTATTCATGTTGATGGACACTTAGATTACTCCCACCTTTTGGCTCTTTTGAATAATGCTGCTATGGGCATGGGTGACAAATAGATGTTTGAGTCCTTGCTTTCAACTTTTGTGGGTATATGCCTAGGAGTGGAATTGTCGGATCTTCTTCTGCTTTTAAACCAAAGGAATGGACCTCTCCTCTTCACAAAAATTTCTGCATGAATTCCAGCCAATGGGAGAGGTGAATGCTAGAGGGTTGAATGGGGCAAGGAAGTGAGAGAGGCTTCCAGCTTTGGTCACTTGCAGATGAAGCAAGAGCGGAGCGGAAGCCAGGGATTCCTGGGTTCTGTGCCAGCGCCATGGCCTCACATGCTGCTCCTGCTCTCTGTGCCCAGTGACCCCACCATGGTGTGGTAACAATAACTCCCTTGTTAGTGAAGAAGAGAATAAACAAGAACAAGTGGGAGATGGCAGAGACCTGAGAGAGGCATCTTCTGTAGATAAGGAACTAGGTAGAATTTTAAATAGAAAACAAATTTATTTTAGCTGGAGAGATGAGGATAAGGAGAGGTAGAAGGGGGCAGAGGTCGGTAAAGGAGGAAGGGCAGGAAGAACGGCAATGGGGAAGGAGCAGAAGGATAGGAGATAGAGGAAGTAAAGAAGGTGGAAGCAGAAAAGGTAAAAGAGGATGAAGAGAAGAAAAAGAAGGCAATGGAGAAATAAGAATATTTTCCAGTGGGAAAGGGAAGGGGGTGGAACTTGCATCCCAGACCACAGCTTCTGGTGCTCCTGCTAGATTCCAGAGAAAAATAACAACCCGTCACTCTTGGTGACTGGCAGTCCACTTTAGAGGGCCTGCTTGCAGCAGCACTGACAGACACAGGCGTCCTTAAATCAGTGAAACAGAACCGTCCTCAGTCTGACCCTCATGAAGCACATCCCCACCTAATACATTATTGACAAGGCTGACTTTTACCAAGACGCTCTGGCCTGCTGTGTAATAAATGTGTATCGGCTGCTCTTTATCACCCATTACCTTGTTAAAATAATTGTCTTAATTTCATTGTTAAACTGATTAATAGGGCAAGTGTTAAAGGAAATTAATACTCAAAAGGAAGAATAATTGTAGCCAAAAAAGAACTCCTCTGAATTGGTCTGGTGGTAAAGTTAGGAATTCTGTAGTTAATGAGGCTTAGAGAGTTAAATATAGAATATCCAGGAGAGTGGCCAACTGTGGGAGACGGAAGGCAGGAGAGGTGGGCTGGAGAGGCAGGGAGGGAGGGAGACAGAGTTGTTCACACATCCACGCCCACTCACGGGAACTCACAGAGGCAGGTCAGTCTCACAGGCCTCTCTGACCCCACAGTGCCCAGCATAGTGTCTGACACCTGAATGGCCATAGAGCTCACATTGCTCAGCCTTGGCTAGTGCTCTGTGTGAACTCCGGATAAGGAGAGACTGTAGGGGCTCTTGCTGAGTGGGACCCTAGACTGAGGCTGGGCTGTTTCAGTCAGGAACAGCCTGGGGACAGGCTGTGGCTGCACTGCCTCCTCTCTGAGGTGCGGGAGGGAAGTCAGCATCTTGTTCTTCCCCCACCCTGCTGCCCCCACTGGTGTCCAGCTGCACACCTTCCTTCCACCCTGGGTCCCCACGGCGTGCAGAACTCCTGCATCACTGACCTGGCAGCTGCAGAGGCAGCTGCATGCCAGGGCAGAACTGGAGCAGGTGCCTGGAGGCCGTTCTGGACTAGCCTTTCTATCCGCAGAGATGATCTAGGGATGGAGAATTGTGATTCTCTTAGACAATTTCCTCACTTGTTTATTCAATCATTCAGCTCATGTCTATTAAGCTCCTGTGACATAGCAGGTTCTGCTTTAAGAGCAGGGCCTAGGAAGATAGAAAGACTTGGCCCTTTAACTCAAAGATTTTCCAGTCTGGTGGAGGAGACAAAGACTCATGCAAACAGATAATTACTACACATACCTTGTTTGTTTAATGCTCACTCTCTTAGAAATCAATTTTTTTTATATTCTGAAAGTTCTCATAGGCTCTCAGCCAATGGAAACTTCTCAAAAGACCTTTCTTTGTGCCTTGGCCAATAGGTATACTGAAAACACCCTCAGCTAATGATCTGCAATGTGTGCTGTGTACTCTGTGCTGAAATTCTTCCAGCCCTTTACTTTGTGTCTCTGAAAATAATTGTGATACTTAATGGCTGATCAAACGGGTACCATGACGGTGGTGGTCCGGCTGCATAGAAACAACAGCATCATAGTGAGATGTGAAAATGTGAGCTCTACCCACTCGAGGTAACTTCGAAAAATAGGTGAAAACAGAGAGTAGAGATAAGCAGGTAATTAGGAAGTATAGAAGGCCTTAACTTTATGAAGGTCATCATAAATGACAATGCAGCCTCAGAGGCGTGGCTGGAAAATGGGTGAAAGAACCTGGAAGGAACTCTGGCCCAAGGCAGGTAGGTCATGACTTCAGTCTGTAATCCCAGCTACTCAGAGGCTGAGGCAGGAGAATCGCTGGAGCCCAGGAGGTGGAGGTTGTGGTGAGTCGAGATCGCGCCACTGCACTCCAGTCTGGGTGACAGAGTGAGACCCTGTCTCAAAAAAATAAAAATAATAAATAAATAAATAAAGGATGTGAAGACAATTGGAAGAGCCCCGTGCCCTGGAAGCCATCTCCACAGAGACAATGCCACGAGGACTCTTGCATGCTCCTTTGGGTAGCACCCTGCGCTGAAGTCAAGCTCTGGCCAAAATCTGGTTTGTGGGTCTGCCTTAGACATAGGCCTTTGGAAGGATGGGAATTCAATGCTCACTTCAGCCTCACTTCTGACATCCTTAGATTTTTGCATAACTACAGTGATCACCTAAGTTACTAACATGCAAAGTCAGTATAGCAATATCAGTGATCCAAACAAGTTATTCCATTCAGGGTTGTTCTTATTTAAACATTCCCTTTGAAATATGGGTATGGAGGCTATCAAATATAGGAAAGTTGAAGGGGAAAAGTCTCCCATAAGCTTTATATGTTGACATTTTATCAATCAGTTGAGGAATAAATATATATTTATTATCACGAGATTAAAATGGTGCAATACTTCATGCCTATTTCGAAAGCTGTTAATTTTATGTGCAAAACATTATTCAGAACTTTCAAAAAGTTAACAAGAAAAAAGAAATAGAAAGTGTGTTGACTTGATAACTTTAGGAAGAACCCGATATCCTTTTCTTAGCAAAGAAATGTTTGTAAAAATTTAAATAATAATACAAGCCGAATATAGATATTAGATTATATCACAATTCTTATCTTTTGTAAAATTGTCTGGGGTTTTAGCATTCATCACATTCAACAAAATGACCTTTAAAATTTGTATTTAGTGTTTCATTTTTAAATTTTATTTAGATTATGAGTCCTTCCTATTTGTAAGTTCTTCACATTTTGGAGTTTGAACTAAAAGTAATGTGTTAATCTCAGGATTTCATATGGAAAAAACCCTATTAAGTCATGTCCAACAATATCCACAAGAAACCTTCTTCTGTCGACACTTTAAAAAATATGAGTATGAAATAAACAAATGTATTGGAAATAAATGAGGTACAACTTGAATAGCTTGCTCTTCCTCAAACCTCTGTTGAAAATAAGTGTCCATCAGAAGTTCAGGGACAGGGGCAGGATTGTATGGTTGATTGCTCCTGAACTACAGTGCCAAACTGCTGAAATGTACAGCTAAAATTTTTAGCTATACAATTGTAATAATAATTATTGTTGGTAGCATTTCTGATTTATTTCTAAATTCCAGAAGTTCCTTTTATGATAGTGATATTTGGCTCTGGTCCAATATTGATTTTAACATTTGGTGTTTGGCCAAAAGATGGTTTCAGTAAGTATGCACCTGTCCAGTGTGGTAGATGCTCTAACAGACATGGTGGAAACATGGATGAAGTCCTGCCTAAGTGTCTGGGAGAGGCCGGGAAGGCTGCATATTGAATCCAGAATGGAGACCAGGAGCATCAATTCAAAGTTTGCCCAGAGAGCAAGGTGGGGTGGGGTGCTCAAGGAAAACAGCTAAGAAATGTCTTGAATACCTTTTGAATGTTGGGCATCACTATGGAGTTTCTCACATGTGTTATTTTCTTTAGTCCTAAACCAATGGAATGAAGTAGGTATTACTTTCTCCTTTGTGTGGAGGAGCAGAGGGAAGCTCAGAGAGGGGAAGTGATGGTCCTGCAGACTTGAGAGCCAAAAGAAGCTCCCAGCCTCAGGGGGATTGCCTAAAAAAGCCCATGTCCCTATGTATTAGTCCATTTTCTTTTCTTTTTATTTTTATTTTCTTTCTTTTTTTTGTTTTTTGATGGAGTTTTGCCACTGCCACCCAGGCTGGAGTGCAATGGTGCAATCTCGGCTCACTGCAACCTCTGCCTCCCAGGTTCAAGCGATTCTCCTGCTTCAGCCTCCCAAGTAGCTGGGATTACAGGCATGTGCCACCATGCCTGGCTAATTTTTGTATTTTTAGTAGAGATGGGTTTTTGCCATGTTGGCTGGGCTGATCTAGAACTCCTGACCTCAGGTGATCCACCTGCCTCAACCTCCCAAAGTGCTGGAATTATAGGCGTGAGCCACTTCGCCCAGCCTATTAGTCCATTTTCATGCTGCTGATAAAGACTTACACGAGACTGGGCAATTTGCAAAAGAAAGAGGTTTATTGGACTTACAGTTCTGCGTGGCTGAGGAAGCCTCACAATCATGGTGGAAGGCAAGGAGGAGTAAGTCTTGTCTTACATGGATGGCAGCAGGCAAAGAGACAGCTTGTGCAGGCAAGCTCTGATTTTTAAAACCATCAGATCTCTTGAGACCCATTCACTATCACAACAACAACATAGGCAAGACCCGCCCCCATAATTCAATCATCTCCCACTGGGTCCCTCCAGAAACACGTGAGAATTATGGGATCTACCAGAGGAGATTTGGGTCGGGATGGAGAGCCAAACCTTATCACCCTGTACCCCAGACTCACCTACTACCACAATTGCAGTAAGGGGAGGGACTGTCGTGAGGCTGGAGGAGTTGCTGAGGGAGCCCCAAATTTGCGTAAGGCCTGATTCCTTAAAGCCCCAGCCCATGTGACCTTATTTCTAACCCATAGTCTTACTGCTCACATCACAACAAAGCCATTCCCTTGAGGCTGCCATTTTCTTTTCCCAGCTAGGCCCGGGGCAGAGGTGTCCCGGGCACCACACAGAGCCTTTGGCTTCCTTTGTGGCCCATGCTTTCTAGACCTGCCTAGCGGTCACCCTGCAAGGCTCTCCTCTAATGGCCTGCTTCTCCTCAGATGCTTTTCTTTTTTTCTTGGTCTTTTTTCCCCCATTTCGTCTCTTCTAGGGAAAACCCGCTGCCTGGCACAGCTATTGTGTTTGGAAATGAGCCTCCTGGGCTGGTGAATAAATTGCATTTTATCCCTCCCTGTCAGTTCTGGTTGGGGGAGCACTGAGAGATGAAAGCAGAGACTTCAAAAGCGCTTCTTTTGACACAGGGCTGCATTTCTCATTTCCAAGCCTGTCTGGGGTGCTAAACCCGGCTCTTTGGCAATCATGGCAGGAACTGCACCTTGGCCATCCTAGAGAATCTTCTTGGCCTCCTGGGTACAGCGCCACCTTGGAGATGTGTCTCCTGGGCCAGGCACCTGCTGGTCACCATCTTCAGTGAGTCAGCAGAGTGGGCAGGTTTGATTCTTAGCAAAACATTGCTGATGACAGGTGACTCTGTCCTCCCTCCAGGAAGAAGCCATTCCCCTGTCTGGAGTACCCTTGCCTGGAGGAGGAACTGAGCACTTCCATCTGCATTGTATTATTGAACCACATATAGAGATGCCCAATGCTTTTTATTTGGGGAATCACAGGATTCTGGCAAGGCGTTTCCCTGCCTGGTGGGTCTTCATTTTCTCCCCTCTTCCCTGCACTAGCCCAGCACTTGCCTCTATACTCCTAGCTGGGCAATTTATCATATTAAGACTCATGATCTGCTGTCTTCCTGCTGAGATGAGCATGGATTGAGGTTTGAAGACTGGGGAAATCAGCCACTCACTGATCCTGCACATCCAGGGGATGGGGTAACTTTCCTTGGGCCCGGACTCTGAAGGGCAAAGGCTTCTCCTTCCTCCCTGTCTGGAGAGGCTAAGTGAGCTGGGGAACTGGAGGAGGAGGCCAGCTTCTGAGATGCTGATGTTCCTGTAGAGCTGTGGGAATCTGACAAAGCTACCAGAGTCTCTATCCTCAGACCAGCTTCCACTCCACTCAAGAATAGACCATGCATTATGAAAGCCTTGATGACTTCACTTCTGAGTATACCCAGAATTTAATAGAGTGTTGAGTGCGGAGGCAAAAAATATTGTGCTTGGAAGGCAATATGTACAAAAGTTAATAGTTTGACCTTAGAATTAAGAGAATTCATGGACCAGATTCTGGCTCTGCTACTTACTAGCTGAAGCTGGGTAGTATGGAGGCTTTACCTCAATCTCCACAACTGTAAATAGGGAGAATAATGGCACCTACCTCATAGTTGTTGAGAAGGCTGAATGGCATCATTTGTGTAAAAGTGCCCAAGCCAATACTTAGCATAATGTTGATGATCAGAAAATGATTCATTTATTGCACCACTCACTTGGGAGAGGGTGTAAATTAATGGAAAGGACACAGCTTTTGGAGATGGAGAGGGTGGGCTTAAATCCCACTTCAGCCTTATGGTGGTTGTTAAACCTTGGCAAGTCACTTACTGTAAGAATAACAACCACCACCACCAGCTACCACTTATTAAGTGTTTATCATGTGCCAGGTGCTTTACCAGAGACACCACCTCATTATTCTTCACACGGGGGTAAGTCACTTGCTCACGATTTTGCTGCTTGAAGAAGAAGAGATGGGATTTAAAGTCAGGTTCCCAACTTAATCTATGCTTATAACTACTATACCTCTTCACTACATAATTTCCCCTAACTTCCCTGAGCCTTAGTTTCTTCAGATGTAAAATGCGGCTGATAATGCCTACCTCTTAAGTTTAAGATGGGAGTTAAAGACGATAACACATATCAGACCCCAACAAATAGAAATCTCGATTGTTAGTCACTTCAGAAGGCAACGTTTCATATTAACAATTCCAAGTTGCAATGCCATTGACTCTGGGAGTGGGAGGAGACTTTACAGGTCATCAACTCCCAACCTCCTTCAACCCTGATAGTCAAAAAGAAGGCAGTTGGTGTGGGCCTGGCATGGCTTAGCTGACTTCCTGGAGAGGGAAGCGCAGAATGTTCCAGAAAGTGAAGATGTTCAACCAGGACTTGAGGATTGTATTAGGAAAACTTATGGTCAGGTCCCAAGGCTTCTAGCTTTTATATTCCCCTGCAAAACTCATCCTGGTTAGAGGGGATCCATGCTGCATTTGCAGTGATGCTATGAGCTTTCTGCCACTTAAGTACATGCCCTTGACCTGTCCTCATCCTGCTCTGACTCCCTCACAACTGGATGATCATGGAGCTAATGTCTCCGGGGACACTCTCTCTCCTGCCCTTTCCTCAGGAACCTTCTCTGGGCTGGGACCATGGTTTCTGTTTTGCTGATAGGGAAAGAGGCCTCTTGGAGAGGAGTCACACGGGGCTGCTGTGACTCTGTATTGATGGGACAGGAAGTTAAAGACTAGAGAGCAAGTGGGTCCCTTCCTCAACTTTGGCCCTGACCTCCCCTCTGATCTTACCCAGATCATGCCTGTCTTCTGGGTAGGACTGGACACTCACCCAGCCTCAGTGGCCTGAGGTTTGGAAAGGAAGCAGGAGCTATGTGAAACCAGAGAGCTGCCACGCATCCCCACGAGTGACAAATTCACAGGAGTGGAAAGAAAAAAAGCCCTGAATACTGATGGCTGTGCAGCTGCTAGAAGTAAAGTTTCCAGAATTGCAATGAGCAGCCTTGTGCTGGAGTTTTATGTCATTTGCTTTCAATTCCATTTACAGTTATTTCTTGTTTTTATATCATGTTTTATTGAAATCCATTTTTTACTTTCATGCTTGAGGCTCAGCCATGGATGTTTCCCTCCTCCCCCCATCTTCTGGCTCCTGAGCACGTGACGGTTCACATTATGCAAACACCACAGAAAAAGGTTTTGAAGTATCATGAGGTTTTTGTCCCTGTCTGTATTTCTCAGAGATGAGTATTTATTTTTCTGAAAGCAGGCTGGGGATGCAGCCATGCAATCCAGGGTGCATTTCAGAATCCACCGGCAGCCTTGTTTGCCGGGGACAGAGGCCTCTCCTCTCTTGCTTTTGTAACTCTCTAGGGAATGCAGTCCAGTTCTGTGCTCACCATGAGCCCCATTACATGACCTACTGACAACTGACAGACAGACTAGATTTTCCCCTACTTTGAACTGCAGGTTCTTTAAGTAGAAAGAGAGAAGAAACAAAAATACAGTCTTTGAGCCTCTGAGGCAAACCAGAGCATGTCTGGAAATGGAACCGAAACAGGGGTCAGAGGCTTCTCCATTTCCTGCTGCCCCCACACCTGACCCTCCTGGTCTTACCTGGGAGGCTGCCAGATCTTCTCACTGGGCTCCCTTCCTCCATCCTCTCCCAGCATAGAAGGATGTTCCCAAATGCCACAGCCATCAAGTGTCTCTCCAGCTCAAAACCTCCAGGGCTGCATGGGACCTGACCCCCTCACAGCCTCTGTTCCAATCAGGCCAGGCTCTTCACCACTCTGGCCCATGCCAGGTCACTTCCACTCCTACGTGCTTGGCTGGGTGTCCTCTCCTCCTGGAAAGGCTTTGCATTCTGGTCTGCCCCACCTCCTGCAGAAAGCTTCCCTGGCCCACTCAGTCTGCTCATGCCCCCTTCTAAACTGTGGCTGTTTGGGCACACTGTCCCATGTCTTGTGTGAATACTAACTGTGCATTGAGTGCCCTGGCTCTTGACGGAGTCTGCATAACCAGGTGGTAAATAGAATCTGTGGTGTGGTTTGGCTGTTTCGCCCCCTCTAAATCTCGTGGTGAAATGTGACCCCCAGTGTTGGAGGTGAGGCCCTGTGGGAGGTGTTTGAGTCATGGGGGCAGACCCCTCATGAACGGCTTCATGCCCTCACCATGATAATGACTGAGTTCCTGTGAGAGCTGGTTGTTAAAAAGAGGGTAGCAGCTTTCCCTCTCTCTCTTGCTCCCTCTCTTGCCATGTGACACGCGTGCTCCCCCTTCATCTTCCGCCATGAGTGGAAGTTTCCCGAGCCTTCACCAGAAGCAGATGCTGACGCCATGTTCCTTGTACAACCTGCAGAACCATGAGCCAAATAAACCTTTTTTTCTTTGTAAATTATCCATTCTCAGATATTCCTTTATGGCAATGCAAATAGACCAACACAACCTGAATATGAATCCATGGAGCCTGTATTATTTTATACTATGTAGTCTGTGCAATCTTAGGCAACTCACTTCATCTCCCTGTGCCTCAGTTTCCTTATCCATAAATTGGAGATTATAAGAGCACCTAATGCATATGGGTGTTGTGAAAATTAGTCAATATGGTGAGAATACTTAGAACAGTGTCCGGTACATAAGGAAACACTATACAAATATAAGTTTTTCTTATTACTAGTTCCAAATAACAGAAAAAAACTCAAGACAGCTAAAATCTTCAAAGGATAATTTATTATTATACAGAAGGTTATACAAATGTCTTGTGTTAATAGAATCCAAGGGCAGGGAGGCGTCTGGGCCTCGGTGGGTACTGACGCCAGATGGGAAATTTGATGATTCGTGAGAATCAAGTTCCTCTGCTTCATCCCCCAGCAGGAAACACAGCCCCCGTAGCTCCCGAGTTACCTGTCGCATGGAGAGAATAAAGCTCTCCTCACTATTTCCTAGGGAAATCCTCTGATTGGCCCAGTTTGGTTCAGGGCTTCATCCTTCATCCAGTCAACTCTGCCCAAGGGGGCAAGGCATGGCCACGTTGCACAAAATGCCCACAGGGGCTTTGTTGTTGAGTGCTGTGTGCATGTGGGGGTGGTTACTGAGAGAAAAGAACCCATTGGCCCTTCAAATTGTGCCTTCTACAAGTGCAGAGGGCTCTCTATACTTGTCCTGTATTAGTTCACATGTAGCACAGGATGCCTCACATAGCGGGTACCGGTTATAGATTAACCAGAGTTGAGATGTAGACTCCAAATACCAGGATTGCAGCTCACTGGGGTTGCTCATTAAAGTTTGGAATAAATTAGAGTCTGAGAGGTTTCCAGAACTCCTTTCTACTTGAAGCAAGGAAACAGTGCTTTTTCCTGCTTCTCCTTGTATTGCCCTCCCCACCTCTGCCATGTGCCAAGATATTGGTCCCGGGGAGCAGCATTAATGAGCTCAAATTGTAGCCAGAACTTTGGAAATCCACAGTTACCAACAGTCTCTTTGTCCCGATAGCCAGCAGAGGCTAGGGCTGCCCACTCAGCTGGGCTGATCTCCCTTTTCTCACAGTGAATGGTCTATCAGGCGACAGGCACTGAAAGGTTTCCTCTGGGCACTGACTGCATGGGTGTCAGCCTGGGGGGTCCAAGCAGTGTGGCAACAAAGAAGGTGCTGGAGGAATGCCTCAGCTCAGGTCCTTCGTAGGAGTGAACTTAGACTCCAGGGAAGAGTGAGGATGGGTCACTATGGGAATATCTCCTTCATCTTTGGCTCCAAACCTCCCAAATTCCCACACACAGCTCATTCACATCGACAGAGAAAAAGCACGAAGCTGCCTGCCCCTATCCCACTCACTTTCATTGGGGAGGGCAGTGGTTCTCAGGTTCTCAGGCATGGCTGCTCATTAGAATCATCTGGGGAGCTTTGGTAAATGCTCATTCCCAGGCAGGACCCCAGATGAATGAAATCAGATTCTCTATGGATATGACCAAGCATTCATGTATTTTTAAAGCCCTCCAGGTGGTGCCAATATGCAACCAAGGCTGAAACCTTCAGTGTTAGGGCATTCATTTGTTCACACAACTCCAACCACCCTTAGATAACTTGAGAACCTTTATGTCCAGCCCCACACACTCACTCTCTCTCTGTCCTGAGCTTCTCCTTGCCTAAGTATATCCTCTCTTGAATAACTGATTGGCATGTGAAGAATGTTACTTGTGCTGAACTCTTGTTTCTTCCCTCCCAATTCTTTCTCATCACTCTGAGCTCTTTTATCCATTCAAACCTGGGTACAGAACATGGCTAATCTGCTTAACTCCTCAGTACCTCTGTAGTGGGCAGACACTTCATTTGTGCCACATTAACTGGTGCTTATGTTGCTTTATAAATATATCACTCATTATAAGCTTCTTGAGAGTAGGAGGGACCATGCATTCTATTTTTGGCTTGTTTTTATATCCTCCCAGAGTACCTAGTAAAATGTTGACTACCAGTAATGTGGCTGCCCAAAGATAGAGGAAGGAGAGTGCTGGCCAAGGATGGTTTCCACTGAGCCAAATCAGGGCTTCTGAAGGCTGTGGCTTCTCTATCAACACTCTCACCGCAGGGTTGCATTACACCAGTCGTAGGGAGAGAAAATTCCCCTTACTCTTCTGCTTAAAAGTTCTCTTCCCTTTACATTTGGGAAGAGTATGAAAGGAACCCTGGAAATGGGTACTAGGAGGTTCCATATGTGTTGATCACAAAGTGGGAGAAGCTTAGTAATCACAGCTACCACCCATATAGTACTCAACTGTGCGTCTGGGGTTTTTCATACAACTGTTCACAATGATAGTATTATTAAACATTTCTGAAGCTCAGAAAGTTTATTTTCCCAAGGTAAATGATAGCGCTTCAAAGAGCCCTGCAATGTTTAGTAAGGCAGGTAAGTTCCAAAGCAGACTTGAAGCAGGAAGATGAGAATCAGACAGTTGTCTTTGTCCTCACTCCAATCAACCTCCCTCCTTATATTTAGTGACAGTTACCCAGGCAAAGGTTTGCTGATTGCCCTGAGGTTGCCCAGGCTGGAGTGCAATGGCGCAATCTTGGCTCACTGCAACGTCCGCCTCCCAGGTTCAAGCAATTCTCCTGCCTCAGCCTCCCAAGTAGCTGGGATTATAGGCACCCCACCATTATGCCCAGCTATTTTTTTTTTTTTTTTGTAGAGACAGGGCTTCACCATGTTGGCCAGGATGATCTTGAACTCCTGGCCTCAGGTGATCTGCCCGCCTCAGCCTCCTAAAGTGCTGGGATTATAGGCCTGAGCCACCACGCCCGGCCTCATTATCTTTTTAAGAGGGACACAAAGCCACATCCACATCTGTACCTTTTAGGGGTACAGAGGTCAAAGATATCTTGCACATGCACACACACGCACACATGCACACACACACACACCCCACAGCTAGATGGGAGCAAACACTGAAGAATAAATATACCTGACACACAGATATGCAGTGTAATTATATGCCGATAAAGATATCTTTATCGGCATATAATCATTATTGCAGTGGTGTCATCTTCTTCATCATCATCATAATCAATCATCATCATCATCATCATTTCCAATTGGGAACAAATTGGTTGCAAGTAACAGAAACAACCTCAGGCTAGCTTAGGGAAAACAAGGGAAATGTACCACATGGCTGCAGGATCGCTTTAGAAAGCAAAAGAAAAAAATGCACTGGGCCCCAGGAAGGGAGGTAGGTGCTGCCAGCACACTCTGTCTTCCCTCTCTGTGTCTCTCTGCTTGTCTCCCTAAGACTTCTTTTCCATGCTTCCCAGTCCATACCACACAATGTGGCTGCCCAGAATCCTCGAGTTTGCCTATTACAGTCCCAGACACCTGTGAAGCTTAATTTCTCTCTTAGTGCCATTTCCAAATTTGTGGAGAAGAGCCTCCAACTGTCCCATTTCAGGTCCTATACCTCCTAATGACATCCCTTTTCCCATAGAGTTGGCCAGTGGGGTTCCGGAGTGAAGGGGGCATCCGTCTTTCTGGATAGGAAGGAAATTATCAGAGAAAGGGGGAATAATTGTGAGCTGGAAATTTGCCCCAACAAATAATAATAGCATAAACGTTAATGTATTGGTCCAGATACTAAATTAGGGGTTTTATATTTTTCTGTAGTTCTCACAGCAATCATTCCAGGTAAGTATTGCCATTCCCATTTTACAGAGAAGAAAACTAAGGAAATTAGAAATTACCAAACCCCAAGACATTGCTCTTCATGGATTCAAGCACTTTTGGAATCTTTTCCTTCTGGAGATCAGGTTGGGCTGTGTGTCAGGTATGTTTATTCTTTAGTGTTTGCTCCCACCCAGCTGTGGTGTGTGTGTGTGTGTGTGTGTGTGTGTGTGTGCAATGCCTCCGTGGGTCTGCATGTTCATACTCTTCCATGGCTGTGTCCTGAGACTCTGAGAATGCTCATTTTCTAGTGGGGAGAGAATGTTCAGCTTGATCCTGCCAGCCTGAGTCAGTGGAGCCACAGGCCTGGCTGGCTGGGACAAAGACGCTCTGTATCCATCAGGAATGTAGTGACCTCATCATTGCTTTCTTCTGTGGCTTGGGTTTGTGTTAAGCAGAAGGAAGAGAGATTTGGGGTCAGGGCTTGGTGCCTGGGCCTTCAATCACATACTCCTCCATTCCCCTCTCCTTCCATCTCAATAACCAATCTGGCCTGAAGCAAGAACTCTGGTTTCATCACCATGAAGCTAAAATGGAGCTTGGGCTGGAGCTGGGGGTTCCCCCAGATGGTGGAGCAGGAAGGCCTGGAATAGATAGATAAAGGACTCAAGAATGAGGAGACCTGACTACAGCTTGGCTTTCCAGAGCTGGCTGTGGGATTCTCTTGAGACCCTATCACAGCTTCAGATTCCCATTTTCCTCCTCAGTCATGTGAAGGGCCAGATGACCTTTAGTGAAGTACTTTGGAAAGTTAACCCTGGGATCAATGAGTGGTCTCATCCTTTCCCCTTGTCTTTTAAGGAAAACCATGGCTTAGGATGAATCCACAGTGGATGTGGTAGTCTTCTTTAGGTATGTAGTGCACAGGTACAAAGGATGTCGTCCTGAGCACAGATTTAGGCGAGCACTGCAGGGGTTTGTAATCAGTTTTGGGTTTGTTTGTAGGTTTGACAAGAAAGTCATAGACTACCCATGTTATTGACTTTCATCTTTGGGCCTCAGTTTCCTCAGCTGTGAGAAGACTACCCAGCTAGACAGTTTCCAAGGTGTCTTTTGGCTGTGACATGTGATGAATGGCTCAAGTAGCCTGTGTACCCCGTCCTCACTGTCCTGCTATGTTCCTGCTTCAAACACCCATTTTCTAGTCCATAATGTTCCAATTGTTAGGGCAAGAGACATAAAATTTGTGGTGTGTGTGTGTGTGTGTGTGTGTGTGTGTGTACGCATGCACATGTGAGAGACAGAGAGAGAGAGAGATGGATGGTGGGGAAGAGAAGAGATGAGAGTGAGAATAAGAATAGTGTTCCAGGAATCTGTCATGCATTAATTGGTTCTCATAAACCAAAGCTATCAACCCTTCCATAGAAAATACAAGCCTGGATAATAAACCAGAAATGATGGTATGAATGGCTTTAAATCCTTCATATTTTAGGCCACAATCACCCTGTTTGACCCCAGAGTTTGACACAGACGTTGGCTTAGGGACCAGCAGCCTGTTCCTGCTGTGTCCCTATGCCAGCTGGAGACACCCGGCCTCGGAGGCTCACGTTATGCCGACCCCCACCCCAGTGCTGTCACGCCACTGCCAGTTGTTCCTCATCTTAATCCTACTTCATGGTGGTCATTTTAAAAGCATCAGAGCTTTTGACACAGAACCAAAGGTAAATTGCATTTGCCATAAATGTGGGAGGGGTCCTTATAAGGTGGGGCTCCTTATGGGAGCAATTTGTGTTGGACACCACCTTGCAAGTGAAATAAAAACCTGGTTTATTCCACTGGGGCAACTTCTCTTTATAATTTATAAATAGGATTTTAGTAGGACACTCAAAAGGATTAGTTGAGAAAAACTGAATTCACATTTGAGGATAAACTGTGCGCAGACACAAAGCTTCAATACAGCCAATTACAAAGAATATTCGGCTATAATGGCCCTCTAGGGCTGTGTTAACTCCAATCCCTCTTTCTAAGGATGGCGGGGAGGGAAGAGGAGAGGCTGGGGACAGTCTGTGATCTGGCCTGACTTGGTGCCTCTTCCTTTTCCTCTAATTCTGATGCAGAGTCTGTTGTACCGCAGTCTGGCACCCACCAGAAAGGCCTCTTTTGGGCATCAGGAATGATAGCAGATTGTGGATTTCTCAGTGTCTGTCTGCAACTGCTCAATATTGAATGTATGTAAGACACTTGCTTTGACCAAATAGAATCCATCAATCATATCACTTTCCTCTTTCATCTTCAATTTTCACCCCTAATTGTTAGGATACAGACTCCCACACCAGAGAATCCTCAAAGGGGACAACTCCCAAATGGGAAAGCCTCTGCGAAATCTTTTTTGCTTGTCATGTCTTCGTTGGTGGTGGGAGGGCTTTTGGGATCTCCTAAGGTATTGGTTAGGATACTGCCTACCTTCTGGGTTTAATGATGTGTATGGAAGATTTCCCATTCTATTCAAAAGCCCTTTCCTCTATAGTTGTTTTCTTTATCTCCTTTTGAATCAATTCCACCATCTCTGTCTTCTCTCCTTCCCATCTACCCCCCGCACAAACCCTCGATGAAGTGGCTGAGCTGAAAATCTATCCCTTTGAACAAATTCTACTTCGCTAGTACTTTATTATCTACTTGTTCTTAATTTCAATTGTATGAAGGCAGTTACCATGAAATGCTATGGGAACCTACCTCACTTATGTATAAAGCCAATCATTAGGGCAAGACTAATTACAAGTAGCAAATTAAAAATCCGCTTGGGTTGAGTGAGACTGTTATGATAGAGTTGCTTATTTCTGACTTTAGTGCTCTCAGAAGCCTCCTAGACCTCCTTAGATCAAAGCATTCTGGAAGAACAAGGCATTATGGCCCAGATTGAGTTTACACAAGACATTGAGAGATCTTGGGTGTCATAATTATCTTCTCAACACATCAACTGGCCACTGGCTTTCTCCACCAGACCCTATCTTATGTGGCATCTCAGAGGACTCTCATTTCAATTCTTTATTACCTCATAGCCATAACCAGCAGCTCCCCACCCAATGTTGCCTTTTGAGGGACTTAATTGATCAATAATTCTGTTTAATACCCAGCAGGGCATTGCAGTGAATGGGCCCTTTCTCTCCATTGGTACCTGTATTTGGTTTTCTTCTTTTTTGCTATGGATGAAGATATCTCATGGATGAATGATGCCATTGTGAGCTTGGAGAATACTAATATGGCAACAGGTCACAACATGCGTGACAGGAAATAGAACAACAGTAGAAAAACATCTGGGACATGCCTTATGGACAAGCGACATAAAGACCAGACAAGAAAGAAGAAAGGAAAAGAGGTGAGAAGTCACATTAGAAAAAACTTACAGGAAAGCATTGATTCAACCAAGGGCATAAACTTCATTGAGCAGCTGGAAAAATTGACATTGTCTGGTACTTGGAAAAGAGGTTTTGTTCTGAACACTCCTGGTCTTGGATAAAGGGAGGAAATTTTAACCATCCCAGAGAGTCAGGGGCTGCTTCTGCAACTGAGGTTTGTGCCTGGTACTTACTGGAAATGGCTTTGCTTCCTGAAAGGTGAAGGTGGAGAAAGCTTATTGAGAGATCTCTGATTGTGGGTGTGAGTTGCCTGGGGGAAGGAAGTGACACATGATAAATTAAAATCAGTTGCATGGTCAATGGGTAAAATGAATAGAGCTAAAGTCTGAATCTCACATATACATAATTTTTTTTATCAATATGTATTGTGGGAATTCTCATTGTAAGAAAGTTATTGCAAATCAGCTTGTAAGTCCCCTAAGAAGCCTTTCTTGATTCCCTTCCCTTCCTGATTTTTTTCCTCCCTCTCTATTTCTATAACTAGGGTGACCAGGTGTCCCAGTTTGCCCAGGACAGTCCTAGTTTGCACCTGTTGTCCTGATGTAATCATCAATAGTACTCCCTTTCATTTTCCTAAGTATCCTGGTTTCACTCTTTCATAATACTCTGCACTTCTCCATATCATAGCACTCACTGATCTGTGTAATAAATGATTTATCTGTATCCTTCATTAGACTGAAAGGCCTCTGAGTACAAGCGTCTCGTCTGTCTTATTCACTGTTGGATTTTCAGTACCTAGTACTGAGCTGGGCACACTGCTGGCACCCCAAAATGTTCATTAGGTAGACAAATAAATGCCTATGATCCAACTCAGGTTCCCGGGGTGGCCTGGCAGGAAATGCTTCATGGGCTATTCTGAGCAAGGTAGCAATCACACGGAGAATACGGGAATCAATTAATCAAAAGCTTTTCCCGATCCCACCCTTAGGTAGACTGATTTATACATGTTGGTAGAGTCCAGCCCCCTCTGTCATCTGAGTGTCATCTGAGTGTCATCTGTACAGGCAGCCCAGGTCACTCTTTTTCTGTATAGTCGTTGTATAAAAAGCCAGCATGGGCTGTTGTCCACATGAATTACTCCCTGGAAATAATGCTGTCCTGAAAGACCAGCAGCCTGAGAGTAACAGAGAAGAGGGGCAGCAGCAGGGGCACTGATGGCCAGGTTCAGCTTGGCCACTCACTGACGTTGGGATCTTGGTCAAAGCACTTCACCTCTCAGCCTTACAAGAGAAAGGTCCCTTCCAGCTGTCATCCTCTGTAATTCAGTGACTATCCTAGGGTTCACTAACATAGCAGTCAAGGGCTGCGAGCCAGGATTATAATCATCTCAATGGAGAACTAGAGATTGCCTTTGGGGTACTCTACATTCAGTTTCGGTAGGGCTTGTTGCTCAGCAAAGCCTGTCCCAGGGTTCCTCTTCCACCCCTGAGAGCCCTGCTAATCAACCCAGAGGTACTGGCTGCCCTGCCAGGCAAAGATGAGAAGCATTTAGGAGTATACGATCCCAGGTAACCAGCCAGGTATTTAACCAGGATAATCTAGAGCAGGGTCACTGGGTAAACATTCTGGACTGTGATTGAGAAAGAATGCAAAGGATCAATCAGAGCTGTGAGAAAAAACCTTCAACAGGGAAATGGCAGCATGGGATCAGAAGACAGAAATACTCAATACGGTGTGGGAAGCAGTGGGCAAAGCTGGAGAGGCAGAGACAGCAGCGTGGATACTGCTGTCAATCAGGGAAATACTTGAGTGGTGCCGTTTTTATGGAGCTGTGGGTGTGTGAAAGGCCCAACTGCTGAGAAGGCCTGGAATGCTAGTGACTACCAAGGATTCATACAAAATCATGATTGGGGTTATCTGAAATTTAACAGAGGATTCCTGAAGATGCAAACCTTCATCCAGAAAGCAAATTCTCACATGACGGAATTTCAGATGGTATGGCAAGCCTAGAGGAGGAGCTATTTGGAGCCACTAAGATTGGGTCATAAAGCTCCTGCACAACCTGCCTTCCTCTAAAGCCAGAGTCAGTAAGATAAGCCAGGATCTAGGGGAATTGTTGAATAAGATCGGTGAAAGGTCCTGCAGGTTTTTAAGCCTCCAGTGTTACCTGAAAGCTGAGGATGACAAGTTGGCCAGTCAGGAGTGGAGACAAAATCATAAGTCTGTGCTTCTAAAACTGTCCCTTTTGGAAGAGTGAGCATGTGCTCCTGGGTTTTGGGAACATAAAGCAGTTCCCTAAGAAATCACAGGTTCTGCTGGGACCTGTCCCACATCTAGGAGTTGATCAGCTGCTACTCAGATACTGTGAAACTGAGGGCCCTCAACTGGGGGCTGCCGCCAAGGGAGGGACCACGGACTCTCAGATAGTGACATCTTATGTCCCCAGAGAGCAAAAGATTCCCTGGGAACTTAAGAGGAGTCAGGGAAGCCGGGATGGCTCAGAAAGCAGCCTGCTCCCTCCCTGCCACCTCTGAATCCTGGGGTTTTAGAATCTCCCTGACAGTTTGGCAACACTTGAGGTAATAGCAGCAGAGCTAATTTGCTAATCTGCCAGAACTGCATCCAACATCCTTTTGTGCACTGACACTAGAGTAATGGGAAGGCACTAGCTCGGCCACTGTTTGCCTGCTGAAACTAAGCTATGGCATTCTCTGCATAATTCATTTGTGCATGAAATGGAAGCCTAATAGCATAAGTAAAACACTAAGCAGAAATAGGTGGTAAATGTCTTTTTTAAGTCTTAAAGATAGACTCTACTTCACTTATAAAGCCCAATTTGGTAATACTTAATGGCATGAAACACTTTTCTCTGGAGCCATACCTACTGACTGCTTTTTGATCCCCCTACCTTCCCAGGCCCCTGCCTGCTGAGATAGTCAGTCCATCATCCCCTTGACTCTCTCTGCCTCCCCAGCCATGCCCTTGCAGATGGCACTGAGCCCAGCATCCTGTCCTCACAGGGCCTCTTACCCTCCCGCAGGGCCCACTGTAGCAGCAAAGGCTGGAGGCATCCAGGTTCCAGGCCAGGCCAGGCCTGGAAGGTCCGAGCTTGCTGGTAACTGAGCTCAGGGAACGGAGGCCCTGTGGTGAGCTCAGAGGGGCAGCAGTAGCCAGGGCCAGGGGGTCGTGAGTGGGAGGAGTTGGCCTCTGTTCTTCCAGAATTGGGAGGGCTCTGCTAAAACAGCTGCTTCTCAGTAGAGGAGCCTCAGGCCAAGTGAGTCTGCTCAGAGCCCGCTCAGAGCCCGCTCAGTGCCCGCTCAGTGTTCAGATGGGTCAGGAGCCTAGCACAATGGGCTTTGAGCTTTGTGGGTCTCTTTCCGGTTATCCCTTGCTGCAGAAGAAATTATCCTAAAACATAGTGACTTAAAACAACAGTTTTATTTAGCTCACAATTGTATGGTTTAGGAATTTGGGAAGAAATTGGCTGGGCCATTCATCTCTGAATCTCACAGTGTCATGTGGGGCAGGATCCACTTACAAGATGGTTCCTCACACCTGCTTCCGGTGCCTCCTGGGTCCTCTGCTCCTCTCTGTCTCTGCACTTCTACAGGGACCTCTCCAGCGGCTTCAGCTTCTCACAGCATGGCCCTCAAGGCTGGTGCCCATGAGGAAATGTTCAAAAGCAAGCAGACGAAGAGGCACGTGGGGAAGCTGCGACTTCTGTGACCGAGCCTCCAAATCCCCAAAGTCACACAGCTGCATTCTGGACTTACCAAGCATGTTGGTAAGTCCAGCCATGTCTAAGGGGAGAGGAGGCGTCAATCTCATCTCTGGATGTGCACACAGGGAAGGAAGCATTGATGGATGCCACCTTGGAGGCACAGTACCACAGTCTCCCAGTTACTCAGGTAGGACTCAGGCTCTGAATCCCACTCACCAGTTCTCACTCATGATAACCAACACACCTCCACACTTGCAAAGATGCATGCCTACGCTCCCAAGTACACATCTTTCCGATAGGTCAATCGCATTGGCAGTGGGTGCATACTTTATAGGTTTAATGGGTGTCTACAGACTCAAATTATCTTCAGATATAGAAAAATATATTTTGGAATATACTTGAGTACTTTTGTATTAGCTCAATGGACCATGACTAATGCATTATCCTGGTTCTATGGCTCACATTCTGAAAACCAAGACTAGCCTATTCAGTTACGTGGCTTCAGTTCCTCAAAGGCAATGCCCCACCTTGAGTTCAGGAATCTTCAGGTCTCTGGCAAGTCCCAAGGCAATAGTTTCTGCTGCAAGTGACAGGATGGGAATGAGGAGGAAGTTTTGAGTCCTGAAGCAGAGGATTGCAGAGAGAACATCCAACCAGTTAATGACTCCGGTGGCAGCTTGCTTCCACCTCCACCTCCCTTTTCTAGTTGTCCTTTTCTTGTTCATGGAGAAATATCATAAAACAAACCAAAATGTGAACAAATCAGACACTAAGTTAACTAGCTGAAGGCTTTCATCAGGTCTACCCATGAGGGATAGCCCTCCTGCCAACGTAACTTTTCAATCTTTTTATGCTGAAAGAGTGCCTTTGTTTTGACCTTGACTTAGTTATTAAGCAACCTTATGTTAAGGTTGGCTTTGCAAGGCGTTATGCCCAATTACCCTTAATTCATTCATTTTCCCCCTTTTTCCTTAACTGCTGTGGTGGGGAAAGGCAAATCCAGCGCAGTGAAATATTTGTTTGAGTTATTATTTCTTTGATGTTTGATTCCACTGGTAAATCATAAGCTGCATGAAGGCAGAAGCTGTGTCTGTCTTGTTCATTGTTACAAAGCAGTGTGTATCAAGTGCAGAATCTGGCACATATAGACACCCGTCAAATTGTTCTCCAATGCATGGATGAATGAATTTATTCAACAATGTACATTAAGCAAGTACCATATGCCAGACACTGTGATGGGTTCCAGGGTTATAACAATGAATAAGTTGTGGTCTCTGTCCTCCTGGAGCTCAGACCACATCTGTGTGAGTCTACTTATATTTCTTAAGTATTTCTTCCTTAGCCCCTGGATCACTGCTCTGCTCATAAACTATCCAACCATATGGGGGCCATCCTTGCTGCACAACAGCCCAGATGGTGGCTTCACCAGGCAGGATTATTTAGGGGTGATCTTCTCCCAACCACCTCCCTTCCCAGCTCTCACTTAATTACCCAACATGCCTCATAAATAAGGGAAGGGGGTGGGATTGCCTTCGCCTCGTGAGCATCAATGTTTTCTAAATGATATTGTTCCTGCAGCTTCCGAGAGCCTCATAAACACGCCTGGCCCTGGATTTATTATGCGGTGATAATCCCTCCTAGCCAGCTGGAAAGATTCATAGCTCTGACCCCTTCCCTTGCTCCCTCCTCTCCCTGGCCTCATGCAGGGGAACTGGGGGCCAAGGGTGAAAGGTCACAGAGCCTAGGGGGCTGTGACATGGGCCAGGAGGCAGGCTGGCAGACGTCCAACCAACTTTGAGAAATGCTGCCTTTCCCCGAGACATCTGCTCCCAAAGTGTTTCTAGCCAGCCTGCCCCCTGCAACCACCCGAGGAGTTCCCTGGCAGAAAGCAGGTCTCAGCAGCAGTGAGGGGGCCATGCACAGCCCTGCCACTCTCCTCTGCCTGTTTGTCCCTGCACAGCCCACACTCGCCCATGCTGGGACTGCTCCAAAGATTGCTGCAGGCAGCAGCCGACAGCTCCAGAATGCAAGCCACCCTCTGCCCACCTGCCTGGTTACTCCTGGTTTGCAGCTTTTCTGGATTCAAGACCCTCCCACACTCACTTTGCCTGTGTAATTCAGATTCTCTCCCCCCAGCCCCTGAATTGACAGCCAGGGTTTGAAGCAGCTCCCCAACTTTGCCTCAGAAGCTCAGCTCATCATGATTTCTGTTCTCTGTGATTTAGCTTCTGACATTGAAACTGTGGACAAGAGATCCTGGAGGACAGACCCTGAAGCGCTCCCTTACCTGATGGCCTCCCGACAGAAGAGGAACCCTGGGCTTTAGAGACTGATTATTGTAACACTGAGACCAAATGGTGGTCAGTCTTCGAGGGCACACCCTATGCAGACTCATTTCTGTGTGGGCAAATGAGTGTCATCTAAATATATCTCAGCCATACTGCTTCAGCCCTAAGGCTTGGTTTCATACAGTGACACATTAAAAAGAAAAACAAATCTAACTCCAAACGCTTTGAAAAAGCAGCGTAATTTTTCCCCTAAAGGTTCTTGAAGAGATGGCAAAGGGGAACATATATCACATCACACAGAGAAAAGCATTCTAAAAGCCCTGTTTACTAGTCTGTTTCCACAAATTCCTACCACATCCAGCGGCAGAGGTGCAGTATACAGCTATGCAGGTTGTGCACTGCACAACCCAGGGGACGCCATTCACATCTGTAGCATAACAGATATATATTTATTGTAGGAATCTTCTGGCAGATGCTACTCAAGTGTCTTGAAGAAGGAATGGCTTCTTTTGATTTGCATAATGGTGTATGTGGGTAGTGGCAGAAGTATGTGACGCTTCTCTCATCCCAGTTTTCCAACTCTTTTCCCAAAAATCTCCAGACTGTTCTGGCTCTCCTAATTTATTTCCTCCATTTCTCTCACTCAACGCATTCTCTCAACTCCCCTCCCCTCTCCAACACACACACACACATACACCTCCCACACCCACACACCTCCATCTTTTCTTTGGAGGGGAGTTCATGCTCTCTGCAGGCTATGAGTTTAACCTCAGATCCTTCCATGTCTCTGTCTATCCTGTGTTGTCACCATTAGCCTGGAGCAGGTCTGCAGTAGCAAAGGGTCCTCCTTACAAAGTGACATTGTTATCTTTGTCTCACCCAGAGAGACTCTAGGAGCTGACACTGTTAAGAAGAAAATTTAAGAATCTAGAGGAGACGTAAGAAGCAACCTCACTACTGCAACAGAAGACCATTTGGTCCTGTCCTCTGCCATTGCTCCAACCCAGTCCTTGCAGCAAGGCATGTCTGGGCGTTCGGCAAGGGCTCTACCGATGTGTTCCCAGGGGCTCCCTCACATCTCTCTCTCTCAGAATCTTGCTTTATCTCTGTGAAGCAATTTTTTTTTTTTTTATTTTTTGAGATGGAGTCTCGCTCTGTCGCCCAGGCTGGAGTCCAGTGGCGCCATCTGGGCTCACTGCAAGCTCCGCCTCCCGGGTTCACGCCATTCTCCTGCCTCAGCCTCCCGAGTAGCTGGGACTACAGGCGCCCGCCACCATGCCCGGCTAATTTTTTGTATTTTTAGTAGAGATGGGGTTTCACCATGTTAGCCAGGATGGTCTCGATCTCGTGACCTCGTGATCTGCCCGCCTTGGCCTCCCAAAGTGCTGGGATTACAGGCGTGAGCCACTGTATTTTTCTTTGTTTTCTTTCTAAGTCGCTCCCTGAGGAGCTTAAGCCACAGTCTCTGGTTCAGATCCCCCATGGGGAAGGGACATGGCACTTGCTGTCCCCAACTCTTCTCTGAACAAGATTTCTACATCAGCCATCCTCTCTCCAAACAATATCTCCACAGTGTAGCCTGGGAGGGAAAGGAAAGACCCTAATAAAACTCTAACCTGGGGCTACTCAAAGTGAGCCCCCATGCTCACCTGCCCCTTACCTTTTCAGGGCTCCCTTTTTATTAGCACAGTTATGCTCCATCTCCCTCCTTCCCTTCCTCTCTGTCTTTCTGTTTCCACTCCCGATCTCAGCTGGAGCAGTTCCTGAAGTTCTTGCTGAGGGTAAGAGGAAGAAGCTCCATTGCGCCTTCCACCATTTAGCCAGCACTGCCGGAAGCACTCGATTCCCTCCTCACTCCCACTCCCTTCCGCTCTGCAGGTGTTGCCTGTACCAGGGGCTTGCTTTCCCGGCCCAGGCCTTTGGCCCTCTAGTCCAGCTTCTTGTTCAGCATAGTTGATTTCTCCTCATTTGAATCTGCAGCACCACCCTCTTAATTAAGTGCATTAACCCTTTCAGGACAGCAGTGTCCACAGACAGAGTTTCTTGCATCGGAGCCTCCCAGAATGATACCACCACTCGCGCGCTCCTTGTCTTCCAGGTCTCTTGGGGGCTGCTGATTGACCAAGGTCCCTGCCCTCTCTCCCGGTCATGGGCAAGTGAACCCCAATCTAGAACAACCAGAGCCCACGTCTACGTGGTGAAAAAGGGCTCTTCTCTTCTACTATTTTTTCTGCTTTCGCTTTCTGTTTTCCTCCATTCTCCTAGCTCCCCTGTCTTCTGCCTAAATAACACATCACAATCTAACCGAATCAATCACCCTCGCTCAACAGCCTCCCCAGGGGGCCTTTTTGGAGAACGTGGTACAATCTTCCTATCATTTTATCATCTGCTGAAGCCCAACAGCGGTGAGCAGTGGTTTCTGTTAGCACAGCATTATGAACAATCTCTTTAGGGAGGGGTGGAGGGGAAGGGAGACACTACAGCAAACACAAGCCCCGCCCTCAGGTTCTGCCTTCATGGGGGCAAGCCTGGCTTTCTAATCCCCCCTCTGCTGCCACACTGTTGCATAGATTCTGCAAGCCTTTCCCCAGAGAACTCCAGAACCAGAATTGAAAGCCTCATCCTCTGGGGCTGTCAAGTATTTCTACTCAACTGTCATCTCGTTTAGAGATGGAATTATAAAGTACCTATATTGGTGATAGAGGCTGGGGCAGGGCAAAAGGTTGGAGATACAGTCAGTGAAGCACCTGGAGGTGACATAATGCATGTGGGGATCTGCATTTTGAGTGGTGCATGTTGAGATGACCACATCCCTGAAACAGAACACAGCATCATGCAGTGCTTGGAGAATCGGCCAAGTGGTGGTCATGTTATTCCGTGGGCTGTCAGGATCCTCTGGCTGCTGTAGGTCGCCTAACATCCTGGTAGCTGCCAAGACTCTCTGCCCAGCCCTTAGATGGGATGCCCTGTCCCCAGGCCCGTGCCACTGCCCATTTCAAGTTTATCACCTCTATTCTCCCTGCCTCTTATCTCTTCTGCTTCCAGCCGTCCCAGAACCCTGCCACCATACAATCCTTCCTGAAGCCCAGTTCTAAACTTGTCACTCATATTTAGAAGCCTTCAAGAGCTCCCCGCTGCCCATCAGTAAATTCCTTATCATGACTTAGCCCAGCATTCAAGGCCCCCATGCCTCAGTTTCCTCTTTCATTCTAGCCTTATTTCCATTTTATGCTTCTAGAAACCATCTAAACTGAAGCACTGATTAGTTCACACTGTGTTATATTCAAAACTATTATGTCCAAACCCTCCCCACTGTTCCAGGCCCAGTTAGGAGGACACCTCCAGAGGGAGGTTTCTCTGATGGCTTTCTCCTCTGCACTCCCATTGCATTTTGGTTTTGCCTCTTGGATCACTTTCTATCTTGAATTACAGTTATTTATGTGCATATCTACCATGCCTACTTTGTACCTAAAGGGTCAGGACCCACATCTGGCTCCTCAAGCTGAGCTCAGAGACTTGGACACTCAGTAAATATAATAGAATCTGTTCCTAGCCAAGGACTCCCTTCTGTCATGGGTTAGTGGATATCAGTGGTCATCTTTGCTACTGTCCTCAGGAAAAAATGAAATGAAGCAGGAAAAAAGACAAACACAGGCTTGCAAAGGAGCCTCTGAGAGAAAGAAGAAAACACAGGGCTGGGTGTTTATTTCTGGCTTGCCATGTTGTTTATTATCAGCTTTTCTCAGGTACAGCACACCCTTCACATCCTCACCGACAATTACCGAGGAAGCATTCAACTAATTTCCTCAACTCCAACTGCCTTTAGTAGAATCTAATTTTAACATTGCTCTCAGTTGCTCTTTAAGGATGCAGATAAGTAGAAATGACAGACACCTATGTACCCGTATGCCTGCCTCTCCATCTGTCCGTCTGTCTCTCTTTCACTGGGTGGGCCAAGGGATGTGCAGAATTTAGGAGCAGCCACCCTGCCTCCACTGTCCAAACACTGGCCAGACAGAGCCTAGGTGGCTTATCTGGACGAAACAGAGAAAGCAACCCAAAAATGACATAAATTTGGAAAACCATCAAGCATTTATAAGTGGCTCCAGAGAGCCAAGAGCTTGGGTGTCCGCCCTGCATCAAACATTAAATAGTTTATACTGATTGTCATGGAGCAAGTGGGTGCAACGTGTTAGAATGACAGACACAATGGAAGAGAAAATTCAGAACCAGGAAACTGGCTCCAGCCCCTAGCAGAGAAATAGCCAAACCTCTCATGCAAGAAGCCTGAGGGTAGATGAACACTAAGGAGTCCGCTGAGCAGTTCAATTCCTGGCACCATGACAGGACCCCTGGCCCCTAGGAGTAAAGCCAGCAGGCCTCTCTGCCACCTGCCCCAGGCTTTATAATATCCCTGCCAAGAATTTGTTTGCTGTCTAACCTCAATCCTCCTTGCTCTTGCTTTAGCCCACCTGTGCTTGTTCTACCTCAATGTTGCTCTTCCTATAAAAATAAAATCTATTTGAACAGTTACACATCAACATATTCTACTATCTTTGAATAACATATACATTTTAAAAATAAAATGCACACACTAAGATTCACATTTTTGAACAAAATTATATCACTGTATATATATTGTGCCTCCAAATGTACTAAGTATTTCTTCCACCTACATTGTTTCATTTACTCTTCACATCAATTCCATAATTCAAATACCTTAGCATTCTCTTTTTTCTGTATTGAAAGGAAAGAACTTTTGTGAGGTTAAGTAACTCCTCAGTGCTGCACTGCTTGTAAGCTAGGCTGGGGCTAGACCTTAGGGCCCCAAAGCCTTTATTTCCACTACTGTGGGCTGTCACTCACTAAGTGTCTTCTAAAGGTGGTTTTGAAATGGGCAGTGTTGGCCTCTCATTATTTAATGCCTCCTCCAATCTTTGGAAACATTCATGCATTCAATGAACAAATACCGACTGAGCACTAGTATGTCCCAGGCACCAGATGGACATTAAATATTGTGGTACACTGATTAGTCAAATATAGTTCTAATAAAAGCTCCCTTCCTCCCACTAGTTGCTCTAGGGCTTACCTAGCCTCCCTCTGCATACATCAAACTCTACCCTTATTCCTTGCTCCCCTCCAACCCCCCAAATCAAAATCAAAGCCATTTGTTCCTCTGAAACTGCAGTAATCCACCAATACACACTGAAGGGTTATTGACTGACAGCTGAGTGTCTTGGTTTTCCTGTAAGAGTTTCTGCAATTTTTTTAAAAGAACATCAAGTCTCCAAGCTAGGGTACATCTAGAGATACATGAAGACTTTCCAAAGAGATAGAGGGCATGGCTGCCCATTGAAGGGAATCAATTTCCACATCTGACACACTTTTTCCTAGAACTGACCTGCCATGCAGCAGGTTTCCATTGAGCTGTTCCTAACTTCCCACTACCCCTTTCATAATCATCTTACTCCCATTTTAAAAAAGAAAAGCATTCCCCTCACCTGTTCCAAATCTTTCTATCACACATAATTTGCACAAAGATAAAAAAACCTTGTGAACATCAAGAAAAGAGATGATGCAAAATATCAATATACCAGGCAGGATTTAGTGCAGGGAAGAGAAACCTTTCAAGGTATTTTAAGCACAAAATGATTTTTTGCAAGGAACTAGGTACTCACAAAATTACTAGAAAGGCTGCAAGTGCAGGTTCTAGCTGCGGCCCTGGGAATGATTTCTAGAGCAGTAGAGGTCTCATCATCCACAGGGTGCTCCTCTGATCCACCCTTGGAGCCATGCTCATCACTGCTGACCAGCCCCTGCACACCAGGAAACTGGAGATTAGACCTAAAACCATGGTCCAGGAATTAGAGAGTGACATCAAAAAGTTGCCAATGTTGTGACTGTTCCTTGTCACACAGAAAGCTGGAGGATAAACACTGGAACGTGTTGCAGGAAAATTCCAACCTTCCTGACCAGGGGAAGCCAGTAGAGGGCTCGGGAAGGACGTTTCTGTCTCACTTACCCTTCCTAAATCTCTCACAGGTGTGTCAAGTAGCAGAGATTAATTGTAACCCCAATGCTACATGCAAGGGAGCACCGAACATATAGTTAGCTTTCCATGCTCTCCAAATAGGAGCATGAAATGCAGATTGCAGAACCACTCCAAGTACCTGCCCTAGTCAGTGTCCATGAAGCCACCTTAATTTCAAGTCACTGTAAATCTGCACATGTTCCCAACTTTCCTTGTCTCACCACATTTCTGTTAATGATAAGAAATGGCATGTTGGCATATTCTAAGTTCATGGGTTGAGGGGAATAATGAGCTTTAATTTAAAACCCCACCTTTCCCTTTCTCAACTCCTGTGTGCAAGCAGAGAGCATCAAGAGCACCAGGAAGAAATGCTGAAGGAAGCATATTTCATCCAGGTAGCGAATTCATGACAAGGTTCCATGTAAGTTAGAATTGGAAGGTTGGAGATGTGTAAAAAGCTAGCTGGGAAGCATCAGTCTCCTATGAAGCACACACTCTTCATTTTCACCCTTTGCAATAACGAGCAAGAACTTGGTGGGTGACGCTTATTCACCCATGGCTCCCCCTGTCTCCCCCTGTCTCAGTTACGTATTTTGCAAGATTTCAAGGAAGAAAAGGTGAAAAGTCACACACTTACTTCCAGATGTTCAACATTACACCCCCAAGTCCTAGGAACACAGATGTGAGATGTATCCATGTTCATTTTTCACTTGGGCGCAAACTCCTCCCTACCTTGGGCCACATCTCTGCTCATGTATTCATTCCTACCATAAGCTTATGAGATTTAGATTAATTTAATGAAAATATCTTGTGGATTCTATTGTAAATAATGCACTTAACAACAATAAGTATTCTATGATAAGACTCCCATTTACTAGCGATTCAATATGGCTTCTCAGCTTTTGTTATGAATGTGGTAGCAATAATTAATATTCATCCATGGACACACAAATTAATTATAAAAAGAAGCCTCATGTCTCTCATTAAGAGACATTTTCCAGAATATTTTACTTTACAGTCAATATATTCACCAAAATTTTTATATATTATGTTGTTTTGATCAATTATGTAATACTAATTAGTATAACAGTATTTCAAGTAGAAAACTACTTTACCATTTAGAGCCTATGGTCACAGACATTGTTTTTTAAAATTAGTTTTCTTATATATTAATATATGATAGGATAATCAATGAAAGACTTTAAAGCATAAGAATATATAGTAGTGGGGCTGGGCACAGTGGCTCACACCTGTAATCCCAGTACTTTGGGAGGCCAAGGCGGGTGGGTCACTTGATGTTAGGAGTTCAAGACCAGCCTGGCCAACATGGTGAAACCACATCTCTACTAAAAGTAGAAAAATTAGCCAGGCATGGTGGTGGTACGCACCTGTAGTCCCAGCTACTAGGGAGGCTGAGGCAAGAGAATCATTTGAACCCAGGAGGCAGAGATTGCACTGAGCTGATATCATGCCACTGCACTCCAGCTTGGGCAACAGAGTGAGACTCTGTCTCACCAAAAAAAAAAAAAAAAAAAAAAAGGAATATATAGTAGTATACTAAAATTCTGTAGGAAAGTCAAATGGAATTCAAGGAGGAAAAAAGAATAGTAAAATCCCCAACTGTTAAAGAAGAGCTTGTTTTTTGTTGCTGTTGCTTTTATATAGATGATGGTAGGTATCAAAGTGCTATGGTTTTGAATTTCCTTCCGACACGTCTAAAACAGTGCTGTAGAAATTTTATTATGAAGTGGTAACATTTATAATAACCTGGGAAAAACACCTTATAAAATTATTTAAACTCCTAATGACAAAATTTATGCATCAACTTAAAATACGAAGGGGTTTTTCTAATTTCTTACAGGAGTTCATGAGCCAAAATTCTTGAGGGTTCCTGTTCTAAAACCAGCAATGGCCAAACTCAAGGAAAGTGCCTGTAATGAAGAAAATGTGAGCAGCACTGGAGGGCAAAGGGGGAAATGCTTTTGACTAGAGGTGATACAAGGTGGTGACCTTTGTTGAGCAGACTTTTTCCTTGCAATATCTCACTTCCATTCTCCTTCACAAACACCAACTAAGGGAGGTGTTCCTTGTTAAGAGTGTAGGCTCTGGGGTCAAACTGCTCCTCCACCTACCAACCAAGGGACCCGGGGCACATGCTTCAAACTGTGTGACGCTGGATCCCCTCACCAGCCATATGGGGAGGCCTGGTCCCCATCTCCCAGGGATGCTGTGAGGACAAACTGTGATCACTCATGCAAAGTCCTTAGAGTGGCCCCAGCATCTAGAAGGAATCAGCAAACATTTGCTATTTGTGTCATCAGCCCTGTTTGCCAAGAAGGAAACTGAGGCCCAGAAAAGGTAAGCACTTTGAGATCTGACCCAGCGATTCCCCCATGCTGTGCGGCCTCCCTCCATCTCCAGAGCAGGCAGCATTGGCCTTCGAGATGGCTGCCTGTTCTTGCAGCCCAGTGTGCGGCTCTCTTCTCACGCCATCCTGCCGCCCTGGGCATGTCTCCTGCCTGCTCCTCTACACTGAAGGAGGTGGCACAGAAGCCTCTGCAGGGCAGCTGTCCTGGGAGTGGGGGCAGGGGAGCGCCAAGTGTGCAGGAAAGTGGGGACAAGGGCAGGGGCACGATGCTTAGCAGACCCATTCATCTGTCACTTCTGGTCCTTTCCTCAAGCTTCACAGAATGCCTGCCTCTGATTTGAAAAGCATTTCGCCTTTATGGGAAACTAAAAGTGTTTATTCTTAAAATGTCAAGAGCAGAGTGAAAATGAAGGAAACAGTAAAGGAACTGAGGTGTGAGCTTGCCACCTTCTCTTACAATTTACCCCCAGCCTCATCCTCCGCTCCTCATAGTCAATTCAGGGAAAGAAGAAGCCCACAGGCTCTGCAACCCATGGCTGCTCCACCTTCTGCCCACAGTCTGCCCTACAGGAGAGGCCTGTCAGCCAAGAGCAAGAGAGGGACTCAGTTGTCCCCAAGGTGTCTGTGCTTTTTGCATAGGCCCCAAAACATCTCAACCAGCAAGACCTCCAACTCCCTGACACTTGTGCACTGATATCCTTCCACACAGCATCCTGGTTATTTTCTTCCTGTGTGTTAACCCAAGCAGTTAACAATTTGATTTGTCTGTTTGTGTATTGTCTGTATCCCCTCTCTTGATATTAGAATGCAAACTTCAAAGAGTCAGCAACCTTGTCTGTCTTGTCTATGGTTAAGTCACCATAGTCTAGCACAGCCCCTAGCACATAGTAGCCGCTTGATAAATGTTTAAGTGCATTAAGGGATGACTGCATGACTGAAAAGTCTTTGTCTCCTTAATATACCCGAACTGGTAGGGCCTCTGTCTCCTAACACAACTGGACTGACATGGCCTTTTTCCCTCCCTACACCTGAACTGACATGTTCATTCATTCATTCTTCAAATACTTTGTGAACACTGAGTGTGTGCTGGATACTGTAATAGACATCAGGTAGACGTGGAGCTCACAATTCAGGAGAGGACAGGCTTTAAACAAATAAGCAGACACATGCTATGTTCATCTGTCTGATGGCTTGTGCAGGAAAAGTGAAGAGCACTAGGAGAGAGGAAAGAGAGCGGGTGCTGGTGTTTACTTTAGAATGGGGGGCCAGCCAAGACTGAAAGCTGAACCTGGCAAAAAGATGGAAGATGATTTCCAGGCACATGTGCGCACCCACACACACACACACACACACACACACACACACACACACACTCGTATGTAAATTCACACATAATTGCACACATTTGCACACAAGTGCTCAGAGATGGGAAAGACATCAGTGTCGTGGGAGCAACCTGAGAGCAGGAGGAGTGACATTTCCAGAGGATGGAGGGGTGAGGGGCTGAGGCCTGCAGATCTTGATAGGCTTTGTTAAGTCCTTCTGCCTTTTTCCTTAGGCTTGTGAAAAGCCTTGGAGGGTTTTGAGTAGGGGAGTCACATGATCCCATTCATATTTTACAAGATCTCTGATGCCTGTAAGGAAAACAGGTTGACTATGAGCAAGAGTGGAGGCGCAGGCACTGATCAGGACACTCTTGGTGTAGTGCAGGTGAGAGCCGGAGTCATGGTAGCTTTGGCATAATTTCTGACCCTCTGAGAGGCACACCCCATTGACAAGGTATCATTCATTCATTCATTCACACATTTGTTCACTAAGAAATCATTAGTAAAAACTTTATCGTGTAACAGGTGCTGAGGATACAACAGCGAACAAGACAGACATAGTCTTTACCTTTATGGAGTTTACAATCTAGTAAGGAAACAGACCACTAAACCCAAACTTCCAGCCTTCCAGCCACCTGAGATGTGGTTCTGTAGAAAGGGAGGAAGAATCTGTAGGACACTAGGAGAGATACCTGGCCCTGACATGGGAGGTGAGGGACAGCAGGGTCAAGGAGAGATCTAGGTAAGCATTACCAACTCCCTGATACACATGAACTGACTCCAGGTTTGCCTCCTGAAACAACCAGGTGGTCTTGGGTTTCATTCATCTAATCGTCCACTGACCAACTGCACTAGGTTGGCACAGGCAACTCAGTGGCCCAAGCTGAAGGCATCACCTGTGACCTCCAACTATCCCCATGTGCAATTCTGCCCCTACACTGTATCCTGTGACTCAAAAATGACACTTTCATCTACAAAGTTGTCTGAGCCATTAATCTGGGCATCCCTCTCTTGCCCCTTGCATCCAATCACCCACCAAGTCCTACTAATTCCGCTGCCCAAGGGCTGGCTCCCTCCCCGCAGTCTCTTAAGTTCCATTGGTATTCCCCTTGTCCATTGTCTGTTGCCTAGGTTGCTCCAACAATCCCGCATTGTTCTACCACCTCCAAGCTGCCCACCAACCATGCTCTGATGCATTTGTAGTCTTTCAAATGTGCACTTCTGCCTGGCGGCCTCCTCCTGGCTTCAGCCTTGAACCTCACCTTGATTGCCACTTCCTTTGGGGAAACTCCTCTGATGCTTTCCCTGGTGTAGGTAGCTCCCCCGCCTGATGCCATCACACCGTGGAACAGCCACATTTCACTGTTAGGTCCTGGCCTCCCACATCAGACTCTGAGCTCTACAAGGGCAGGTACTGTGTCTTTCTTGCTTACCCCTTTATACACATCTCCTTCCCCACAGAACAAAAATGCCTAACAAGGGTCATTTTGCAAGGGAGATGTGATCCCTTGGCAGGGAAATCTGGGCAGGATTTCTGATGATAAATAAATAAATGAGGAGCCCACAGCTGGTGCACAGGTGGCCCCTGGCCTGATCTAGCCTGGCACTTTCTTCCCCTCTCCTTTGCTTTCCCTCCTTGCAGAGCTGGCTGCTGTGACCACAAATGGAGAGGAAACATGATTTATATTTCTTTCTTTAGTTTGGAGAGTGCTGTGACAGACATAGATAAAGTATCTCTCTCCTCACCCCACCCCCCCCCCAATTTTTTCTTTGGGTTTGTGAGTCTTTGAAGACAACCATCTG
Organism: Homo sapiens; assembly: GCF_000001405.40. Lineage (NCBI taxonomy): Eukaryota > Metazoa > Chordata > Mammalia > Primates > Hominidae > Homo > Homo sapiens. The sequence goes on along the minus strand of NC_000011.10, from coordinate 112,737,049 downwards.
AAATGGGTTGACAGGCAGGTGTTTGGGAGAGGGAGAGAGCTGGGAATAAGGTGTTTTGACTGAGAGAAGAGCCACTAATGCATCCATAGCTGTTACCAGTGTGATGACAATTGCAGTTATGGAGGCACTTTGATTGGGGAGGAGGAAGAGGAGAGAGAGGAGAGAAGCCATCTTCTTATCTGTCAGAGGCAATAGCAGAGTCTGGGAAAGCTAGACCCTCTCACTGCCTCTAAAAATCTTTCTGGACAAAAATAAAATAAAATAAAATAAAGTAAAAACTAAGCCAGGTCTGTCTGGACCTGGGGAACAGTAAAGTGGCTTAGATATGACCTGAGGCACACCCCATTCTTTATTTGCTTCTCCTGGAATTGATACCTGTAGAGCCTCCAATAGACATTTTTAGCTACTCAGCAGGATGGGTCTCCTATGTGCCCATGTCTCAGGTGCTAGAGGGTCCTAGAAGTTACTATTTCGACCCTTAAAGCACAGTGAATGCATATGGATCCCTGGACTCTGCCCCGATTTACCCAAGCCTTCCTCTTCATGTGTGATCTTGATAGATGAAGAGAGTAGAGAAAGGGAGAGAAATCCTAAAACTGAGAAAGTGCTGGGAATGGAAGGGAACTGCTGGACCCAGCTGCTCTGCAGGGAGAGAGACACGTTCCAGAGAACAGCACAGTCATAGTACAGAAAACACAGAAGCACATTTGTCTGGGACATCAAGTGTGTGTGTGTGTGTGTGTGTGTGTGTGTGTGTGTGTGTGTGTGAGAGAGAGAGAGAGAGAGAGAGAGAGAACAAGGATTTAGTGGAAGTTCAGCACTGAGTCCTATTGAAAATGAAGCCAGAGCTGACAGATGTCAGCCGACTCCAGCTACGCCTACTGCAGACATCAGGGCAGCCCAAGCTCAAGATGCCCTCCTGCTCCTGCCTGCCTTGAGGGTTCATGCTACCCTCAGAGCCAAGCAGGCAAGGAGGCCTCAGGCAAGCTCAACCAGACAATCTGTACTGTCAGATTCTGGGCAAAGGAGGCATCACTGTGTTCCCTTCCTTCCTAAAAGGCAGAGTTCTGCTATCCATATTCCTGCCTGCAGCCCAACACACACACACACACAAACACACATGCACACACACACAGCACCAACACTACCACCACAATGACCAGCAGCAGCGGCAGCTTTTGCCAGGCAGCTATACCAGGCTGCCTCATCCTATTTACTAACCAAAAGGAAGAAACTAAAATCCAGTCCTAGACTTGGCTGTGCCTCAGCCCCATAAAGCCTTGCAACATCCAGAGTTCTCACGTAGCCCAGAAAATAAGAGTAATGAACAGCTTACATGTATTCAGTGCTAACCACAGATAGGCATTGTGCTAAGTGCTTTGTGAGACTTACCTTGCATACCCCTCACAACTCTCTGAGGCAGTTTCAGTTATTAGTTCCGTTTTGTCAATGAAGAAACCAAGCCTAGAAATTAAACAGGTAAACAAACCAAGCAACCCAGAGTCATCCAGAGCTACCAAGGACCATGGCCTCAAAGAAGGCTTCTCTGACTTCCCAGAGCTGACTTAGATGCCTCTCCTTTGGGCTCAAGTAAGGATCTTAGCACTTACCACATAGCATTATAATTAAGGGCTTATACACCATGACCAAATTTTTCACTAGTGGAATGTCAATGAAAGCCATTTGTGCAATTTCCAGGCCTGTGCACCTGTGATTCCACTTCCACCATGTAGATGAGGGCAAAGCCCCATGACAGTGGTTCTTAAACTTGGCTGCTATTGGAGTCAATGTGTAGCCAAGTTTGGGAACTGCTGCTTTAGAAGATGCCACAGAAACACGATGGAAGGAACCTGTGACCCTGGATGACTGTATGAAGCAGATCATCCTGCCAACTGGGAACATCCACCTTGAACAGTTACGTAAGAGAGACATCACCTCTATCTTACCTACCCTCACAAATGCCATGGAGATGCCTGAGGAGTAGAAGGAAAATCTGATTATCACCTGGAGGCCTGGACTGTCAACCGTTGGTCAGGAAAGGCAAAGGCACCAGCAATTGCTTGCTTGTAAACACACATGCACACACATGCACAGCTCACACACTTTTGCTGCACAGTTCTCCCTGTCCCAGTCACCATTAAAGCAGCAATCAGCTAAAGCCACAGTTTTCCTGGCTTCCCACCAGGCTCTGATTAAGAGAGAACTTCTCCACCCACCTTCCTCACTCCAAGGAAGGCTGAGCGCCAGCTTCCTCCTTTACATTCTCTTCCTGTTCCTATAAAGCAATTAAAGTTTCCTGTAGACTTCACCTTTCCTATCTTCTCTCGTAGAACTTGGCTCATATTTTTGTCTTGTTCTGAACCCACAAGTTTCTCCTTCTAGTTCAGAAGATGAAAAAAATCCCATGATTCAGCTGACCACCTGTAGGGAGGGGGCTCCTACCTAAGTCCCTGGTGTAAAATTCAAGTAGAATCCTGCACCACTGCTGCTTGGAAGTTGGAGGCCAAGCAAGCTTAGTAGCCTTGGAGTTTAGAAATGGGGCTCCTTGCAAGCAGAGACCTCAGGATGAGGAGTGCCTTCTAAGGAGAGGAAACCGTGGCCATTCCCCAGAGAGGCAAAGTGGCAGACCCTGAGTCCAGGACCATGGACAGGGAAGAGCAGGCCCGAGAAGCATGTGGACGAGAAGGAAGATAACTCCCTGAGTAGATGGCCCAGACTGGGTGGTTAGCACTGAGTGAAAGCACCTCAGGCATGGTACCTATCAAAGAAGAGATGATACCTCTTAGGGATCTGGGATCAAAAAAAAGAATGTCAACAAAAACAACATGTGGGACAATACAAGCAACACAGGGAAATGTCCTAGCCATAATGTGACTTTTATCCCATAGGACAAAGCATGCTACAGTTCCATGAGGGAGGTGCTGCCACCCAAGCTGTAGTACTGAGCTCCTTCCTGCTCTCTATGTGACCCTAACCAGTCAACTGGGCTTCTCTGAACTTCAGTTTCTTTATCCACAAAATTAGTATGATGGTAATAGCTTTCCTAGTGACTTTACTATGGTGTTAATAAAATCAAGATGATGTATATGAGGGTAAATAGTAAAACATAATTTGTGATAAATATTTCACATCTCTGGTTTTCTACTGGCTTCAGATGAAATTTCGTTGCTGAGTAGTGAGACTTCAGTATAGAAGCTACTCATCAAATATTTGCTGGAGCACTGTTGATTTTGTTGTTTAAAAAAAGCAGTTAAGTAAACGCAGTCCCTTCTAGTCAGAGGCAAGTGGAAAGAAAAAGAGGAGAAAGGAGGCAGGTTTAGAGATTCAGACCTTGTGTAGATCTGCAGTTCTGTTCGGCTGCCTCCACATTGATCCTCCTGCTTCCTTTCCCTTGCAGTGAGTCTAGAGAGGGTCTGCAGGAGAAAGAGCAGAACAGGGAAGCAAGTGAGTGAACCCTGGGAAGGGCTCTTACCCAGGCTCCCGTCCTCACTGTTCCAGACAGATTGTTTATAACAGTGGTTGTCCATGTCACAGAAAACCTGTCCTCCCCACAGCCCACAGCAGCCATGCTCTAGATCATGTAAGTTCCCCTCAACTGACTACAGCTGAGTGATAGGCATCTGACCCAAGAATCTAATCTATAGTCTGGCAAGTGGGCAAGGAGTTGGCCTGGCATGATAATTTTCCCCCAGGGTTAATGACTTAGAAGAATATGGGAAGAATAGGGCAGTTAGCAGTTATATTAGTCCATTTTCACACTGCTGATAAAGACTTAACTGAGACTGGGTAATTTATAAAGAAAAAGAGGTTTAATTGACTCACAGTTCCACATGGCTGGGGAGGGCTCACAATCATAGCAGAAGGCAAAAGGCATGTCTTACATGGTGGCAGGCAAGAGAGAATGAAAGCCAAGCAAAAAGGATTTTTCCTTATAAAATCACCAGATCTCATGAGACTTATTCACTACCACAAGAAGAGTATGGGGAAACAACCCCCATGTTTCAATTATCTCCCACGAGGTCCCTCTCATGATGCATCGGAGTGGTGAGAGCCACAATTCAAGATGAGATTTGGGACACAGCCAAAGCATATCAGCAGTGAACAGAGGAACTAAAAGTCATGAAGTAAAGAGAGGCTGGGGAGGGGAGCATGAGGGGCCATGGGTGGGCCAAAGTTCTGAGCAAGAAGAAACCATGAGATAGAGAGAAGTCAGAGCAGAGAGCAAAGAAGAGAAGTGGGCAGACATGGAGAGAGGAAAACACAAGGAGAGGAGCCCAGACCCATCAGGACTGTGCCCCTAATGCCACTAATGCCCTAATGCCACTGCCATGTGTTCTGCTCTCAGCCTCCCCAATCCTGGTTCACCCTAGAGCCAATTCCTCCCAGAGCTTGTTTGTTCAGCTTCTCCAGAGTGCCCTGGAAGCTGGGCTTTGTGGCTGGCCTTCTCATTTTCTTATTCCTATGTGCATCCTTACCAAAAATCCTGCATTACTTGAGGAACGCTGTTTGGGTTTCTGCTTCTTGCAATCCAAAAATCTAAGCAAATAGGCTGCCGCTGGGGATTTGGCAGCTTGAATCTCAGAGCCTAGGGTCGTTGGCACATCCCTAGGTTGTCTGTCTAGCAAAGCTGGGGCAGCTGAGCTCGGCCCTACAGTCTGGAAGGGCTGGCCTTGAATGGCTGAAGCTCCTGTTCCTGAGCCCAGTTCAGGGTCCTCGCCATCAGAATAACAATGAGTTCACACAAGCCAGCAGGTGTGCAAGCCCAGCCCTTGCCCATCCGTTCTAGTTAACTAGGGAGGCCCATGCATGTGCCATTGTCCTGCCTTGGCATCAAGACTATGATCTGCTAAACATGCTGAGAGAGGATGGGTAACTAGAGATGGATGCCAGACCCTATATCTTTATGCAATCTCTTGCCTAAAATTCACAAAGCCTGATGCAAAGGTACAGAGGCTTCCTGCCCAGCTTCCTTCTCTTTACACCTGGGCGCCATCCTATACCACTGATGGCCACATGCACAGAGGGGCAGATTCTCTGGCCATAAGTTCAAGCTTCATCTACACTTGTCCCATCCCCTCAATAGCCACTCTTTGGCCAGCCTTCAGGCCTTGGGGCATGCAGACCAGTGATGAACCTGGAAGTGCACCTGGGAAGAGGCCCCTGTGATTCTGGAAAGGGTAGTTCAAGTCTGTTTAGTCTGTGTCCCAAGTACATTGAATGTGGGACAGAAGGGGACATGGGTATAGTATAAATACTGCCTTTATTCTCTATACACAGCACCAACAAGAGCAGCAGCTTTGCCTCTGGCTTTGTTCCGGGCTGTAGATAAGAATGCCTGTCATTCACAAAGGGCTTACTATGTACCTGCTACTAAGTATGCTTTGTATATTAACTTATTAGATTGTTAAATGACACTGACTTATCATTATTCTTAATTTACGATGAGGAAATTCAGGCACAGAGAGATTAAGCAACTTGCCCAGGAGTACATATAAAGTCAGTGGTAGCCACAGGATTCCAACCCAGGCAATCTGGCCCCAGGGTCTGGGCTCTAACCATTTTGCAACACTGCCTCGACAGCTGAAGTGGAATCAGGGCTTTCTGCTCACTTCAGACTCCAGTCTGGGCCCAGTGGAGGCACAGAAACCACTCTCCTCTCATTTCCCTTTCTGTCGATAGCTGTGAACACAGCATCTCCATCTCAACCTTGTCCACCGAAGAGCCTCTCCAGGCTTCCCAGGGGCATGTGAAAGGCAGCCTGGGAGCGGTGTCTGGAAGACATTTTCAACTCAGATAGAGTGGAAAACAGGTCAATGCTAATACAGTCACTCTCCGTATCTGCAGGTTCCACATCTGCAGATTCAGCCGATCACAGATCAAAAATATTTTTAAACTAATAAAAAATAACAATACCAAAATAACGAATAATAGGAAAATTTAAAAACAGAGTATTACAATTATTTACATACTATTTAAATTGTATTAGCTATCATAAGTAATCCAGAGATGATTTAAAGTACAGTCATGTGCTGTACAGTGATGTTTCAGTCAATTATGAACCTCATCCTTAACAGTGGTTCCATAAGAGGATGATGATGATGATGATGATGATGATGATGATTTGAGACAAGGTTTCACTTTGTCACCCAGGCTGGGGTGCAGTGGTGCAACTACAGCTCACTGGAGTCTCAACCTCCAAGGTTCAGGTGGTGATCCTCCCGCCTCAGCTGGGACTACAGGTGTGTGTCACCATGCCCGGCTAATTTTTGTGTTTTTTGCAGAGACGGCATTTTGCCATGCTGACCAGGCTGGTCTTGAACTCCTAGGCACAAGGGTTCTGCCCACCTTGGCCTCCCAACGTGCTGGGATTATGGGTATGAGCCACCGTGCCTGGCCAAAATTATATTACCATATTTTTATGTACATTTTCTATGTTTAGATGCAGAAATATTTACCATTGTATTACAGTTGCTTACAGTATTCAGTACAGTAACATGCTGTACAGGTTTGTAGCCTAGGAGCAATAGGCTATACCATACAGCCTAGGTGTGTAGTAGGCTATGTGTCATCTAGGTTTGTGTAAGTACACTCTAGAACAGTGGTCCCCAACCTTTCTGGCACCAGGGACCAGTTTTGTGGAAAATAATTTTTCCACTAATGGGGTGGGGGGGGTGGCTTCAGGATGATTCAAGTGCATTACATTTATTGTGCACTTTATTTCTATTATTATTATAATATTAATATATAATGAAATAATTATACAACTCACCATAAAGTAGAATCTGTGGGAGCCCTGAGCTTGTTTTCCTGCAACTAAACAGTCCCATCTAGGGGTAATGGGAGACAGTGATAGATCATCAGGCATTAGATTCTCATAAGGAGGGTGCAACCTAGATCCCTGGCATGTGTAGTTCACAATAGGGTTCGTGCTCCTATGAGAATTTGACGTCACTGTTGATCTGACAGGAGGCAGAGCTCAGGCAGTAATACAAATGATGAAGAGTGGCTGTAAATACAGATGAAGCTTCCCTAGCTCATCTGCTGCTCACTTCCTGCTGTGAGGCCTGGTTCCTAACGTGCCACACACTGGTACTGGTCTGTGGCCCAGGGGGTGGGGGATCCTTGCTCTATAATGTTTGCACAATGACAAAATCACCTAACAACATAGTTCTCAAAATATATCCCCATTGTTAAGAGATACAGGAGGATATGCATAGGTTATATGCAAGTACTATGCCATTTTATATAAGGGCCTTGATCACCTGCAGATTTTGGTGTCCATGAAGGGTCCTAGAACCAATCCCCCATGGATACCAAGGGACAACTGTATCTGCCCTTCGTTAAGCATCTCTATCGGCCAACGTGGGCTTTACGTACATTATCTCATTTAATCCTCACATCACTAAGAGGTAGCTAGTATAATCCCATTTATTATTATTATTTTTTGGCAGAGGGGAGGTCTCACTTTGTTGCCCAAGCTGGTCTTGAACTTCTGTCAAGTGATTCTTTCACCTTAGCCTCCTGGGATTACAGGAGTGAGCCAGGTGGGAGCCACCATTCCTGGGCAATCTCCATTTTAAGATGTGTAACTAAAGCTTTGAAATTTTTCTGACATTACTCAGTAGTTGGCTTAAGTAGGAGTTGAACCCGTTTCTGTTTGGCTGTAGTGAATGGGATCTGCTAAGGCACCCTGCAGGGACCCAGTCCACATGAATGTCCCTCCTCTCCTCCCTGCCTCCCTTTCCCCTCCTTTCTTCTCCTCTCCCCAACTTCACTTTCTCCCTTCTCCCTTTCTCCTTTTCTGCATCTCCAGAAAGATGATCCCCTGAGTAGGTCCCTTCCATCTCTGACAGCATCCAATGGCTCATAGCAAGCACATTCCCTGGGTCAGCACTTGGGAAGATGCCTCAGGGTAAAAGGAAAGAGGCCTACAGGGAGAGAGAGCGCAGGAGACAGAGAATCCAGCCATCACTGCAGGGGTTTCTGACTGACATAGTGCCTGCCAACACCCAGAAATATGGAGATTAGCTTCGGCTCTCCATAGCTATAACCATCCAACACCTGTTTAAGAAAAAAAATCTACAAATAAATATTTGCAAAGCAACTTAGGTGCAGCCCCTACACACTGGCGCACACATACTCAGTCACTCCGGCTCACTCACATGATCTGGGCTTTAGTGACTCTCTCACACTCTGTCCCCTAAATGTTGACCTGGTGGGAAACTGGAGAGTTGCTGCAGGGCTGGCCCAGGGTAGGAAACCCAGAGGATGAGAGAGACCCTATAGGTGGTGTTCCTAGGACCCTATGAAGGCTTCTCTAGGACTGCTGGCTCATAGGTTCCCAGTAGGGTACAGGGCATTTCTTAACTACATATTAGTGAGCAGTGAGCCACCTTGAATGTCTGAGCTGAGAAGGGCTTTAGAGACTGTCTCCGGTCATCTCTCATTTCATGAAACTTTCAAACAATCTAAAGCCACAGAAAGTTACAAAATCCCTGTGGTGGTTTGGCTGACTGCTAAAGTCAAGATGGGCTAAATGTTAAGACAAACACCCTCAAATTCTAAGTGACTTGACACAAAGCTGTCTTGCACTCACCTAGCAGTCCATTAGGGGGTACCAGTGGTGGAGTGAGAGGGCTCTCCTCCATGCAGTCATGCAGGCACCCAGGCTCTAACCATCTTTGGTGCTGCCATCTCCAATAAGGTCATCACAAGACATAAAGACAAGGTGGAGGTTTTCACGGGTGGACATTACTCCTGCATACATCCCATTGGTCAGGATTCATCATAGAGCAAGGGAGGTCCAAGAAGAAGAGGAGGAACTCAACATTAGTGAGCAGTAGCAATCTCTGTTACTTTCTGGAAGCAGGCATGACTTTCTTTCCTTTTACTTTGAACCCTCCACTCTTAATCTCTCAGGCAGGTGTTAATGATAAAAACAAAAATAAATAATAAAAAGAGGTCCCAATTTTGAGGGCTTATTATTTGCCAGACTGTGCAGATTTTATTTCGTTTAATGCTCACAAGAAGCCAAAGCCAAGGTTCTGGCATTATTTCTGTGTTCAGAGAGGGTAGAACTAAGGCTAAAAGAGGTTTAGCAACTCCTCTCAGGTCACACAGCTCTTCTGGGTGGGTAGTCCTGCTGGGATTGGAGCCCAGCTCTGTCTGACTCTAAGGGGGTACAGGAAGAGCTAAGGACAGCCAGGTTGGGATTCAGCCATAGCTGGGTCACTTCAACCTCTAGCAGACAACAGAGAAGCTGAGCCACTCTTCCCCACAGCCATATCCTTACCCCCACCTCCAAAGAAGGGGTTGGGAGGCAGAGAGCCTCTGAATCACCAGGCAACTTGACAGCACATCCCCTGCTCAGTAAAATTGCTTTTAAAAAGCACTTACTTTTTATGATCTAATTTAGGATGACATTGAGTGTTCTCCAGCAGATGCCTCTGCCCCGTTCCCACCAGCTCCCCACTTCTTTCTACCCCTTTCCCTCAAAGCTGTGGCTGCCCCTGTGAGCAGCAAAACTCATGCCCTGAGTGCAACTTCTTCCCCATTTTGGGGAGGAAGTTGATTCCACACGGTGGGATGGGTTGTCCCCAGACTGCCTCCCACTCTGTGTTCCTCTTAGTCCCAGAGCCCCAGAGCCTACCACTGCCTATGCTGTGGGCAATATTGTGCTCACAGAGATCGTGGGCACTGGGGTCAGACAGGCAGGGTTCAAGGCTGGCTCCACCACTTACATGTTAGTTATAGGACCTTGATCAATAATTAGCCTCCCTCACTTTCATCTGTAAAATGCAAATGGTAATATCTGCCTCCCAGTGCTGTGGTGAGGATTAAGTGAAATAATTCAGCTAAAGTTCTGATCCTAATGCCTGGCACACAGGAAGAACTAAAAATGCTTTTGGATGTTATTAGTTCTGGGATAAAATATATCAATGAGCAGATATTCTGAGTAAACCCTTCCTCCATTAACTGAGTAAGAGGGGCCCTCTCTGCCCACATGCTCACCCCATTCAAGACCTCTGAACCAATCTCTATGCACCAGACTAGTTCTGCACCTTGCTGATGCTGAATTGATGCGAGGGAGGCTGAGGAAGGACTTATCCAGAGAGGGTGAGTTGATCTATATAATGAATGAAGAAGGGGAGAGGAGATCAGTCCAGGTCTTCTGAGGAGCAGACACCAAGGAGAAATCAAATGTGCATGGATTTTAAGAAAATGCCTGTGAGAAAGGAAATAAGAAGTGAGCTGGGAAAGCTAGGAGAGCTGTCAGACCACAAGGCTGGGCAGGTGGGGATACAGAAGTCTAAGGAAGGTTTGGCAAAGACATTGAGAGTCACTGAGCCAAAGCCAGTGGACAGAGGGGTACCCTATCTTTCGACTTCAGCCTCCAGCTGCACTCAGTCATTGGTGGGAAGAACTCCTGGGAAGCATGGGTTCCAGGCAAAGGCAGCCATGGATTCCAAAGCTCAGCAGCTAGAGCCCCAATCAATCACTGAGGTATAATCAGAAAAAGGAGGTCTCTGAGGCACCGAAGGAAGGAGACAGACTGAGCTGTGGGCAGAGGCTGGGCATGCATTAGTAGAAGGAGCTGCAGAAGGAGAGAGTGCAGAGCAGGATGGTTGGGAATATAAAAATTGTTGGAAATTACAAATTATCATTTCTTTAGTGTTTCTTGGGAGATAGAAGTTATAGATTGGGAATTCCCTTTTTATGATTTTTGGCTACCTAGACTGTGCCCCTTCCAATATGATTGCATCTGAGACTAGTTCCAGTATTCAACAAATCATTTTATAAAATATGGTCCCTATGAGGCGGAGCTTGCAGTGAGCCGAGATCCCACCACTGCACTCCAGCCTGGGCGACAGAGCGAGACTCCGTCTCAAAAAAAAAAAAAAAAAAAAAAAAAAAATATGGTCCCTATGATGCAGCAAACATAGTTCTAAAGGCTTTATTCTCACAACAAACCTATGATGTGGGTATGATCTTTGTCATGCTGATTTTACAGATGAGGAAATGGAGGCACAGAGAGGTTAAGTGACCTGCCTGAAGCCAGAGCCAGAAAGTAGTAGAGCTGGGATTGGAACCCCAGAGTCCATGCTACCGCCCACCCTTGGCCACCACTCTGTCTCTGTGTCCCCATTCCCTTCTTCCCACATCTCCCCTCTGCATTACAGCCTTGCCTCAGCACACCAGTCCCGAGGTGTGCAGCCACTCCCACTTCTGATTGCCAGCTCCCCTGCAAGCTCCCTGAGGACAGGGAGGACCCTGCCCTCCTGAGCTCCCTGAAGCACTTGGCGCTGGCCAGCCCAGTACAGTTACCACATATCTGCTCATCTGGGTTTGGATCATCTTCTAAAGCCTTTGCACTTCATCACCCCCAAATTCTGCTCTGTTGTTTAAGGACTGTCTCTCTCAAAGCTGACTCTCAAGTAGGGCTGACCTCCATTCTGGGTGTGGAGTAAGGACAACTCTTTTGGAGGTAACGTCACAACCCTCAGTAGCCACCTACACCAGTACCCCACAAGCTTCTGAAGGTCTAATCCCTCCCCCCATGTTGCTCCCTGTTCATTCGTTTCTTTAGCCTCTTGGTAAAGTCCACAGCCATCTGCTTAAATGTAGAACTGGAGGCTTAATTCAGCCCTACAGCTTTGACTGGCTTGAGATATAATGCTTATTTTATAGGTACTTAGAAAGGGAGATGTTCGCTGGTTCGTTGGGGGGATGGTTCATGACCATAATACCAGCACTTTGGGAGGCCGAGGCCAGAGGATCACTTGAGCCCTAGAGTTCAAGACTAGCCTGGGTGACAAAGCAAGACCCCCATCTCTACAAAAAATTTTTAAAAATTAGCCGGGCATAGTGGTTCACACCTGCAGTCTCAGCTACTTGGGAGCCTGAGGCCAGAGGATGGCTTAAGCCCAGGAATTTGAGGCTGCAGTGAGCTATAATTGTGCCACTGCGCCCCAGCCTGGGTGACAGAATGAGACTCTGTCTCAAAAAAAAAAAAAAAGACAGAGAGAGAAGACAGAAAGGAAAGAAGGAAGGAAGGGAGGGAGGGAGGGAAGAAGGGAAATGGAAATGTTCATTGGGACAGAGACGTGGAATAGTCTACAGGATTAGAGAAAAGCAGGGCCTATTTGTGTTCCTTTTCTGCCAGTGCATGTAAATTCACCACTTTAAGAACCGAAGCCAATCAGATCACTTCATTATTGGTCTTTATGGAAATGTGGGTCCTCAACACTTTCCTGACTCTGGAGGACCCTGACTGGGGCTTCTTCTAGGAGCCAATGGATGTGCAGGGAAGGAGAGCCCCAGGCAGAGAGTGCACCATGGCACGAACCCCACCCTTGCCCCACAAGCCTGGCTAACCCCACAGCTGGGCAATCCCAGGGAGGGGGAGTCATGAGAAAGAGGAGGTGGGGGCGGAGCAGGGAGGCAGAAGCACCAACACCAGGCACTTCACGCCTTTCCTGGCTGTATGCCCACTATGCCAGGCCTACCCCACAGAAGGCCTTGTGCTAACTCGAGGAAAGCTGCCATTCCCTGGGCAGCTACCCCGGGCTGCAGGCAGGCTGAGCTCTGCCCCATAGGGACCGGTGGGCTCTGAGGACACAGGTCAGACCTGCGTGCCTGGCTGCCTCCCTTGGCTCTGGAGCCAACAGCTGGACTGTGGTCGATAAAGAATCGATTTTCTTTTGTCTTGTGAGGCTTGTCTGTTGTGACAGAAAATAGGAAACCTAATAAAGACTGTGCTGCAGACTCTCAGCGCCCTGAGCCTGCTCGAGCCCCAGTGTTAGAAGGAGAAAGAAAGGGGTGGGGGGTGAGAAACAAGTGCACTTCCTGAACAACTCCAGGGGGCACTGTTCATTTGGTGTTTGCTTTGTGCTGGGGGCTGGGGTGCTCATAGAGATAACTAAGAGACAGAGATAAGAATGCGGTGGAGAGAAAGAGAAAGCTTCCCTAGCACATCCTCAGCAACTGTGCGTACAGGCAGTGGGCTCTGAGGTCGCCTTTCACTCGAGACCAGCCTCAAAGGCGGATGTCCAGTGCAGTCACACAGATCCCATGCCTGCAGCTTCATGCTCTGCTATCACTGTCTTAAAATGAAATTCTTGACAATTTTATCCTTGAATGTCTGTTTTGTATGTGAAGTCTGATGGGCTGTTTGTCCAAGCGAGCACTGGGGCTTGGAATTTCAGTTCCTAGGAAATCTCACCCTTTGCCACCTGCCTTTCTCCCCTGGGGGTGGAAGTTTTTTTCACCATCCACCCTCCAACCCCTGCCCATCCTCCCTCCCCTTACCCTTCCTGGTATTCACCAGCCCCTGCCACTGGGAGCAGGGCTTCAGATGCAGGCTCAGGGAGGGTTGCACTTGGCAATTTGGCTCTGCAGCATCTTGGGGTCATGCATGAAGGTAACTATTCCGGCCCCAGGCTGGCACCTCCAATACATGCACTCAGTGAGTCCTGGCACAGAGGTTGCAGCCCCTTTGGGGTCACCTATCCACCATGAGTTGGGTAGGGGAGATGCCTGCCTCAATTTCCCTGCCCCTGGCTCTGGGGCAGATCATTTGCCCACACACCAAGTCACAGCCAGGCGGGGTCTGGGCACCTGTGAGGGTCTGTGCTTGTCAGGACTGTCCCCATGCCTCAGAAAAAGCAACATTAAATAGCAGATGAGAAAACACCATGACAGGTTGAGAGACCACAAAAGCAAGGCAAACATTTTATATTTTAGAATTTATAACAGTACTTTTTACCTGCTTTTGAATAAGAAGCCCTGTATTTTTATCTGGCATCAGGCCTCAGAAATTATGGTAGCCAGACAGAACGGCACCTCTTACCAGTACTCATCTCCGGGTCTTGTGGCTGAGAAGGGCCAGGTTCCACAGGAACCTCCAGTGCTGCAGTGAAATGTGGGGGCTCAGGGTTCCAACACAGCTTCAGTCCCCTGCCTCTCTCTGCCTTGCCTGCCTGGGCTCTGAGGGCACCTGGCCACCTTCCATCTTCCACCAGCCTCTCCTGACTTCCAGCCCCTGCTCCCGTCTCTGTTCTCTGCATGCTCCCTGGCTGACTTTCTGCATCGACCTCCTAAGTGGGGGTGGCCTTCAATGCCCTGTGCCTTAGCCACTCTTCTCTCTCTTCCCCTGACAGTGTCTACTCCTCTGTTCTCACCCACACCATTGTCAGAAGTTGACCAAAGGCCACCCCCTAGCCACCTTCACTCAGCAGCTCCTGTTTACAATCTTAATCAGCAGAATGTGTATTTCTCAGATGTGTATTCAAGACCCTCCGCTCTTCCCAGGGAATGCTGTCCTCTCTGACTCAGTGTGCTGAAAATGGAAGTTGCCCATCTTTCTCCTTACGGCAGCTCTTCCTTCTGACTTTTCTATTTCTGGCTGTGACATCCTCATTCTTACTATCATCCAGATCTGAAACTTCCTAGCCATCTTTTACTCTTCCCTTTCCTTCACCTCCCACTTCCAAGAAAGCTCAAAACCTTGTCATTCCTTCCTTGAAAAATGTGTCTTGCGTTTGTTTATCCTGTAGGTTCCTACTGCCTGCAGTCTAGTTCAGACATTTATCAGCTCATGCCTTGACAAGAGCTTCCAGCTGACCCCTCAGCCTTAAGTCTCTCTGCCCATTATGCATGTACATGGCTCTAAGAATAAGTTTATTAAGATGGCTGTGCTGTGCTGACGGTATCATTCTGTCACTCAAGCATTTTCAGTAGCTCCCTGAGAGCCTAGTTATCCTCTCTCCAATATCTGATCATGTCAGTTAATGACCACATCCCTCCCCTGCTAAGACATTCAGGGCTTTTTATTGCTCAAAATGACCCCTAATGTGGCCCACACACACACAAATGCACACACACTTACTTTGTCTAGGTAATTCCTACTCATCCTTCTTAGCTCAACTTCCTTGTCGTAAAGGTTTATAGTGCTTCCTACTTCTCTTATGAGGAAGCCTTACCACTATTGTTGCTAAACCATGTCATAAATGATTAAATGTCACTCTTCCCTTCTAGAATATAGCCTTCAAAAGGGCAAGGACTAGGTCAGTTCTGCTTGGACAGACCCCTCCCCTTGCCTAATGTACAGTAGACATTTAGAAAATATTTGTTGGACAGGTGAATGAACTACCATTTATTGAATGCCAGATTCTCTGCCTGGCACCTCATCTCATTTAATTCTCAGAGTATCTTTTTCAGTGCTGTTTCCACTCCATAGAAACTTAAAACGTCAAAGGTTGTGTTATAAACAAGGAGCCACTCTGCCTCCTGGCTAAGCAGCTCTTTCCACCCATGCGCCCCAACTCTCTGACTTCACGCGGACGTTGCTGCCAGCTAAAATGTCCCTTCTGCCTTCATCTGCTGAAGTCCTAGCTAACTTTCAGAGTCCAACCTTAAAAAAGGTTCCTGCCACCTTCTTATTTGGTCTTAAATACCTATAATGGATAAGTTCAAGGGCTCTGGGAATAGACAGACTCGGATTTGAATTCTAAGATATGAAACCCACTTCCAAGCTATGTGACTATGTGACTTGGAGTAAGTTACTGATGCTCAGTTTCCTTATCTGTAATATACTGATTATAAGTACTGGCCCCATGAGGTTTAAATGAGATAGGTATTTGGAGCGCTTAGCACAGAGCCTTGTGTATGGAGGAGCTAAAGCAATATTAGCTCTCCTCCTTCTCTTCCTTTTCTTTCTCCTCCTTCTTGCCCTCTCCTCTTTCTTCCCCTTCAAATCTGCCCTGTTACTTATTCATTTTCCATTATCCCATTCTTACCTACCAACCCTGCCCACACCATCCTGGAACTCACAATATTTTCTCTATGACATCATGTCGGCAATCATTTCAAATGAATTCTATTGGCAACAACATCTGCCAGTGAGGAGTCAGTAGGTAGAAAATTCCACGTGGACCATCTACACATGTTCTCCTGGATGTTTGCCCCATGACAGCCCAGAGGAGACATCATTTTTCAATCATCTCTGCACCTCAACTCTGTGAGTTATTTTGCATGAGAACTTTACAAAAGGTCCTCAGGGACCCAGATCCTGAGATCCCAGCCTCCCTGGTAGGGGAATATCCAGTGAAAGCTGAGCATAAAGGCCCCCATGATTCAATCACCTTCAACCAACTTGGTGACAAGTTGACTTCACTGGACCATTTCGTGTAATCCAATACGTAGGGATTACAATTCAAGATGAGATTTGGGTGGGGACACAGAGCCAAACCATATCATTCCGCCCCTGGCCCTTCCCAAATCTCATGTCCTTTTCACATTTCAGAACCAATCATTCCTTCTTAACAGTCCCCCAACGTCTTAACTAATTCCAGTATTAACTCAAAAGTCCAAGTTCAAAGTCTCATCTGAGACAATGCAAGTCCCTTCCGCTATGAGCCTGTAAAATCAAAATACAAGTCAGTTACTTCCAAAATACAATGGGGGTACAGGCATTGGGTTAATGTTCTGGTTACAAATGGGAGAAATTGGCCAAAACAAAAGGAGCCACCGGCCCCATGCAAATATGAAACCTGGCCCGGCAATCATTAAATTGAGGCTTGTTTACCAAGCTCAGTAGAGTCCTGGTGATGTCACACTTTCATTCAGTGGAATGGGGATTTTCCCAGGGGAAGCAAGAGGAAAGGCACATGACCATTTTTGAGCACCTACTCTGTGCTTGAAAACTTACATCCACTGCAGTTCTTACGAGCCTACCCCAAAGGTGGACCACATCATCTCCATTGTAGCTCCGTCGAAGCGTTCAGGAAAGGCTTTCTAGAGGTAGTCATTTCCTTCTTGGCTTCTCACACTTCTAAACAAGTTAAAAAAAAAAATCACCACTAGATAGTTCCAAAAGAATGGCGAACGGCATCCATTATGAGCCAGTCACCCAAGGCAGACCCTGACGGAGGATCCCTGGAGGAAAAGAGAGGCTACTTCTTCTATTTGGGTAAAGGCATCATGGCCATTAAGAGGTGGATTGTAACATTCAGTTTTCTCCAACCCCGTAAGTCCTGCCCAACTCTTTGCTCAGGCCTACAAAACCAAACAGGCCCGGCACTGAATAAAGCATTCCACACAATGTGGCAAGTAATGCAGCTAGTCCAGCAGGGAAGCTGATTGCATTTTTGGCTTTTCAAGAGATTATAATAAACAGCTGTTAGGACAAAAATATTTTTTTTTAAGTGGCAAAGAATCTCTTGGGTTTCTAGAACCTGCTGTGCTTTTTCTGCATATCTCCAAAGCACTTAGGACATATAAGGGGTGTTATTTAAGGGAGTAAATAACAACATTTATGAACTTTTCCTGGAGAGTGCAATTAGCTTTGCATAATCCCCTGAAACTGCGTTCCTGGGGAGCGGACCACTGGGAGAGCCTGAGGAAAGGTTCTGCTGGAGAAAAGGGCCAGTGGCAGACAGAGCTGAGTTTCCAAGCATCTGCTCAGAAACATTTCCAGAAGCACCACTGGCCAAAATGGGTTCCCTTCAGGCCTGCTGCTGGACTGAAAGTTGCCCCCCTCACCTTCCAAAGGGAATATTTTAGGGCTTCCTTAGTCATTAACACTATAGAGAGAATTAATCAACTACTTTTCTCTCATGGTAGCAAGCTCTTAGAAGGCCTGGAGCAAGAGGAGCTTGGATTCGGGGAAGGTCTGGAGGAGGAAGTAGCAGAGTGACGAAGAAAGCCCAGTTGGATGGGCACAATGAGGAAAAGGAAGGGGAGGAGTTTGAGGAACAAGGCTACTTAAATCTTATTTTCTGTACTTTACAATTTGAACCAGCCCTCTAGAACCAGCCCTACTCACCCAGTGGTTGTCTTTTTTTCCATCCTAGCTCTGTCCTTTCCTTCAGCATCAGTGATTTCCTGCCAACTCTGACCCATCATTCTTTTCCCCAGTCTCAAAAAACCTCCTGCCCACCTCCCCAGTGAGTATCCTTCTTGTTTAAGGATTTTAATTATTTAACGATTGAACATAATGCCTTGGATGTGGGCATGTTTGGGCATCTTGAAAGACCCTCAGGACTACCAGGGGTCAGTTTATATGGAACCAAGAGCCCCTTGGGAAAAATTTCACCCTAAAGAAAGGAGAGTCAAGAGGAGATGACATTTCTGAAATCAGAAGGGTGGAGTGATTCTGGAAGTAGATCTGTATCTGCCCTCAGGATTCCATGCCTGAGCTCTGGGGCATGAAGCCTATTATAAAAGAGAAAGTCAAAATGATGATGATGATGACGCATGTGACACAGCCTCACTAATATCTGCCCTGGTATTTAAGGCAGGTTGCCAGTACTGGTAGCAAGTTTCTGTGGTATGGGAAAGGGGGCTGCTGCAACCCAGGACCAGTAGCAGCTGTGGTGGTGGCTTCCAGCCTGAACAGACATGGATGGCTTCCAGCAGCAGCTCTGGATGAAGCTATGAGGGAAGCAGCTGACTCCACAGAAAGATTGAGATCTGGAGGCCCTGCTTGTGGAACCCCTGTGAGACATGTGAGATGTCCCCTGTGGAATCCTAGAAGTATTTAGGAGGTACTAAAGGGGAATTCCACTAATTCCCAAAGAATTAGAGGGTGAAGAGGCAGAAAAATCCTGGTAACCCTATTTTACCCCAACTTAGTGTGGCTTGTCAAGTTGGGTGTCTGACTTTAGAAGGGAGAGTGGGCCCTGTGAAATCTTGTCATTTCTACCATAACTCTGTCTTAATACAAAGGTGATTTTTCCAAGAAAGCCATTGTGAAGTTCTAGGCAAAGGCCAGACAGAAAGGAGAGTGGCCATGTTGTAGTCACTCAATCAATATAAATGAAATTAATTAATTCATTGTAGTTTCAATGATCTCCATTCCTAAAATTATAGCTAGCGGTTTCTACATATCATAAAGAAGATGCTCATTGTTAGTGCTCAGTTGTAACTTTAGCCTCAGGCTCAATTGTCTAATTAAACACCATCAACTTCAACATGAAACTTTGCACTGTGACTAGAAAACAAAAAGAATATTTAGCTTTAGAGAGAAAGAGAGATCTCTCTCTCTGCCTGCCCTTTGAGATTCTCACAGCTCAAATTATCTGTGATGGTGTTAACATAGCCTTGCTTTCTCTGGGTGGTTCCTCTTCCCTTGGGGGGGGGCATTTCTTGCCCACTCTGACTCGAATGTGTTACCTCAAGTTTGTCTCCTTGTGAGCCAAGCATGAAAGAGTTAACTGTTCTGATGTTGACAGCTGCTAGTCCTCAAGTATCTCTTAACCCTCCTGCCTATTTCCTATTGAAACCTCATCTTCATATATGTCTCTGGTGGCTGTCTCTCCTGTCTTCTGTGGCTCCAGAACACTTGATTTCCCTGTAGTCAGTGGCAATGCTACTGGATGGCTTGGGGGTCTTCAGCCCCATCTCCATCAGCCTCCCCAGACCCACCTCAAATTTTAAAAATAAACTACTGTTGGACAAAGACAATTGATATTTTATCATAGAGCTATAAATAGCATATTTAATAAATGCTGGCTCTTTATTAATCTGCTACGCACCCTGTAAAACAAAGCAAAACAGGGTTTCATGACATAGTATTTCTATCTCCCTTGGGAAGTTTACTATGAGGACCCAAGAGTCCAATCATACAAATGAGTAAGGTGTTATGCCAGAGAAGTATAGTTGTTAGGTAGGATAGGAATTTGCCTAGGAGCTGGAAATCTGGTTAGAAATGGATCGAGGGTCTTGTTTTGAAGGAGCATTTGCATAGAACCCCATTCCCACCAGCCAGACTAAATATCTCATAATTCATGGGGCATTGGTTTAAATATTCAGAAGAGTCTTGCTTCATTAGTGGGGAATAACTGTCTTTAAATTAAATGCTGCTTTGGTCCCATCTAATGAATCTTAAAAGACCAGAAAGCATTAATCTATGCTCAAATAGCTTAACTGAATCCCAGAAAGAAACATCAAGAATATTTATAGAGATACAAAAATATCCAGCACTCAACAAGGTAAAATTCATAATGTCTGGCTTTCAATCAAAAATTATCAGGCATGCAAAGAAGCAGAAAGTCTAGGCCATAATGAGGAGGTAAATCAATCAATTGAAACTGAGCCAAGACTAACATAGTTGTTAGAATTATGAGACAAGGATGTTAAAACAGTATTTTGAACTGTATTCCACATGTTCAAAATGATAGAATAAGAAAAAAAGCTATAAAAATCTTGAATATGTCGAGCGGGAACATGAAAGACCCCAATTTTTTAAAGACCAAAATAAAACCTGTATAGATGAACACTACAAGCCATTGGATTTAAAAAATTACACTTGGAGGACTAACAACAAATTAGACATTGCAAAATGAAGTTTAGTGTACTTGAAGACTAGCAATAAAAACTATCCAAAATGGAACACAAAGAGAAAAAAAAGACTCAAGTAAGATGAAAAGGACATCAGGGAACTGTGGGACAACTCTAAGCAGCCTAATGCACATACAATTGGAGTCACCAAAAGAGAGGTGTAAGCAGAAAATGTATTTGAAAAAATAATGGCCAAAATTTTTCCAAACTTGGTGAAAATTTGAAACCACAGATTCAAGAAGCTCAATGAGCTCCAAGCACAGAAAATATGCAGGCAACTACACCAAGGAATACCATAATCAAATTGTTCAAAACTACTGATTTAAAAAATCTTAAAAGCAGCCAGAGAAAAAAGACACCTATGTACAGAGGAACAAAAATAAGCATGACATCAGATTTCTTGTTGAAAAATGCAAATGAAAAGACATTTAAGGCAATGAGGGGAAATATATCTTTCCAACATAGAGGCAAAGCGAAAATATTTTCAGACATTCAAAAGCTGAAAGAGTTCAGCAGCAGATATGCACTATAAGAAATATTAAAGACCATCTTTCAGAAAGAAGGAATATGATACCAGATGAAAATCTGTACCTACATAGAAAAATAAAGAACAACAGAAATAGTAATTTCATGGATAAACATATAAGATTTTTGCTATTATTTAAATCTCTTTAAATGTAACTGACTGTTAAACAACAATAATAATATAATGCAGAGATTATAACATATACAGAGGTAAAATATATGACAAAATTCAGAAGGAAAGTAATGGAAGGATGCTATTGGAAGGTTATTATACTATATGTAAAATGGTATCCTATAAGCGAAGGTAGATTGAGAAAAATTAAAGATGTGTGCTATAAAACCTAAATCAACCACTAAGCAAAACAAATAGTTATAGCTAAAACATCAATAAAAGAGATAAGATGGAATAATAAAAATAATTAAATCAAAAGAAGCCTTTGAAAGAAGAAAAATGGAAAAAATAAATGAGACACATAGACACATAGAAAGTAGGAACAAGATGGTAATTTAAACCTCACCACATCAATAAGCACATTAAACAAGGTCTATTTACTCCAAAAAAAGGCAGAGATAGTCAAACTGGATGAAAAATAATACTAGCATGCATCTTCACCTAACTGACATTTATAGAACACCCAGCCAAAAACAGTAGAATACACATTATTTTTAAGTGGACATGGAACATATACAAAGACAAATTATATTCTGGATCATAAGACAAGTTTCAATAAATTTACAAAGATTCAAGTCAACATCATTAGTCATTGGAGAAATGCAGATTAAAACTATAATGAATTATAAATCTATTTAAGTGACTGAAATTAAAAAGCCTAGTCATGCCACATATACCAAGTATTTGGGAGGATGTGGAGGAACTGGAATTCTCCTACATCACTGCTAGGAATGTACAATTATACAACCACTTTGGAAAACTGGAAATTCCTTAAAATGTTAACCATGTGTCTACCATATGATCCAGTCATTTTTCTGCTAGATGTTTATCCAAGAAAAATGAAAGCATTTGTCCATACAAAGATTTGTATATGAATAATCATAGAAGCTTTATTTCCAATGGCAAAATAACCAACCCAAATGTCTATTAATGTACGAACGCAAGTTGTTGTAGTCCATGAAAAAATACTCAGCAATAAAAAGGAATGAACAATCAATTCACACAACATGAGTCACAAAATCATTATGCTGTTTGAAAGACGCCAGACAAAAAGGAGCACATACTGTATGATTCCATTTATATAAAAGTCTAGAAAATGCAAATAAGTCTACAGTGACTGCAAGCAAATCAGTGGTTATCTAGAGAGGAGGAAGGCGGGAGTAAGAAGGTGGGAGAAAGGCACTACAAAAGCACACAAGGAAGACTCTGGGCTTCTGGGGTTGATGGATATGTTCATATTTTGCTTTTTTTTTTTTTTTTTTTTTTTTTTTTTGGAGATGGAGTCTTGTTCTGTCACCCAGGATTACAGGTGCGCACCACCATGCCCGGCTAATTTTTATATTTTTAGGAGAGACGGGGTTTCTCCATGTTGGCCAGGCTGATCTTGAACTCCTGGCCTCAAGTGATCTGCCCACCTCGGACTCCCAAAGTGCTGGGATTACAGCTGTGAGCCACTGCACCCAGCCCATATTTTGCTTTTGGTTTCATTGTGCCTATGCACACTTTCACACACACATACATATTGCAGTAACCAAAATAAGATGTTTGCAGATGCAACTAAGGTTGCTAATCAGCTAACATTGAGATAGAAGACTATCATGGATTTTCCAAGTGAGCCAAATCACTTAAGTTCTTAAAAGCAGAAAACCTTTCCTAGCTGTGGTCAGAAAGAGATGGCAGCATGAGAAGAATTTGATGCTCTGTTGCTAGTTCTGAAATGGAGATGCTATATGCAAGGAGCAGGGAGAGTCCTCAAAAGCTAGAAAAAACGAGGAAAATATCTCCCTTAGAGACTACAGGAAGGAATGCAGCCCTGCCTGCAGCACCTGGATTTTAGTCCAGTGAGACCCTTACTGGACTTCTGCCTCAGAGAACCATAAGATAAACAATTTAGGCCACGAAATTTGTGGCAATAATAGAAAACTAATACACAATTCCTACCCCAGCATTTAATATCATCATACTCTAACATTTTCCTAATCTGATAGGTGAAATGGTTTCTTCTTTAATTCGAATTTCCTTGATCACTATTGAGTTAAACCTCGATTTTTATATTTTATCTTCTGTAAATTGTATATTCCAGCCATTCAATTATTCTTTAAGTTGGGTTATTGTTTTATTGATTAATAAAAATTTATTTATGTATGTTGGATGCCATTCCTCTATTATATGTATTATAAATATTTTCTTCTAGTCTGCTTATATCTTTTAACTTTGTAATGTCTTTTGGCATAAACTTTCCATTTTATAGTCATATTTTTCTGTTCTTTTAAAAAACATTGGATGTGTGTGTGTTAAGAAAATCCCTCTTCATGCAAATGTCCTAAAAATAATTTATGATATTTTCTTGAATCAATGGATTTAAATTGCACACTTTAAGCTATGTGTATATCTTTTATCAGGTATAATAAATTTTCTCAACCCCATTTATTAAATAGTTCATTTATTTCTTACTGACAAATCTATTACATATCTATCACACATTGTTACCATATATGCATGAGTTTGTTTTTGGTTTTCTGTTGAATTCCATTTATTTATTTGCCTTCTTTTGTACCAATGCCACACAGTTTTATATCTTTTTGTTCTATTCTTGGAGCTCTACTTTTCCATAAAAATTTCAGAATCAGTTTTTCAAATTAACATAGAAGCTTCCTGAGGTCTGAGACTGTAACTGTGCCAGATCAATCTGGTTCAACTTTTCTGTAGCAAAATTGTGAGTTGTTTTTAAGTTGCCATGGACCCCTGGGTTTAAGGTCACATAACCTGAGCATGCTCAGATGAACCAAGTGTGCAACCACCAGTGGAACCTAACTGCTGGGACTGAGGAGCTGGAACTGAGTTAAGAAGCTGACATTGCATGGCAGGACACAGAATCCAATGAGATTGAGCCCAGGCATCATCCCATGGCAGGATCCAGTCAAATCATGCCTCCTAGCATCACCTAATTGCAGGATCCAATAAGATTACGCTTCATTACCCTACATTTATAAAACCAACCCCAGCCCTGAGCTCAGGCAGACAGATTTGAGCATTTCCTCCTGTCTCTTTGCCAGTCTACTTGCAATGAAGCTTTTCTTTTCTCAAAGGCATGTGCCATGGTATCGACCTCTAAGTGCATGGAGCAGTGAGCCCATTGATTGCTTGGTAACAAGATTTTAATCTTTTTTTTATTAACTGAAGAATTATTTGTGTGTTTGGTGTGTTGCAGGAGCTCAATAAATATTTGTTGAATGAAAGAATGAATATTTGTGATATCAAACTATTCCCTTCATTGTAAGTGGTGGTATTAGTTTCTTAGGGCTGCCCTAACCAAGTGTCACAAACTGAGAGGCTTAAAGAGCAGTAACGTATTGTCTCACAGTTCAGGAGGCTAAACGTTTGAAATCAAGGTGTTGGCAGAGCTGTGCTCTCTCTAAGGGAGAATCCTCCTTTGCCTGTTTCAGCCTCTGATAGCTCCAGGCATTCTTCAACTTGTGAAAGCATGACTCTAATCTCTCAATTTCTCCCTCCATCTTCACATGGCCATCTTCCTCTCTCTGTGTCTGTGACCTCACATGCCATCTTCCTCCTTGTGTCTCTCTCTCTTCTAATAGGGGCATCAGTCATATTGGATTAAGGGTCCAGTCTACTCCATTGTGATGTCATATTAACTAAATACATCTGCAATGATCCTATTTCCAAATAAAGCCCCATCCCAAGGTACTGGAGTTAGGACTTGGACATATTTTTTAGAGAGATACAGCTTAACCCCTGTCAGTGGTATATCTCTTTTTTTCCTCATGCTTTATTTTTTGTCCTTCAATAACAATTATGAGTCTTTCTCCATAGATCTTATCCATCTTTTGTTGTATTTCCAGGCAACTTTATAGCTGTTTTTGCTGTTGAGATAATTTTGCCTATTGCCTTTTTCAAATTGATCATTACTAATGTATGGGCATTGTATTGATTTCTGTATGTTGATCCAGCAAACTTCTTGCTCTTTTCATAGTTTTAAATGGGTTCTCTGATGTGTGGAAACATGAATGTTAAGCTCCATATTCTTTAATTTAGACATGGCCTGAAATAATGTGGAATATAGAAAGTACAGGCTTCAGATGACAACTTAAATAGAATGTTTGAAAAGTAGAAGATTGATTTATATGTTTTCAAAAGACAAATACTCAGCTAGTTATTACATACTCTTAGATAATAAGAGATTGATATTTATTTATAAATTGATTGTCTTAAAAATTAAGTTAATTCTATATTTAATCTAAATCTTGCTAGAATAAAGTTGAGCTTCTCCCTAAATCTGTTTGCTAAAAAGACCAAAAGCTTTCCTACACTATTCATATATTTGTTTTGTTTGTTCTAAGGACTGTTGACTTGTAACTTTGAAGCTAGCATATCTTTATTATGGAAAACTAAATTTGTAAAGATGTTTATTATAAACAACTTTGGTGATGAGTGATTCACTATGACATTCCTTCTCTGTCTCCATCTCATCCTGTAAAAGAAATGTGCAGTTCTCTTAAAATTAAGAACATGGTTAAAGGCATATTTTATTCTTTTAAAATATATACACAAGGAAGTTTAACATACTCCAGCAGATTAATTTTCAAAAACATGCAGTCTTGATATGTCATAAGAGCAGAGTCTTATGGATTTTCTATATAAAAGATCACATTATCTGTAAATGATGACATTTTCTCTCATCATCTCCAAACCATATATCTAGTTTCATTTTCTTGTCTTATTGCATTAAGACCATCAGCATATCACTGAATAGTGGACATTTGTTTTAAGTTTTTATTAGATACCCTTCATTGCATCAAAAGTTTGCAAACAGAAGTCCCATTTTATTTCTAGTTTGCTAAGTTTTTATAAAATAATGATTTCTTTTGAACGTTTAGTATTTTTGTGCTTATTAAAATGATTATGATTTTGCTCCTTTTTTAATGCAAATTTTATTGATAGATTTTCTAACAACAACTTTGAATTTCAGGGATAAGCTGTATTTGATTAGTTTATATTATTTAAAACTGCTGAATCTAAGTAGTTAACATTTTATTTAGAATGCTTCCATGCATGCTTTATATGCATGCTTTCAATAAGACTGATCTATAATTTTCTTTTTCTATACAGTGTTTATCTGTTTAGATACCAAGATTATACTAGTCTCCTAAAACAAGTTGAACTGTCTCTCCTTTTATTCTCTGGAAATCTGTTTTTAACTACTAGAAACTACCCCTCCAATTTCACCATGGGATCTCATTTGAATTTTGCAACAAAATATGATTATATTCACCTATATCCTGATTTCTCTCTAGGTTTTATAAGCCTTCTGCCATGTATTCATTCACTCACTGTCAAGCAGACAAAATGGATAAGTCCTTTATTCAAGGAGCTCAAATATTAGTTGATATAAACTGTTCTTCTGTTATCCTCCAAGACTACAGTCTTTTTCTCTGCCAAAAAAAAAGATTTATCTCTACCTTTCTAAACTTAATTGCCTTATATGTGTTAATATCGTCTTTATCCCTAAGCAATTCCTACCCCTTTCTGTCTTCTCCTAGAATATTTTATACATAATCCTATTGCATGCAGCCTTGATTCAGGAATATTCTAGAGGTGGCACCTGCAATCAAAGCCTCCTCCTGCTCACTGTCAGTAGTTCAGGTATGTATTTATACTTTGGGGAATTTAGTGGGAAAGGCTTCTGGGAAATAACTCATGTTGTGTCCACTACTGGAGTGTAGACTATTGGAAAACAACAAACACCAAATTTCCTTGGTTTATTTCATGACTCTATATGTAATTCCCAATACTATCATTTTTAGTGTACATATTTGTTTCTCAGTGATACACATAGACTGCAAGGGCAGGAACCCAACCGAAGGTGAACAAACTATGCCATACAAACTGGTACTCTAGTGTTGTTATTTTGTTTCGTTTTTGTTATCTTGGAGACTTTACAACAGCCTACTCAAGTGTTCTAGCCCAATTTCACAGGGGCTATGAATAATTAGAGGGGGTCCTATCTTCATTAAAGGGGGAATGCCACCACCCAGTCAGCCCAGTGTGGTGGTGGCAGCCAGGGCAGTGAAAAAGGTGACTCTGTGGTGACCTGAGTCAGAGACATGAGGCACAGTGATTGCTTTTCACATGCAGGTTCAACACTACATCCAAGGGCTACTTTGAATATCTGGGTTTGACTTTCATTAGGAAAAAGAGATGGCCGGGCATGGTTGCTCATGTCTGTAAACCCAGCATTTTGGGAGGCTGAGGCGGATGAGTCGCTTGAGCCCAGGAGTTTGTGACCAGCCTGCCCAACATGGAGAAACCCCATCTCTCCTAAAAATACAAAAATTAGCCAGGCGTGGTGGTGCATACCTATTGTCCCAGCTATTCGGGAGGCTGAGGCAGGATAATTGCTTGAACCTGGCGGGGTGGGGTGGTAGGAGTAGCGGGGCAATGGGGGCAGAGGTTGCAGTGAGCTGAGATCATGCCACTGCACTTCAGCCTGGGTGGCAGAGGGAGACTCAAAAAAAAAGAAGAAGAAGAAGAAGAAGAAGAAGAAGAAGAAGAAGAAGAAGAAGAAGAAGAAGAAGAAGGAGAAGAAGAAGGAGAAGAAAAGAAAAGAAAGGAAAAAGAAAAAGAGATCATTGCTTTTCTTATATATGCTTTAGTCAATTTGGATAGGAAAGAAAGTAATACGTCACAGCAAGTCTTCAGATGTTTTTAGAGACTGCTCAGAACAAAGCTCTCTTCAAAGTCAGTGCAATTGACCTGAAGCCCAGAAAGAAGAATCCTTAGGAGCCAGAGATACATATCCCATCCTCCTTCAGAGTGCTGGGGTCAGGCAGGGCCCACGAAGGCTGAAGAGGACACCCTCTGAGCAAAACCCACTGCCAAGTGGAAATTTACACCAAGCAAGGACTAGGAAGCTGGATCTGCGAGGAGCCGAGATGCCACACACTGGCATTGCACCAGCCTTTCTCTTCCTGGGTCAATGGTCTGGATGGCTGAGAAATGATAAGTAGAATTAGATGTCCTGTGAATTGTGCCATGAAGTCTGCCTTTAGAGTTTGAATCAGATATCTGAACCCTGTAAAGTTCTTTCTTGCCTGTGTATAAGTTTTGGGTGTTGTTTTGTTTTCTCATATGTTAGTAAGTGTTTTCCACATATATGCATGTATATGTATATATCCTTTAGATACAAGTGGTAGAAAAATCACAAGTCTGAGTTACTTAACTAATAAAATATTTATTATCTTATGCAAGAGGAAGTCTTGAGGTAGGGCATTCAATTGTTTAGGGACCTAAGTTCTTCCATTCTGATACTCTTCCATCTTCAGTACGTCAGTTTTGTTCTCAGACCAGCTTTTTTCATGGTCACAAGATAGTTCCACAGTTCCAGGTATCACACCAGACATGTCAACATGCAAAGGAAGAAGAGATCTCTTCCTGTATACCTCTTCCTCTGTATCTCTAGAAGCCTCCTGGTGGACTTCCTTTCAGGTCTCATTGGCCAGAATTATGTTCCATGCTCATACCTAAACCAATCACTAATATGGAAAATAAGACCACCATGATTGACTTAGAACAACCACCCTTGAAGCATGTGACTGAATGGAAGAGAGCAGAAACAGAAATAAACTCAGGATTCCTTGGGTTGGAATAATATCAACATTCCTTGGAAGGAAAGGGATGAAGTGGAAAATAAATACAAGGCAATCAATAGTAGTTACCACACCTGATTTCTTCTGAATAAGGAAGTTTCCCAACCCCAGTTCAGACTAAAAAGGAATTAATATGTTCTCTGGTGGTATTTGGAATAGACTTAAAGCAGCCAAAAGAGAGCAAAGTGGGTGTTCCAGGAGAGGCAAAGAAAGAGATCAATACAGAGGACCCATGGATATTGGCTCTTTTCCTCTGGAGCCATTTCTTCAGTGTCGGATGCTGCTGCCTTCATCTCCCTTGCAAGGTCTAACTTAATACAGCCAGAAGCAAGCTTTAAAACTGCTGTTATGGGGGCTTTGGCTCTTTGCAAATAACAGGATTAGCAGGAACCTCAGGAAACTGCTCCAACGGGGAGCCATTAGCCAGAATCACTGTTGCTGGGCACCCGGACTGAGTCTACCAGCATGGCCCCCTCCAGGCGCGAGTGGGCCGGATACTGTTGTACATATTTGGGCTTGCTGAAGTCCTTAGGCCATGTTGACCTCAGGAGCAGGGAAATGGCTGCCATCCCACTTTCCCTACTCAGTAGAGACATTTTGCATACATAGCAAACCTGGAGGCCAAGTGGGAGAGCAGATGAGTAGGAAATAGAAGCAAACAATGAATTCAAAAGGTCACTTTTTACTGATTAAGATTGCTTTAGCCTACTTATACTAAAAATGTAGCATCAGCCTCAATGGACAGCTTGGTACTCCAGCCTAGGTGACAAAGTAAGACCCTGTCTGAAAACAAACAAACAAAACAAAACAAAAACAGTACAAGTTCTGAGGCCATATCTCAGACCTATTGAGTCAGAACCTCTGATATGGAGGCTTATGAATCTGTATTTTAAAGAACTCTCTGGGCATTTTCTCAAGTTTAAAAGGCATTGCTCCGGATCCTTGTCATCCCTGTGGCTTTTCCTAAAACACTGGTAAATCTAAGGGGCTGTGGGTAGGGAGTAGGGGTGGGGAAGGGAGTGTGGAAGGTCACTGGTAAGGGAAAGGCCCCAGATATCATCCTCTGGGAAAAAAAAACAAAAAAGATCAGCTAGCCTGAAAGGAAAACATCAGTCACTTAACTGAGTGGGTATTTGTTGTACCAGAGATTTCATCAATCTGCAGTAAAACCCAGGTGTCTCAGCCATGTGATGGGCATTACAGGGTAAGACTTTTAGGAAGGAAAATTCCTAAAACTGCATGTGTCTGCTTGGCTGTTCAATATTGGTGTCCTGGAATTGCGCAATGTGGCACCCCTGCTGATGTACCCCTGAGGTCAAAGCATTTTAGATCTAGAAAGGACCATATGTCTCAATCCCTTCAATATATAAACCAAAGGAGGTGAACTAATTTGACCAAGATCACATGGTTAATTTAGCATCAGAACCAAGAGTTCTGAAAACTCAGATTTCTACCCTGGCAAATGAGTCCTCAGAGAATAATTCAAGAGAAGCAAAGGGCTAAGTGTTAAAAAATATTAGTTTTATTTCAACAACAATAACAATCACAAATATCTGAGAAGATGGGAATAGTTAGGTAATTTACAAGCTAATATACTATACAGTGATTAAAGTTACATTTATAAATATAAATATATATTTTTATATTATTATACAAATATTACATGTATAATGAAATTTATAAAGATATATATATACACACATGCATGCACACACAAATATATTGCCTATGTGTGTTTAAACAGGTTAGAAAATTGTGAATTGTGTTATAAGAGGCTTTCCCAAACCTGTTAGATCCTGTTCAGTTACTTCTGACCCCACCACAACCCCAGAAGGTGCTCCTCACTCCATAGCACCCATCTATGCAGTCTCCTGAGTCCAAGAAGAAGCCATAAGTCATTCTCAACCCTGGGCTGAGAATCATCTGGGAAACTTAAAAAATAACACTACCCAAATCCAACAGACCAATTTAATCAGGCTCTGTAGAGGAGATACCCAGACATCTATATGAAAAACACAACAAAACAAATCAAATCAAAACAAACCTTCTGCTATAGTTTGGATAGTTGACCCTCCAAACTTCATGTTGAAATTTGATCCCCAATGTTGGAGATGGGGCTTAGTGAGAGGTATGTGGGTCATGAACGGCTTGATGTCACACTTGAGTTATTGAGTGAGTTCTTACTTTGTTAGTTCCTGTGGGCACTGGTTGTTAAAAAGGGCATGACAGCCTTCTCCTCTCTCTTATGCTTCCTTTCTTGCCATGTGATGTCTGCACATACCAGTTCCCCTTAAACTTTCATCATAAGTGGAAGAAGTCTGAGGCCCTCAGCAGAAGCAGATGTTGAAATCATGCTTCTTGTACAGCCTGTAGAACTGTGAACCAAATAAACATATATTCTTTATAAATTACCCAGCCTCACATATTCCTTTGTAGCAACGCAAATGGACTAAGACAACTTCCCAGATAATTCTGTTGTGAGGTGAATACTGAGATTCATTGAGCTTGTCAAGTTAACCTTCTGACTTTGAGTGAACCTCATGCATACCTTGTTGGTAGCTTCAGGGACCAGTGCAACAGGAGGCTAACAAAGCTGGTTAGAGTATTGTCACTCTTGGCCTAGAACTCAAAGAACTTATATATTTTCTTGAGTTCATCCACTATATGACTGCAGTAGATTAAAGATGGTCACAAATTCTTTGCTACTTCTTCCACTGAGAGGTAGAAACTATTTACCTCCCCTTGAATTTGTGCTGACCTTAAGGCCTTTCTTGACTGGCAAAAAAGAATATGCCAGAAGGGACATTCTGGGACTTCTCAGGTTAAGTCATAAGAACTTTTGCAACTTCGATCCATGCCTCTTGGCACATTTGCTCTGGAGGAAGCCATCTATCTGCAGAAGTTCAAGTACCTTGAGACCACCATGCTATGCAGAAGCCCAATTTAGCCACTTGCACAAGCCATGTGGAGAAAGAGATCCTGGCTAGCCCAGCTGTTCCAGCCACCATAGATCAGGCACTCGTCATGCCAGTGAAGAAGTTGTGTTGGACATTCCAGTGCCAACAGATGCTCCAGCTTTCCAACTGGAGACAGATCTGGCTCCAGATGGTTGTAATTCTTTATTCTTCATCTCTCCATAGCTGGTGACACACATATCATCATTCTGAAATTCACCTTTTCTTGGCCCACCTCTCATGTCTAATCAATAAGTAGATGGTAGAAATTTGTGATGCAAAGAAACATAGGTAGCTGAGATATCTGTGGGGTTTAGTACAACAGATTTTTCAGGAGTATGGACTTCAGATAGTTATTTCCTAAGGTAAATGCTAGTCCCTGTGTCCTCTTGCCTAGCCTGGCAGAACATAACATGTAGCCCACCACATTAAAATGCCAGTATTGTCAGGGTGAGTACAGTGCACATTGCTGTATATCTGGTTTTGATGCCCTAATAGAGTAAACATAAATTAGGAATGTGATAATGCCAGAGGAGTTCTTTAACAGAGGACTTTATTAAGACTATGAAAGGAATTGTTGAAATTCTAAACCCAAATTACTTATAATAAATACATACATACTACAAAGCTGTAAGCTTCCAATTCCTCTTCAGAACTGTCATGTGTATGGTGAAAGGTAAAGGTCTAGTTTCATTCTTCTGAATATGGCTAGCCAATTATCCCAGCATCATTTATTGAGTAGGGATTCCTTTTCCAATTCCTTGTTTTTGTCAGTCTTGTCAAAGATCAGATGGTTGTAAA
The DNA here is from genome assembly GCF_000001405.40 of Homo sapiens. NCBI lineage: Eukaryota > Metazoa > Chordata > Mammalia > Primates > Hominidae > Homo > Homo sapiens. The sequence continues at coordinate 112,704,593 of NC_000011.10, read as the reverse complement.
TGTGTGGATTTCTGAATTTTGTATTCTGTTCCATTGGATGATGTCTCTGTTTTTGTACCAGTACCATGCTGTTTTGGTTACTGTAGCCTTATAATATAGTTTGAGGCCAGGTAATGTGATGCCTCTGGCTTTCTTCTTCTGTTCTTAGGATTTCTTTGGCTATTTAGGCTCTTTTTTGGTTCCATATGAATTTTAGAAAATTTTTATCTAATTCTGTGAAGAATGTCATTGGTTGTTTGATAGAAATAGCATTGAATCCGTAAATTGCTTTGGACAGTATGGCCATTTTAACAATATTCCTTCTTCCAATCCCTGAGCATGGGATGTTTTTCCATTTATTTGTGTCATCTCTGATTTCCTTCAGCAGTGTTTTGTAGTTCTCCTTGTAGAAACCTTTCACCTCTTTAGTTAGCTATAGTCCTAATTATTTCATTTTCTTTGAATTGGTGGCTATTGTAAATGGAATTGTACTCTTGATTTGACTCTCAATCTGGACATTATTGCTGTATAAAAATGCTACTGATTTTTATACATTGATTTTTGTATCATGAAACCATGCTAAAATTGTTTATCAGTTCTAGTTGCTTTTTGGTTGAGTCTTCAGGGTTTTCTAAGTATTGAATCCTATTGTCAGTGAAGAGAGATAGTTTGATTTCTTTTCTTACTTTAGTACTTTTTATTTCTTTCTCTTGCCTGACTGCTGTGGTTAGGACTTCCAGTACTATGCTGCATATTCTTGCCTTGTTTCCATTCTTGCCTTGTTTCCATTCTCAAAGGGAATGATTCCAGCTTTTGCCTGTTCACTGTGATGTTGGCTGTGAGTTTCTCATAGTGGCTCTTATTATTTTGAGATATGTTCCTCTAATGCCTAGTCTGTTGATGGTTTTTATCATTAATAGATGTTGGATGTTATTGAAAGCTTTTTCTGAATTTATTGAGATGATCATGTCATTTTGCATTTAATTCTGTTTATGTGGTGAATTACATTTATTGATTTGCATATGTTGAACCAACCTTGCATCCCAGGTGTATTAGTCCATATTCACACTGCTATAAAGAACTGCCCAAGACTGGATAATTTATAATGAAAAGAAGTTTAATTGACTCACAGTTCTACATGGCCAGGGAGGCCTCAGAAAACTTACAATCATGGTGGAAGGGGAACAGGCACCTTCTTCACAAGATGGCAGGAGGGCAAAGAGCTGGGGAAACCACCACTTATAAAACCATCAGCTCTTGTGAGAACTCACTCACTATAGGGAAACCTGCCCCATGATCCAACCTGCCTCCCTCAACACATGGGGATTACAGGCCCTTCCCTCCACAAGTGGGGATTACAATTCGAGATGAGATTTGGGTGGGGACACAGAGCCAAACCTTATCACCCCTCTAGTACGAGTGTGTGTGAAGGAGGAACTGTCAAACACTTATAAAACCATCAGATCTCTTGAGAACTCACTCAATATCATGAGAACACCATGGGGGAAACCATCCCCATGATCCAATCACCTCCTATCAGGTCCCTCCTTCTACACATGGGGATTATGGGGATTATAATTTGAGATGAGATTTGGGTGGGGACACAGAGACACACCATATTGCCAGGAATAAAGTTACTTGCTGATGGTGGATCAACTTTTTGATGTGCTGCTGGATTTGGTTTGCTAGTATTTTGTTTAGGATTTTTGCATCTGTGTCCATCAGGGATATTGGCCTGAAGTTTTCTTCCTTTGTTGATTTTGATATTAGGGTGGTGCTGGCTTCATAGAATGAGTTAGGAAGGAATTTCTCCTCCTCAGTTTTTGGAATAGTTTTAGTAGAATTGGTATCTGTTCTTCTTTGTATATCTGGTAGAATTTTGCTGTGACTCCATTTGGTCCAGAAGATTTTTTTGGTTAGTAGTTTTTTTTTTAAATTATTATTACTGATTCAATTTCAGAGCTCAATATTGGTCTGTTCAGGGTTTCAGTCTCTTCCTAATTCAATCTTGGGAGATTGTGTTTTCAAGAATGTATATCTATTTTCTCTAGATTTTCTAATTTGTGTGCATAGAGTTGCTCATAGTATTCTCTGAGGATCTTTTGTATTTCTGTAGGATCAGTTGTAATGTCATTTTTGTCATTTCTGATTGTATTTATTTGGATACTCTCATTTTTTTCTTTGTTAATCTAGCTAATAGTCTATCAATCTTGTTTTTTTTTTAGGAACCAACTTCTGGCTTTATTGATCTTTTATATGGATTTTTGCATCTCAATTTCATTAAGGTCTCCCCTAATTTTAGTTATTTGTTCTATACTGCTAACTTGGGGTTGGTTTGTTCTTTTCCCTTTAAATGTAAGACCTCAAACTATAAAAATCCTAGAAGAAAACCTACGAAACACCCTTCTCAACATCAGCATTGACAAAGAATTTTTGGCTAAGTCCCCAAAAAACGTTGCAACGACAATAAAAAATGGCAAGTGGGACCTAATTAAACTAAAGAGCTTCTATCTTTAGTTTTAAAGAAACCATCAAAAGAGTAAACCGGCAATCTACAGAATGGGAGAAAATATTTGCAAACTATGCATCTGACAAACGTCTAATATGTAGAATCCATAAGGAACTTAAACAAATCAAAAAACAGAAGACATAACCCCATTAAAAAATGAACAAAGGACATGAATAGACACTTCTCAAAAGAAGACATACAAGCAGCCAACAAACATGAAAAAAATGCTCAGCATCACTAATCATCACAGAAATCCCAATCAAAGCCACAATGAGATACCATCTCACACTAGTCAGAATGATTATTATTAAAAAGTCAAAAAATAACTGATGCTGGTGAGACTTCAGAGAAAAGGGAATGCTTATACACTGTCGGAAGGAATGTAAATTAGTTCAGCCACTGTGAATAGCAGTTTGGAGAATTTGCAAAGAATTTAAAACAGAGCTACTATTTGACCCAGCAATCCCTGAGTATATACCCAAAGGACAGTAGATCATTACACCAAAAGGACACATGTACTTACATGTTCATTGCTGTGGTGTTCACAATAACAAAGACATGGAATCAACGCAGGTGCCCATCAACAGTGGATTGGATAAAGAAAGTGATAGATATACACCATGGTGTACTATGTAGCCATAAAAAAGAATGAAATAATGTCATTTGCAGCTACATGGATGGAGCTGGAGGCCAAAATCCAAAGTGAATTAATGCAGGAACAGAAAACCAAATACTGCATGTTCTCACTTATAAGTGGGAGCTAAACGTTCAAGCACACGTGGACATAAACACAGGAACAATGGGCACTGTGGACTGATAGAGAGGGGAGATAGGGAGTGGGGAGTGAGCTGGAAAACCACCTATTAGGTACTATGCTCACTACTTGGGTGCAATATACCCATGTAATAATCCTGCACATATACCCTCTATATCTAAAATAAAAGCTGAAAAAAAAACTTCATGTTAGTAATGGAACAGAGTCTGTCTGGCCTCGTCTAAATGCCCCTTCTTCCATGTTATGCAGGTCCTTTTTTATACATCCCATATTGCTCAGCAGCAATGTCTGGCTCTGTAGGGTTCTTTGTTTCTTATTCAAGTTCTAGTCTTTGCTTAAACCATTTTCGAACTGGAGTCTTTAAGAACCAGCTGATTTACCTGGAACACTTGGTTTCTCTATAAAATCATCTATAAAATGTGGGGTGCTTGTTTTATTTGTTAATCCTAAGAATGGCTTTTTCTCTCTGCCCCAAGCACTGTTTATGCAACTATATTCCCCTTGGTCTTGATAAGTGTTTCTAGAGGGAGGAAATATCTAAACTCCTTTGATAAGAAGTATAACTTCCTTATTAAGTTTCAACCTAGAGATGGCTTTCCATTATACATTCTGCGTAATACCATAACATATTGGTAGTAGGAGCTTACTGGCATAATAGTACATCATTTCATGCTCCCTATCACATGGATCACATGTATGCCAAGTACAACCATTTATATGAAAGCCTGGAGGAGTCAACACAAAAACAATATTATTGTGGAGGAATTACTGGTAAAATTCTCTTTTTCCCAAGTTTGCTTAGAGATATTTCTGCTTTTAAAATTTAAATAACTTTAAAAACTAAATCTGTGCTATTTCCAACAAATTATACTACCTCTAATATCCCTTCTTTGGATTCATTGAAAAAGTTTCTCAAAGAGGGGTTTATGCCTTTCTACCCATTGAACTCCAGGAACCCAATTTTTAGAGAACATGTTCTTAATTTTTTTGACCTTCTGGTTTTAATGAAAATATATCCAAGCAAGGAAGAGTAGGAATACAACTCGGAGTTCCCTGTGGAGCTTTTGGGTTGGGCCAGGTTGTGATTTTCCTTGAAAACAACAAAAAGACTTCAGCTCAGGGAAGGAAGAATTTCATTGACACCAAAACTAGTACTGTCACTTTTCTGGGGAGACGGTAAAGCTCTAGGGGATAGCCCAAGCAGGTGCTAGGTTTTAGAGCCAAGAAATTCCCATGAGAATTGCTGAATTTCACATTATTCCTAGAAATAACTCAGAGCTTTATATTATTTACATGGGCTGTACAAAACATGGGCTTCCTGTAGGTAACTCCCTCCACCTGCTTTGGTTCTGCAAGCCTCATTGGGCCAGATTTCCAAAGTAGAATGTCCACTATTGCACCATTGCTGATCATGAATATGGCTGAGAAAATTGCTAGGTTGAGTTGGTTGCCCAGCTCACAAGGATCTCACTCTTGGTGAGAGCTTGTATACACAGAAGTGGCCCAGAGGCTGTATTGGTTCTATATGAACATGATTTTGAGCCTAATAGTAGACACAGAAGTGAGCACCTGACCAAACTAGGCTAATCAGAGTCTTTCTGTGGAGTTTTGAAAACTGCAAGTAAGGGAAGAAGATTACTTCTTCACTGATGGCAGGGTCTAGGACATGAAGCTTGATAACTTTTAGTGACTTTATTTTCCTCAATGCCAAGGAAACCCCTTTCTCACAAATGAGGGAAAAGAAATGGAGGCTAAAGATTTTTTTTAAACTCCTTAGGTCATTTAATTCCTTAATTCCAATGATTTCTGAGGTCTCTTTCCATCTATAGTTATATTTTTCAGTATGCATCCAATACATTCCCATTTGTGCCTAAGATCGTTTGAGATACATTTCTAACACACTGTGATCAAAAGCATCCTAATACAAAGACCCTGCATGGTAGTAAACCATACCAATCAGTCATACAGGAATTCCCCAAGTCCTCTGGTCCCCCTACCTTCTGATGGGGGCAGATTTGATCAAAAGCTACTGGCAAGTGTCATCAGTCACCCTGCTGAGGAAGGATGAGAAGAGGGCCCCCAGACTCAACCTGGGTTGGTGTTTAAATGCATGCATGTTTCTTTGCTATTTTGACATCTCTGAAAAAGCAATTCCTTTCCAGCTTTCTGTTCTGAGAGCCCAGACTTCCAGGTACTAGTCCTGAAGAAAATGAATTCTTCGAAGCTCGCCTGCAGATTTCTTTTCTTGAGCACTACCCCTTCATCCCTGCTTCCACATGTGAGATCCCCAGGGCTGGGATAAAGGTGAAGTGAGCAAGTCATCTAGGACACAACATTGAAGGGGACACCACTCTCACAGTTTTGCAAATACCTTCAGCTCCTCACTTGCCTCACCCTGGTCCTGGCCTGGATGATCATAGGTACCTCACCTGGGTTCATGGTGCAAAGTGTGAACATTCAGTATGGTGAACTGAAGAAAAACAAAAATCGAATGAGAAATCAAAAAAGCAGAATTTTCATTTTGACTTTATTACTAACTCAACATGATATCAAGAAAAACCTGTAGCCTGTCTGAGCCTCTGTTTCTTATTGGTAAATTAATAATAATCTCTTTCTATCTCAGTTACTTCCAAAGAATGTGACAGGAATAACATAAAATCTCATACGGAGAGGTTAAGAGACTTGTCCGAAGTTGTAAAATTCAGCCATTGGAACTTTAGACATAATCTCTTCAGCCAGCGCTAGGTTTGCCAGTGACTCACTACTTATTTAATTAATTAAACAAATAGGCATTAAGTGCCTACTGTGATCAAAACTGTGGGAGGCAGCAAGTGTGGGGTGGGTGCAGAGAAAAATTCAACAAACAATATGTTCTAGAGGAAACGAAAGTTGGGTGAAACTGCCATCTAGATCTTCCTGCCCCTACGCCCAGTGATTCCTGTGACCCTATTGCTTTCCTTGCCTGGCTCTGAGTCTTGCCAGATGTCTGAACTTTGACTTACTTTTTATGCTAGGTCCATCTTTATCCAAAGGCCAATCATCAGGAGGCTGAGAGTGGCTACAGGGCTTACCCTCATTAGAATTGTCTTGGGGGGAAAAGGAATTTAGCCCCAAGAACAATCACCCATATCCTCAATGTACCTGCCCCTTAGTCCCAGACCACTAAGACAGAATTAGCTGATGAGCAGGTCTAGAAGACAGAACTCCCAGGGAATATATTTTATTGCTGTTTTTGGTCTTTCTCGACCTTCAATGACACAATCCTATATTTTGAAGTCCAGGATAATTGGAAATAAAATGAAATCTCCTCTGTTCAGAGTTCATAGCACCTCTGAGCAGTGGCTGCCGATGGAATTGCACTGTATATTTAATACTCTGCATTAACAGGAAAGGTATAAAGTCCCCTGCAAATCTCTGCTCTTTTGCTGCCCTATCTGGGGCAAGACATGCCAGCAATTTAACAAGCACAGGGGTGTAAATCATGCAGTGAAATCTCTCACCATGGGAGGACAAAGAATCCCTAAGAGAATGAATAAAAGCCACCCAGCACTAGGCATTTTGGGAGTCAGCGTTCGTGTCTAAATGTTAAACATTTACATTTTACAGCAAAGTGACATTTGTAAAGGAGTCCTATTGCTCATTTGCAGCCGTTCCTCGCTGCTGGCCAGGGGCTTGGGGCTGGGGCCGGGTGATGAATCAAAGACGCCCTTTGTGTCATGTCACTAAGCAACTCCCTCCTCTTCTGTCGCTCGCAGAGTCTGGGCTGGGCACACAGCCTGTGTCATCCACATGGTGGATTTACAGGTCTTGATTAATGCCAGCAAAAGTTTCTTGAGGAAAAGGCAGCTGGGTTTGGGCTCTGGCCATGTCTCAACTTTGTGCTAGGAGTAAAACATGGAGCAAGTGGAGACTAGCACAAGTGGACAAGGCCAGCCCCAGCCCTTTGTTACTGGCTCCCAAACTGTCTAGAATGAAGCTTCAGTCTAAAGAAGGCAAATCTATAGCACACATGCTGACATGACTCTCTCTGCCACCCAGAACAGACATCTCACTAATAGATCATAGCATACTCTTCCCTACTGAGCCAGATAGCTCTTAGAATTGTGCCTCAGGCACATTCTAGGCACTCATTGCCAACTGGCCAGTTGGTACATAAGATGAACCTGTCACCTCTGTTTTTGGTCTATGTGTCAAAGTCTGTTTCCTGACTCTAGTTTCAGAGGATTGGAGGTTTCAGGAATTCTCCATACACAGCTATCTCTGATAATAGCTAACAGTGGTAGTAACAGTTAACACATGTGCTTCTCATGGGCCAATCACTTTACACGGATTAAAATATTTAATCCTCACAAAAATATGATATCTATATCACCTAAAAGTAATAATATCTGTCATTTATTGAATACCTACTGTGTATTGGGTAGTACATTTGATTCTTTAATCTCCACATGGTCGTGTTTCATAGTGAACTGAAAGCTCAAAGAGATTAAGCAAATTACCCACAGCTCCACAGCCAATCAAAAGGAAGAGCTGAGATCTGAACCCCAAAAGGTCTAATTCCAAAGCCATCATTCTTAAAAAGATATTAGACCTTGACCAAGGTCTAGTAAGCGGTTTGCACATCAGCAAACCGTTTTGACACTCTCATTTAATTTTCTTCTTTACTGCCCAAGGGGGAAGGGGGAAATTTTTTTTTTCTGCCAGAAACTGGCCCTAGACTTTCTCTAACTTCCTGCAGCTTTCCTGCTAACATTCCTTTACCCTCCCTGTCCTTAGGACTCCTTCCAAATAGGTGAGCCAGTAAGCTTTTCCACAGGAAGAGAGGGGAAGAGAGGATTAATGCTACAGACTGGATAGCATTGAATTGAAGGAATCCATTTTCTTATTCTGCTAGCAAGCAGGACTCCCTGCATCTCCACAGCTGACATGAAGACTGGAGAAGGTGCCGACTTCCCAAGCTTGGTGCCAGGGAAGAGCTGCCATGGCTGCTCATTTCAACAGGGAAAAATGAGCCACGATAGCCTTTTCTCTGTCCCTTCATGCTGAAAACTTGAGCTGGACTGAGATTCTCTTTGTTCCTCTCAGCTCTGAGAGGCCGAGGCGGGCGGATCACGGGGTCAGATCAAGACCATCCTAGCTAACACAGTGAAACCCCATCTCTACTAAAAATACAAAAAAATGGCCAGGTGTGGTAGCATGCACCTGTAATCCCAGTTACGTGGGAGGCTGAGGCAGGAGAATCGCCTGGACCCGGGAGGCAGTGGTTGCAGTGAGCCAAGATCAGGCGACAGTACTCCAGCCTGGGTGACAGAGCGAGACTCCATCTCAAAAAAAAAAAAAAAGGTCTCAGCTCCCAGTCTTTACACCTGATGTTTGCTCTACCAAGAGCTCTTATCTGCTAGCTGTGATCTGTTCCTCCTCCACTGGCTCCATGGCCTCCTCACTCTGCCATCTCTGTCTAGCCAGCTCCCACTCACCATTCATGTGTCCCACTTCCTTGGCAAAGCTGAACTAGGTGCCTCCTCTATGTTTTCCTTAGCACCCAGCACTTCCTCTATCCCAGCAACACTCCACTCTAGTGTACTTGCCTGGTCTGCTTTCTGCATTGGGCCATGAGCTTAGTTAGGACAGGCATGTGTCTCACTTGTGTCCCCAACACCAAGTACTGTCTCTGGGTCTGAACTCAAAAAACAACTGATGAATAAATGGATGATTTAATTGAATGGATGGGCGAAGGCACTGTCAGGAAGCTAACTGCATTGGCATGTACAGGGAGATTTTCCCCACCTCACTTCTATTGTGCCCAGTGAACTGTGATGGGCAGACGTCCCCCAATCTGGTAGAAATGTGAGAGCAACAAGCACAAACCACAGGGAGTTCAGTGGTCATATCTAAGGGTGATGAAAAAGCAGGCCCAGAAAGATTGCTCTATTCACATGCCATCCATCTAATGACTTAGGGTACAAATGAAAGTAAATACAAGTGATTACATCTTAGTTTCATTGCTTAGTGTGGCTAAAATCCATATCTGATGTTAAAAGAAAAGTTCAAAATTTGGCCTTGGCATACAAATGTGTATTGATTTCTCAAAAATAGATATGTATTCACCTATACAGGAGTATTGGCACTAAATAAGAATCATTTCCAGAATCTAAGAACCAGATTATTAAATCTCACTCCCTTGCCATAAATTGAATGAGATTTGTCAGTTCACATTAGGTGAAGGAATAAAGGGACTTGGTTGATTCACATAACTGGGAAGAACAGGGCGGAGTGGACCCAGAGACTCAAATGATGTCATCAGCATTCCTGCCCTCTTGAGGTTCAGCTTTGCGCTACACTATGACTTCCTCCTCTTTCCCCAAGGTCTGTATGCTCGTAGACAGCTCCAGGCTTTCATCATGCCAGTGTGGGAACCCTGGAAGAAAGAGAGAGGCCTTATGTGTTTACAATTCCAGGGAAGGATACCAATTGGTGCTGCTTGGCTTTCATGCCCCTACCCTTGACTCAAGCCCTGTGGTCAGAGTAATGGATACTATTCCCAGCCTAGTGATCAGAGGAGACCAAGGTACTGAGACTCATCAAAACTACCTGGAAAAAAGGGGGATATGGGGGAGGGAAGAGAGAGAGAGGGAGCAAGTCAGTTTGCTAATAGAGGAAGGGGATAAAGGATAAGGAGAATAAAAAGAAACCCCAAACCAAAAAAACAGATGTCCTCTGTAGCACTCCATGAGGGGTTAGCTTACAAATGTGCACAGACAAAAGTGTCCCCCAAATGTCCCCAAGATTGAAATGTGATCAGAGGAAGATAAACAGAAATATGTAAAGCTGTTGATGTGGTAGAGCCCAGGAAATGCCGAGTCAGAGAATCTGACTGTTCCAGGGTGTGGCTGCTGTGATCTGAGGCTGCAAGCTGGTTGGCAACATACCTTGTCCTGTTGCTAAAGCCCCCTCCTGTATGGTGCAGCAGTAACCATTTCCCAGGTTCATCCCAGTCAACATGGTTGGTGTGGCCCTGATCACCCAGAGTGAATTCACAGACTGGAGTTTGAGTTTGCAGAGCTGAAGCCCAGATCAAGGGCTGGGCCTGTATTGAGCCCTGAGGAGCAAGAGCTCTGTGAGACTGGCCAGGTGTTTGAAATTGCCCTCTCTGGCAGCTGAATGGCAGTGACTTCCCTGGCTCTTCCTTGCTATTCTTACAACTTCATCCCTTGGGAGCTAGCAAGGCGCACCCCCACCCCTGTGCCACTGCAACTGTGGGTGCCTGTGCTGGTTATTTACCTACTGCCTCCCAGCTATGAGCTCACCCTTCCAGGTGCTGCTCTGCAATGCTGGGGCCTGAATAATTCACTCTCAGTTTCCCTTGCCAGCTGGCCTCCTGCTATATCCTGCCCATGGGAGGCACTAGGGTGTGAGCAGAAGGCGGTAGGAGGAGAGAAGGTGTTTCCTCTTGTCTGCACTTCTGGTCAACTTTTCTCCAGCAGAAGAAGACAGCTGTAGCCTCAGTGGCCAGCCTCATTGGGTCCCCCTAGGTATAGTGTCTCAGATACCAGCCCCAGCCGGCTACGGATAGGCTCCTTTGGTGACTAAGCATCAACCGTCTTCCACCTCTCAGAGGTCCAAGGTCCAGCCATGAGCCACTCCTGCCCCGCATGCCCAAGAACCAGTCACAGGGGTGGGGGGCAGGGGGCTCTCCTCCATGTTCCTCATCTCTGACGATCATCCCACCTCTTCCTACTACACACATGCCTAGGAGTGGTAACTGCTTCCTGAGGATAGTGATGTCTAGATTGCCTCGGTGTCCTTCTTTTGCTCTTTAACCCTTTAAATATTTGCAAACAACTCCTACATTAAATCTCTTATATTTAAAACACCTAGAGTGATTTTTCTCTTTTCTTGCCTGGACCCTAATTGATACAATCCCCTGCCATGAACCCACCTACTCCCCAATTCAGTATTTCCCATCTTGTCCCAGAGACATATTTTTAAATCCTTCAGGTTTCACCCTTACATTTTACTATGGAAATTTCCTGCTTTGTCATACAGCTCTGTCACTCAAGGCCTTGGATCCTCAGGTTGTAAGTTCAGAGACTCTCAGGCCATCAGGTGAATAAATAAATGAAAGAATAAATGGACAGTTGAACTGAATGGATGGGTGAAGGCACTGTCAGGAAGCTAACTGCATTGGCATGTACAGGGAGATTCTCCCCACCTCACTTCTGTTGTGCCCAGTGAACTGTGATTGGCAGATGTCCCCCAAGCTGGCAGAAATGTGAGAGCAACCAGCACAAACCACAGGGAGCTCAGTGGTCATATCTAAGGGTGGTGAGAAAGCAGGCCCAGAAAGATTGCTCTATTCACGTGCCATCCATCTAACAACTTTGGGTGTAAACAAAAGCAAACACAAGCGATTACATCTTCATTTCATTGCTTAATGTGGCCAAAATCTGGTCCCAGGCTATATAATAAGGAATTGCCTTTGGACAAGCAAGTTGAAGCCAAAAATGCATGCATGGATTCAGGTTATAAAGGTATACTAGATATTCTCCTGTTATCTAGCTGTTTCCCCATTCCCTTTTTTCCCCCAACCTCATACTAGCCTGTGGAAGTCTCTTGGGAGAGCCAAATATGGGAACCAAGCCAGCAATCTTTCATTGTGTCCAGTATCCCTTCCTTGACTGGTAAAGGCAATTCTAGCAGAGACTACAGAGCCAAAATCACTAGGAATGACTTGGAACCTATCTTGATATTTGGAATAATTGTAGGGACATATTAGGGACACTCTCAAAATTATATTTTGTACATAAGCATGCAATCAAATTTATACATAATGCAAAAGAACACACACATACACATGTACAAACTCATGGGCTCACACATGCACACATATGCTCTCTGAATTGGAATATCTGAGGAGAGGCAAGAGAAGACTGAAGGTGATGCCTAGTATCCTAAGAAGGAAGCTGGGCTGAGACTGCTGAAGACTTCTTTGTGCTTCTTGGTCTTCAGCAGTCTGAGCCCAGCTTCTTTCTTAGGATAGTAGGCACCACCTTTATTCCTTCATTCTGATGCTTGGAGCCTCTCAACTTTCAGAAGCTCTCAGGACATTGTCTTGAGTGTGTTTCAGTCTTTCTTCCATTCACTCATACAGAGTGCCTACTATGGATTGAGCACTGTACCAGCTCTTGTGAATACAATGGTTGAATGCAATATAGTTCTTGACTGTCAGAGGCTTATAGGATAGAGTGAGAGCAAACAGCTAAACAGACAATCATAGCAGTATGATTCATACTATAATAACGACACAGGGACCAATGGAAGTTCTAAGGAGGTAGTGCTTAAATCTGTTGGAGAAGTCAGGGAAGCCTCTCTGGAAGATACTTTTTTTAAAAAATGAACTTCATTGAGGTATAATTTACATACAACAAAATGCATACACTTTAAGTATACTCATTGATAAGTTTTGATAAATATATATGGCTGTATAATCATTACCTTGGTCAAGATATAGGTCATTTCCGTAATCCCAAAAAGTTTCTTTGTAACTCTACCCAGAAAATTCCTACCACCTCTGGCCCTACAAAACCGCTGATCTGCTTTCCGCCATTGTAGATTAGAATTGTCTTTTCTATACCTTATATCTTTTAGAAATCAAGGAAGGGTAAGTTCCAAGCTTTGATCAACAACCTTAAACTAAAAATTGCATGCACAAGGTAATTAGAATATACATAAATGGCATAAATTAAGGAGATGTTGAAGCCTGAAACTAGAGTAATTGTAATTTCACAATTCACTTCTCTCCCCAAGCTCCTTAATTAGCAAACATCTTAGGAAAGGCTTTAACTTTCTATAGATCATGGAATGTGAGGATAAATTAATTTTACCTACATTTTAAGGGATATAGAGATTTCTCTTTATAGTTGGGTAATAAATTCAAAATAGGATTTAGTTTAAGACAAAAGAGTGGGACCCCAAGAGCAAATGATTAATATTACACAAGGGAAAGTGGAGAGCTGCTTGGAAGAGGTGAAGTCTGAACTAGGATAAACTGGCAGAGAGGAGAAAAAGGAATTCCAGGTAGAGACAAGATGCAAATAAGGAAGTAAACAAGTAAGTTAATGAAATAATTAATCTTTAAATGTCATTGTGGGGCTGAGGAAACTATCAGCAGTTTGGTGCTACTGGAGTGTCAAGTGCAAGGAAGAAAGTGGGGGATGAAGCTAGAGAAATTCACGCAGGCATTTAATGAAGTATCTCAAACAGGTGAGAGCTTTGGGAATTCCCCAGGGTTGAAGCAAAGACTCAGCCATGGGGAGTCATGTCCACCTCTCTGGTGTCATTTCTTCCTTTCTGTCCAGCAAGAAAGGTCTAGGCCTGCTTTGGAGAGGAGCCAGCAGCCCCCAGGATCCCCCAGGATCCCTTCCAACTGCATAGCCTCACCTTGGCTCCTCAGTGGTGTTGTCTGAGCTGAACACAGCAGCCAGGGGTGCTCCCGGCTTCGGCTGATGGCTATTTTCCTTGGAGAGTCAGCTTGCCAGCTGACTTGAAATAATTGAAGAAAAATCACTTTTCCTGGGTTTTATCATATGTCCATATCACCAGACTAATTTTAAAACCTTTTTCTTAAAAAAAAAAAAAAAAAAAAAAGGGGGGGGACCTTTTTTTTCCTGGACAAAAATATTAAAAATCCCAATATACTAAAAACATAAGATTGCAGCAGCTTCGTTGAAGCAAATCAGAAGGCCGAGGGCTCCTTCTACCCTCTCGTCTTCCCCGCTACCCCCAGCAGTTTAACCTCCCCTTTCTCCCCTACTTTTTTTTTTTTTTTTTTTTTTTTTTTTTTTTTTTTGAGACGGAGTCTCGCTCTTTCGCTCAGGCCAGACTGCAGTGGCACTATCTCGGCTCACTGCAACTCCGCCTCCCGGGTTCACGCCATTATCCTGCCTCAGCCTCCTGAGTAGCTGGGACTAGTCACCTGCTACCGCACCCAGCTAATTTTTTGTATTTTTAGTAGAGACGGGGTCTCACCGTATTAGCCAGGGTGGTCTCGATCTCTTGACCTCGTGATCCGCCCGCCTTGGCCTCCCAAAGTGCTGGGATTATAGGCATGAGCCACCGCACCCGGCCTTCTCCCCTACTTTCACAAGAGCCCCTGGGACACCTACTGAGAGCCCCAGGACTCTTAGGAGCGCAGCCTGGAAACCATCAAGCAGAGGTAACCTCCTAGGACAAAGGCTCTGCGTGTTCCCTTGGTCCCTAGGGGATGCTCCAGCAAGCGTGCCTGTTACTAAGGTCATGTTTTGGTTTATCTGGCTTCTCAAGCCTCATGTTAGGTCTGTTCTTTATCCCCAGACCTAGCTCCCCCACTCCCCATGGGAAGTAACCTTTCCTTTGTCCTTGTCTGCTCCTCTCTCCCTCCACACTGCGGTTCCCTCCTTCCCTATAGAAATTGCCCCATTTTCAGCTTCCTATAAAGGAAGCTTCAACTCAAGCTTATTTCTCATCCCCCAGCTGTCGTCTATGATCCAGCCAGGCCAGCTTTCTGGGTTTCACTGTGATATCTTGCCCTTTAAACTCATAGGCTCAGACCCTCCCCTGGAGAGCTTATGTGGTTGGTGTGTTTGTCTCCCAAGGTTCAGGGTAATTAAGGTAGCATTGGGGATAAGGGAGGTGAACATAGTATAGGTGGGTGGGGAGACTGCCCAGGTGAGCCTGGAAACTGGGGACATACTACCTCCATTCTGAAGGTGGGGAACAGTTTGAAGACAGCCCAGCCTCATGCTCTAGTGAAAAACAATTCTGCTCCTTCAAAGTTCTGACTTTCCAAACCAGAGGCCCCAAGGATCACGTATGAAAGTGAGAGGTAAGTGGGCCATGTAGTTATGTGTAACAATTTATCTTTCTCATCTTTTCTTGAACGAAACTCAAATTGAAATTCTATTCCTCCTCCCTGAAGTTCATTATTTCTGGATTTATTTTTTTCTCTCTTTACACACAATCACACCACATATTGGAATAGCAGATATAAGGGCGCAAATCTTACTCCACAAATTCAAGTGTGTGAGACATTCACACTGCTTTATTCTCTTTAATTAAAATAAATCTAATTTCACCACCATTCCTGTCCCCCAAACACTGGCTGGCAGGAAATTCAGTCTTTGTCATTGCTGCTGTTCTCTCTTCTGACCTCCAGGATCTCTGAATCTTAAGCACCTATTGCAGTCTTTGCTTCTGTCCCTTAGGGAACATTTCCACCACTAAATCTAGGACGCCTGCCATGCTAGGACCCCCTACATCTCTTCTTAAGGCTCCAGGATTGGCCCCCATTATCCCCCTTTATTCTTATGAGCTCCTTCTGGCTAAATCATAAAAATAGCAACCATTGTTAAAAGTTCACAACAGACAGATAATATGCTGTCCACCACCTGCGTGATCTCATCTACTCATCACAATAGCTCCTGAGTTGGGAAGAGTGTCATCTGCTTCATAGTATAGGCAAAGAAATGGAGGCCTGAAGAGAAGTCTCTTGCTTGAGGTCAGGCTGAGTAGGAACTTACAGAGCCCATGTTCCTGGGGTCTTGTCTGAGTCCCCCACTGCCTCCCTTCTATCCTTGGATTTAAGGCCCCTTTGACCTCTCCTTCTCAATGTCCATCAGTAACTGTACATTTCTTTTGCTGTGGGACAACCCAGGATGACTCCCCAGGACCTGGAGCATTTTGCTATGGTGCCTTCTCTACTTCACTCTCCTCTTTTTCCGTCTGCTTCCCAACCTACTCTTTCTTCTGAATTCCTTCCCAGACCCTCTTCCCACTCACTCTCAGCATGTGCTCTCTGACTATAATGCCAAGCCCTGCTTATTCTCCAAGACATTTCTCCACCACCATTCAAGGTGCACACTATCTGCTTTGGGAAGCATTTCCAAATCTGCCTGGTAGAACAGACAGCTTGCCTGACAGGGCAAGCTCTTCTGTAAATGAACACCAAAGCCCTAAGTTGTAGAGTTTGGAGAAACGTGTTATATCAAGGATTCTAACCTTCTTGTTTTACAAAAAAAGAAACTAGCAGAGGAGGGAAGGGAAGTGCCTAAAGTCAGCAAGCCAGGAAGGGCCAAGCAGGATGGAACCCACATCTATACTCACACTACATCTGACTCATATTCCATCTCTTCATGCTGGTAGGGAGGGTGGCCCATCTCTGCTTCCTCTTCCAGTTCCAAGGAAGTGGCCTTGGAACTTGCCACTTCTCTTCCCCTAGGAACTAGATGACAAGTTAGGCAGCCCACACCTGTTCCCTTAGTTTAGCTGAGAAAAACAACAACAACAACAAAAGGGGCTTTTAACAAATTTGCAGAAGTTCTAAAATTGGAATTGGTACACAATATCCAACTTAATAACATTTCAACTAATCACAGAGACAAAATCATCACAATTTCTAGAGGAAGCTGCTATAGGATTGACACACACATAATTTATTTGACAAGCACAGACTTTTTTAAAAAAGAAAACCACTATTAAATGTTACCAAAATCGCTTTTGATTTGGAATATGACAAGCACACTCAACATTTTTGAGATGCTAGCCACCTAGGACCCAAACACTACCAGCTGTACTGTCTCCCCGGACCCTCAAGCCTACTGCTTCCCCTCCCGCCCCTCCTGCCCTGTCCACTGAAACAAGTAAAAGGGCAAACTACATTCCCCCTATGGAAGCTCAGCACCTGATATAATTATAGTAGTTAACATTTATCATACCCCTACAAAATGCTGTACATGTCTTATCTTAATTAATCCTCACAGCAACACTATGAGGTGAGTACTATTATTATTTTATAAATGAGGAAACAAGGCCCAGAAAGAATACACAACCTGCCAAGGTCACTGCTGCGCAGCGGAGTCCATCGGACTCCAGGGTCTTTGGTCTCACTTCTCATGGTTGGATGAGGGGAGATTAAATGAGAGATGCATATAAAAAGAACGGCACATGCTGGTGCTTAATACCTGTTACTACCCTTTCTGCTTCTGAATAAATATGTCTTCCACCCTTTCCCACTACACTGTCTGTATTTTCTCGATTAGGGAGATATTCCTTTGAGCTTTTAAGGAAGGGGGCTTTAATGATGCCAGGGATGTATGCTTTGAACATCATTGCTAACTTTTCAAACATTTTGAAACAATTGCCAGAACTTAACTTCTCTCTTTTGTCCATTGTCTGGTTTCCTCTGGTCTCTATGAATGCAAACACAGGCTATTTTATGAATATTTGCCTTGGATTCAGGGACCATGAATACAAGTATTTATAAAAATGGGGTTCCCTGTACAGGGGGAGATGGAGAGGACCTTGGTTAGTCATCCCCTATAGGAACCCAGAATTCCTGGGTCTTGCCAGGAAAAGCCTTTGAATAAAGAATAGGGTTGTGCCAGGTTGGACCATCAATAAAGTCCATCCAAGCACTGTTTCCCTAGACCCACAAGCATCAAACACCTAATGCTGAAGCACGAACTATGTAATGAGCTGCCTCTGACACTCCTTGTCATAGTATTGACCTGAAGTAAATGACTTCACCTTTCCAAATCTCAGCTTCCTTATCTCTAAAAGTGGGATCATAGTGATACCTACATAACAGGATTGTTGTGAAATGATATTGAATGATTCATTTTAGTACTTAGTGCAGTCCCTGGTGTACTATGCTCAGACATTCAGCTGTGATTGTTACTAGCAGTAGCATAAACTGTTGTAGTTTTAATAGTGGTTGTAGTAAAGACACATTCTCAGCATGTGCTGTCCCAAGCACAAAAACAAGAATGGGACAATTCTAATTGATCTGGAACTACGCTTTCAATTTGAATAGTACACATTTTACTCACAATTTTACCCCAACTTATTCCAAATACAATAATACCTTTGCAGTTAGAATTTAACATTAGAACTAGAAAATGGAAAATCATGTTGAAGAAAAAGAGTGGAGACATTAGAAACAACTAGGGCTGAATCTCACCTTCAGTTCTGACCTTCCTAGTAACCAGTACAAAAGGGAAGTCAGATGGGCCATGACATACTCATTATCTGATGTTTTGTACATATTGGTTTTGTGTGAATCCAGATTAGCAAAGCTATTTCTCTTAGAATTTGCCATAGCAATTGCTACTAACAAAAAACAGTTTCATCAGCTACCTTAGTAGGGAAACATGTCTATTTTCTCCACTGATCTGTAAATTCTGTGACAGGAGGAGCTGTGTTATCCTCATATTTGTATATCCTAAGCATACTCCCTGTCCTCAGTAGGTACTTAAACATTTTTTCAACGATGTCTTAGTCCACTTTGTGCTGCTATAACAGAATACCATAGACGGTAATTTATAATAAACAGAAGTTTATTTCTCACAGTTCTGGAGGCTGGGAAGTCCAGGATCAAGGTGCCAGCACCTGGCAAGGGCCTTCTTGCAATGTCATCTCATGGTGGAATGCAGAAAGTAGGACGAGAGAGAGAGGGAGTAAAAAGGGGCCAACCCTCCCTTCCCTTAATAACAAATCCATTCATGTGATAACAGCATTAATCCATTCATGAGGGCACAATTCACATAGCCATTAGGCATCTCTTACAGGTCTCACCAATGGCAATTAAATTTCTAACACATACTTTTTGGGGAACACATTTGAACTGGAGTAAATGATGTGATAAATTGTATATAAGTTCCTTAGCCCTCAGACTGGTAATTTGATAGTGGTTGCTCAAAGTCACATTCAAAATTTGAGTCCATGTCCCCTTGACCCTCAAAATTTTGTTTTTTTCTAATACTCTACTGTTCTAGTTATCTATTTCTATATTATAAATTATAGCAAAACTTAGTTGCTTACAAACAATCATTATCTTTCATAACTCTATGGGTCACATGGGCTCAGCTGCGTCGTTCTTCTTCAGGGTCTTTGACAAAGTTAAAGTCATGTGGGGCTAGAGTCATCTGAAGACTACTTTGATCACATGTCTGGAATCTGGGCAGGAATGGCTAGAATACCTGTGGCTGGTCATGCATCACTTCCTCACATCATGGTGGTGTCAGGATAAGCAGAGTGCTTACGTGTTGCCTGGCTTATTCTAGAGTGAGCATTCAAAGAAACCATGGCAGAAGCTGCAAGGCTTCTTCTGACCTAGTTTAAAAAGTCACATAGAAACATATCTACCATATTATATTAGTCAAAGCAATTACAGGCCCACATGTATTCAAGAGATAGAGGGATAGACTCCATCTCTTAATCGGAGAGGACTTACCTAACTGTTTCTGGGGTGCAAGTTACAGTAATCTATGCAGTAAACTATTTTCAAGACAAAGCTACAGTAATCAGGATAGTCTGGTATTGATGTTAGAATACACAAGGAAATCAATACAATGAAAAAAAGAGTCCAGAAATAGATCTATACATTTACACTTAATTGATCTTTGACAAAGGTCAGACAAGTGTAGTCTTTTCAACATATGATACTGGAACTGATTATCCTTATAGAAAGATATATAAAATTTATCCATAACACAAAATTTAAGTTGTATAATGTACATAAATTAATTTGAGAGGAGTCATAGACTTAAATATAAAAGCTAAAACTATAAAGCTTCTAAAAGTAAACATAAGGCAATATTTTTGCAACTTTGTTGTAGATTTCTTAGACAAGAAAAAAGAGAAAGACCCTAAAAGAAAAAAATTGATAAATCGGCCTTCCTCCTTTTGCTAATCAAAGATACCATTAAGAAAACATAGGAGGTGGCTGGAGCCAAGATGGCCAAATAGGAACAGCTCCGGTCTACAGCTCCCAGCGTGAGCAATGCAGAAGATGGGTGATTTCTGCATTTCCATCTGAGGTACCGGGCTCATCTCACTAGGGAGTGCCAGACAATGGGCGCAGGTCAGTGGGTGCATGCACCGTGTGCGAGCCAAAGCAGGGCGAGGCATTGCCTCACTCGGGAAGCACAAGGGGTCAGGGAGTTCCCTTTCCTAGTCAAAGAAAGGGGTGACAGACGGCACCTGGAAAATCGGGTCACTCCCACCCGAGTACTGCACTTTTCCAAAGGGCTTAAAAAACGGCACACCAGGAGATTATATCCCGCACCTGGCTCGGAGGGTCCTACGCCCACGGAGTCTCGCTGATTGCTAGCACAGCAGTCTGAGATCAAACTGCAAGGCGGCAGCGAGGCTAGGGGAGGGGCGCCCGCCATTGCCTAGGCTTGCTTAGGTAAACAAAGCAGCCGGGAAGCTCGAATTGGGTGGAGCCCACCACAGCTCAAGGAGGCCTGCCTGCCTCTGTAGGCTCCACCTCTGGGGGCAGGGCACAGACAAACAAAAAGACAGCAGTAATCTCTTCAGACTTAAATGTCCCTGTCTGACAGCTTTGAAGAGAGCAGTGGTTCTCCCAGCATGCAGCTGGAGATCTGAGAACAGGCAGACTGCCTCCTCAAGTGGGTCCCTGACCCCTGACCCCTGAGCAGCCTAACTGGGAGGCACCCCCCAGCAGGGGCACACTGACACCTCACACGGCCGGGTACTCCAACAGACCTGCAGCTGAGGGTCCTGTCTGTCAGAAGGAAAACTAACAAACAGGAAGGACATCCACACCAAAAACCCATCTGTACCTCACCATCATCAAAGACCAAAAGTAGATAAAACCACAAAGATGGGGAAAAAACAGAGCAGAAAAACTGGAAACTCTAAAAAGCAGAGCACCCCTCCTCCTCCAAAGGAACACAGTTCCTCACCAGCAACGGAAAAAAGCTGGACGGAGAATGACTGACGAGCTGAGAGAAGAAGGCTTCAGATGATCAAATTACTCTGAGCTATGGGAGGACATTCAAACCAAAGGCAAAGAAGTTGAAAACTTTGAAAAAAATTTAGAAGAATGTATAACTAGAATAACCAATACAGAGAAGTGCTTAAAGGAGCTGATGGAGCTGAAAACCAAGGCTTGAGAACTACGTGAAGAATGCAGAAGCCTCAGGAGCCGATGCAATCAACTGGAAGAATGGGTATCAGCGATGGAAGATGAAATGAATGAAATGAAGGAAGAAGGGAAGTTTAGAGAAAAAAGAATTAAAAGAAACGAGCAAAGCCTCCAAGAAATATGGGACTATGTGAAAAGACCAAATCTACGTCTGACTGGTGTACCTGAAAGTGACGTGGAGAATGGAACCAAGTTGGAAAACACTTTGCAGGATATTATCCAGGAGAACTTCCCCAATCTAGCAAGGCAGGCCAACATTCAGATTCAGGAAATACAGAGAATGCCACAAAGATACTCCTCAAGAAGAGCAACTCCAAGACACATAATTGTCAGATTCACCAAAGTTGAAATGAAGGAAAAAGTGTTAAGGGCAGCCAGAGAGAAAGGTCGGTTACCCTCAAAGGGAAGCCCATCAGACTAACAGCGGATCTCTCAGCAGAAACTCTACAAGCCAGAAGAGAGTGGGGGCCAATATTCAACATTCTTAAAGAAAAGAATTTTCAACCTAGAATTTCATATCCAGCCAAATTAAGCTTCATAAGTGAAGGAGAAATAAAATCCTTTATAGACAAGCAAATGCTGAGAGATTTTGTCACCACCAGGTCTGCCCTAAAAGAGCTCCTGAAGGAAGCACTAAACATGGAAAGGAACAACCGGTACCAGCTACTGCAAAATCATGCCAAAATGTAAAGACCATCGAGACTAGGAAGAAACTGAATCAACTAATGAGCAAAATAACCAGCTAACATCATAATGACAGGATCAAATTCACACATAACAATATTAACTTTAAATGTAAATGGACTAAATGCTCCAATTAAAAGACACAGACTGGCAAATTGGATAGAGTCAAGACCCATCAGTGTGCTGTATTCAGGAACCCATCTCACGTGCAGAGACACACATAGGCTCAAAATAAAAGGGTGGAGGAAGATCTACCAAGCAAATGGAAAACAAAAGGCAGGGGTTGCAATCCTAGTCTCTAATAAAACAGACTTTAAACCAACAAAGATCAAAAGAGACAAAGAAGGCCATTACATAATGGTAAAGGGATCAATTCAACAAGAAGAGCTAACTATCCTAAATATATATGCACCCAATACAGGAGCACCCAGATTCCTAAAGCAAGTCCTGAGTGACTTACAAAGAGACTTAGACTCCCACACATTAATAATGGGAGATTTTAACACCCCACTGTCAACATTAGACAGATCAATGAGACAGAAAGTTAACAAGGATACCCAGGAATTGAACTCAGCTCTGCACCAAGCAGACCTAATAGACATCTACAGAACTCTCCACCCCAAATCAACAGAATATACATTTTTTTCAGCACCACACCACACCTATTCCAAAATTGACCACATACTTGGAAGTAAAGCTCTCCTCAGCAAATGTAAAAGAACAGAAATTATAACAAACTATCTCTCAGACCACAGTGCAATCAAACTAGAACTCAGGATTAAGAATCTCACTCAAAACCACTCAACTACATGGAAACTGACAACCTGCTCCTGAATGACTACTGGGTACATAACGAAATGAAGGCAGAAATAAAGATGTTCTTTGAAACCAACGAGAACAAAGACACAACATACCAGAATCTCTGGGATGCATTCAAAGCAGTGTGTAGAGGGAAATTTATAGCACTAAATGCCCGTAAAAGAAATCAGGAAAGATCCAAAATTGACACCCTAACATCACAATTAAAGGAACTAGAAAAGCAAGAGCAAACACATTCAAAAGCTTGCAGAAGGCAAGAAATAACTAAGATCAGAGCAGAACTGAAGGAAATAGAGACACAAAAAACCCTACAAAAAATTAATGAATCCAGGAGCTGGTTTTTTGAAAGGATCAACAAAATTGATAGACCACTAGCAAGACTAATAAAGAAAAAAAGAGAGAAGAATCAAATAGATGCAATAAAAAATGATAAAGGGGATATCACCACTGATCACACAGAAATAAAAACTACCAACAGAGAATACTACAAACACCTCTACGCAAATAAACTAGAAAATCTAGAAGAAATGGACAAATTCCTCGACACATATACTCTCCCAAAACTAAACCAGGAAGAAGTTGAATCTCTGAATAGACCAATAACAGGATCTGAAATTGTGGCAATAATCAATAGCTTACCAACAAAAAAGAGTACAGGACCAGATGGATTCACAGCCAAATTCTACCAGAGGTACAAGGAGGAACTGGTACCATTCCTTCTGAAACTATTCCAATCAATAGAAAAAGAGGGAATCCTCCCTAACTCATTTTATGAGACCAGCATCATCCTGATACCAAAGCCGGGCAGAGACACAACCAAAAAAGAGAATTTTAGACCAATATCCTTGATGAACATTGATGCAAAAATCCTCAATAAAATACTGGCAAACCGAGTCCAGCAGCACATCAAAAAGCTTATCCACCATGATCAAGTGGGCTTCATCCCTGGGATGCAAGGCTGGTTCAATATACGCAAATCAATAAATGTAATCCAGCATATAAACAGAACCAAAGACAAAAACCACATGATTATCTCAAAAGATGCAGAAAAGGCCTTTGACAAAGTTCAACAATGCTTCATGCTAAAAACTCTCAATAAATTAGGTATTGATGGGACGTATTTCAAAATAATAAGAGCTATTTATGACAAACCCACAGCCAATATCATACTGAATGGACAAAAACTGGAAGCATTCCCTTTGAAAACTGGCACAAGACAGGGATGCCCTCTCTCACCACTCCTATTCAACATAGTGTTGGAAGTTCTGGCCAGGGCAATTAGGCAGGAGAAGGAAATAAAGGGCATTCAATTAGGAAAAGAGGAAGTCAAATTGTCCCTGTTTGCAGATGACATGATTGTATATCTAGAAAACCCCATTGTCTCAGCCCAAAATCTCCTTAAGCTGATAAGCAACTTCAGCAAAGTCTCAGGATACAAAATCAATGTACAAAAATCACAAGCATTCTTATACACCAATAACAGACAAACAGAGAGCCAAATCATGAGTGAAATCCCATTCACAATTGCTCCAAAGAGAATAAAATACCTAGGAATCCAACTTACAAGGGATGTGAAGGACCTCTTCAAGGAGAACTACAAACCACTGCTCAAGGAAATAAAAGAGGATACAAACAAATGGAAGAACATTCCATGCTCATGGGTAGGAAGAATCAATATCGTGAAAATGGCCATACTGCCCAAGGTAATTTATAGATTCAATGCCATCCCCATCAAGCTACCAATGACTTTCTTCACAGAATTGGAAAAAACTACTTTAAAGTTCATATGGAACCAAAAAAGAGCCCGCATCGCCAAGTCAATCCTAAGCCAAAAGAACAAAGCTGGAGGCATCACACTACCTGACTTCAAACTATACTACAAGGCTACAGTAACCAAAACAGCATGGTACTGGCACCAAAACAGAGATATAGATCAATGGAAGAGAACAGAGCCCTCAGAAATAACGCCGTGTATCTACAACTATCTGATCTTTGACAAACCTGAGAAAAACAAGCAATGGGGAAAGGATTCCCTGTTTAATAAATGGTGCTGGGAAAACTGGCTAGCCACATGTAGAAAGCTGAAACTGGATCCCTTCCTTACACCTTATACAAAAATCAATTCAAGATGGATTAAAGACTTAAACGTTAGACCTAAAACCATAAAAACCCTAGAAGAAAACCTAGGCATTACCATTCAGGACATACGCATGGGCAAGGACTTCATGTCTAAAACACCAAAAGCAATGGCAAAAAAACCCAAAGTTGACAAATGGGATCTAATTAAACTAAAGAGCTTCTGCACAGCAAAAGAAACTACCATCAGAGTGAACAGGCAACCTACAAAATGGGAGAAAATTTTCGCAAACTACTCATCTGACAAAGGGCTAATATCCAGAATCACAATGAACTCAAACAAATTTACAAGAAAAAAACAAACAACCCCATCAAAAAGTGGGTGAAGGACATGAACAGACACTTCTCAAAAGAAGACATTTATGCAGCCAAAAAACACATGAAAAAATGCTCACCATCACTGGCCATCAGAGAAATGCAAATCAAAACCACAATGAGATACCATCTCACACCAGTTAGAATGGCAATCATTAAAAAGTCAGGAAACAACAGGTGCTGGAGAGGATGTGGAGAAATAGGAACACTTTTACACTGTTGGTGGGACTGTAAACTAGTTCAACCATTGTGGAAGTCAGTGTGGCGATTCCTCAGGGATCTAGAACTAGAAATACCATTTGACCCAGCCATCCCATTACTGGGTATATACCCAAAGGATTATAAATCATACTGCTATAAAGACACATGCACACGTATGTTTATTGTGGCATTATTCACAATAGCAAAGACTTGGAACCAACCCAAATGTCCAACAATGATAGACTGGATTAAGAAAATGTGGCACATATACACCATGGAATACTATGCAGCCATAAAAAATGATGAGTTCATGTCCTTCGTAGGGACATGGATGAAATTGGAAATCATCATTCTCAGTGAAGTATCGCAAGAACAAAAAACCAAACACCGCATATTCTCACTCATAGGTGGGAATTGAACAGTGATAACACATGGACACAGGAAGGGGAACATCACACTCTGGGGACTGTTGTGGGGTGGGGGGAGGGGGGAGGGATAGCACTGGGAGATATACCTAATGCTAGATGACGAGTTAGTGGGTGCAGCACACCAGCATGGCACATGTATACATATGTAACTAACCTGCACATTGTGCACATGTACCCTAAAACTTAAAGTATAATAATAATAATAATAATAAAATCAACCACTGAAACTGTCTCACAATGAAAGAAATATGTGAAAATTAATACATTTATTTAGTTAAATGAATAAATTTATTTAGTTAAATTACTCTCATTCTTTAGTTATACGAACAGACACCAATGGTGTGATTACTCCTTAAAGACTAGGCTAATAAAATATATGTGTTCATGTGTTTGTATATGCTTATACAGACATGTGTATGTACCTTCCCCCTGAACACCGTCCCTACCAACAAATACACATACACATCACTTTACTGAATGTCCACAGTAACATTCTGGGAGACTTTGAAAAAGTAAGAGTCTATTCGTAAATTACTCTAAATTTTATGTACTCTTTTTGTCTTCATAATTTCCCAATTCAAATCACAAAAATAATTTTGGAACATTCGCAACAACTTATGTTGTAAGCTATAATCTTACAAGGAATTTATATTTCAAATGTTTCATATTTTATCCCATAGGTAACAGAAATTAATTTTCAACTTACAATAAACTGAACTTATCTTTAAGGCAATGTCTGAAAGTCAGAAAAAAATTTAACCTTTAAAATCCATTACTTATTAACATTAGTTTCACTAAAGTTGGTATACAACCCCCCGCCACTGCTGAATTTGACTGGCTATAAAAATAAAATAAAATCCATTAAAACCTCTAGTTTTTGTTTTCCCCTTTTAAAATTTACTTTAAAAATATACCCTAGACTATACCCAAAGACAAGAATATACCCTAAAACTTAAAGTATAATAAAAATAAATAAATAAAATAAAAAATAAATAAATAAATAGATAAATTTTCAGAAAGCAAAAAAAAAAAAAAGAAAACATAAAGGCAAACTACAGATGGGAGAAACTATTTGCATGTATATATATGCATGACAAAGAATTTGTAAATAGAATCTATAAAGAACTTTCACAACTCAAAAATTAAATGACAAACAAGCCAATTTAAAATTCAGACAAAAGGCTTGAATAGTAGACTCACTTAGCTATCCAGCCTACATCTTCCTCCTGTGCTGGATGCTTCCTGCCCTTGAACATCAGACTCCAAGTTCTTCAGCTCTGGGACTCAAACTGGCTTCCTTGCTCCTCAGCTTGCAGATGGCCTATTGTGGAACCTTGTGATTGTCAAGGAGGCCCTCACCAGTGCTGAGCAGAAGCCATGCCCTTGGACTTCCCAGGCCCCAGACTGGCACAACTCTCAGGAGAACACCTAGTGACGTCAGTTCTCCAGAGGAGAATTTCTTCCACCAGAATTGCATATCATGGCAGACAGGAGGCAGGACTAGATTGCAGCTCTGACTTGGACAGACAGAGAAGTGTGCAGAGGCCCGCATGGTGAATTTTAGCTCCAGAACGACTGCAGGAATAAATCAGGAATCCTGAGAGGACCCACAGACCCTCTGAAGGAAGCAGACTGCTCCTGCCAGACCGGGGAGACACCCCAGATACTGTGCTGGTATCAATGGCTGAGAGACCCATAGATGGTTCACATCACAGGACTCTGTGCAGACAACCCCCAGTACCAGCCCAGAGCCTGATAGACTTGCTAGGTGGCTAGACCCAGAAGAGAAATAACAATCACTACAGCTCAGCTCTCAGGAAGCCATATCCATAGGAAAAGGCGGAGAGTACTACATCAAGCAACACCCTGTGGGACAAAAGAATCTGAACAATAGCCTTCAGCCCTAGACTTTCCCTCTGACAGAGCCTACCCAAATGAGAAGGAACCAGAAAGCCAACTCTGGTAATATGACAAAACAAGACTCTTTAACACCACCAAAAAAATCATACTAGCTCACCAGCAATGGATCCAAACCAAGAAGAAATCCCTGATTTACCTGAAAAAGAATTCAGGAGGTTAGTTATTAAGATAATCAGGGAGGCACCAGAGAAAGGTGAACCCCAATGCAAGGAAATCCAAAAAAACAAGAAATGAAGGGAGAAATATTCAAGGAAATAGATAGCACAAGGTAAAAACAATAAAAACTTCAGGAAACATTGAACACATTCATAGAAATGCAAAATGCTCTGGAAAGTCTCAGCAATAGAATTGAACAAGTAGAAGAAAGAAATTCAGAGCTCAAAGACAAGGTCTTCCAATTAACTCAATCCAAAAAAGATTTTGACAAAGAAACAAGAATAAGAAAATATAAACAATGCCTCTAAGAAGTCTAAGATTATGTCGAACGACCAGGACAGTATAAATAGCTTTATATCAATAAGTTTGAAAATTTGATAAAATGAAAAACTTCTTAGGAGAAACACAACTTGAAATCGACATGAGAAAAATATTGAACATATGAATGTAAAATTATTAAAGAAATTAAATATGTAATTGAAAATCTTCTCCCCAAGAAAATATTTCTGGGCCCACGTAGCTTCAATGGTGAATTCTGCCAAATGTTTAAGAAAGAAAATAATGCTAATCTTTTACAAATTATTCTAGAGAATAAAGAATAAAGATAAAGATAAAGTAGCACTAACCAACTTGTTTTATGAGGCCAAAATAATTTTAGCATCCATCTTTACAAAAACATGATGATAAAGAAAAATTATAGGTGGTCTCATTCAGAACATGGAAGCCAATAACTAAACAAAATATTAGTAAATGGAATCAGCAATGTACAAAGGCTAAGGCATGAGATCAAATAGGATTTACTCCAAGAAAGCAAATTTAGTTTACACTCAAAATTCAATCAATCTAATTCACAATTAACACAACAAAAAAATTCATGTGATCATTTTAATAGATAAAGAAAAAGCATTAAAATTCAATATCCATTCATCATTAAAACAAACAGGCAAACAAAAATCATTTAGCAAAGTAGAAATAGAACTTATTAGCCTGATAAAGTAAATCTACAACAACCCTATAACAAACAGCAAACTTAATGATGAAGTGTTGAAAACTTTCCTTTTGAAATAACAAATGAAAGATTTGAATAACACAGTTAGCTGGCCAACGCTATTCCCAGTCAATGTCAAACTGGAGGTCTGATTCAGAACAAAGAAGCAAGAAAAAAAACAGTACAGAAATTAGAAAGTTGGGGAGAGAGAAAGAGCTGTTGTGTGTCTTCTTTTAATTTTTAATTTTTTAAACTTTTATTTTAGGTTCAGGGGTACATGTACAGGTTTGTTATGTAGGTAAATTTGTGTCACGGGTGTTTGTTGTACAGATTATTTTGTCAAACAGGTACTAAGCCTAGTACTCAACAGTTATTTTTTCTGATCCTCTCCCTCCTTCTACCCTCTATCCTCTGGTAGGCCCCAGTGTCAGTTGTTCCCGTCTTTGTTTCCATGTGTTCTCATCATTTAGCTAACACATACAAGTAAGAACATGTAGTGTTTGGTTTTCTGTTCCTGTGCTAGTTTGCTCAGGCCTCCAGCTTCATCCATGTTCCTACGAAGGACATCATCTTGTTCTTTTATATGGCTGTATAGTATTCCATGATGTATATGCATCATGTTTTCTTTATTCAATCTGCCATTGATGGGCATTTAGGTTGATTCTGTGTCTCTGCTATTGTGAATAGTGCTGCAATGAACTACATATGCAACTGTCTTTGTGGTAGAATGATTTATATTTCTCTGGATATATGCTCATAATGGCATTGCTGGGTCAAATTGTAGTTTTGTTTTTAGCTCTGAGGAATTGCCACACTGCTTTCCACAATGGTTCAACTAATTTACACTCCCACCAACAGTTTATAAGCATCTCCTTTTCTCCACAACCTCACCAGCATCTTTTTTTTTGTTTTTTTGTTTTTTTTTTTTTACTTTTTAATGGTAGCCATTCTGACTGGTATGAAATGGTATTTCACTGTGGCTTTGTTTTGTATTTCTCTAATGATAGTGATATTGAGCTTTTTTTCACACTTTTGTTGACCATGTGTATTGTATCTTTTTTTGAAAAGTGTCTGTTCACATCCTTTGCCACTTTTTATTGGGGTTGTCTTTATTTTCTTATAAATTTGTTTAAGTTCCTTATAAATGCTGGATATTAGAACTTTGTCAGACGCATAGTTTACAAAAATTTTCTCACATTCTGTAGGTTGTCTGCTTACTCAGTTGATAGATTATTTTGCTGTGCAGAAGCTCTTAAGTTTAATTAGATCCCATTTGTCAATTTTTGTTTTTATTGTGATTGCTTTTGGCATTTTCATCATAAAATCTTTCCTGTTCCTCTGTCCAGAATGGTATTGCCTAGACTGTCTTCCAGGGTTTTTATAGTTTTGGGTTTTACATTTAAGTCTTCAACACATCTTGAGTTGATTTTTGTATATGGTGTAAGGCAGGGGTCCAGTTTCAATCTTCTGCATGTGGTTAGCCAGTTATCCCAACACAATTTATTGACTAGGGAGTTCTTTCCCCATTGCTTGTTTTTGTCAGCTTTGCTGAAGATTAGATGGTTGTAGATGTGCAGTATTATTTCTGGGCTCTCTATTCAGTTTCATTGGTCTATGTGTCTATTTTTGTACCAGTACCATGCTGTTTTGGTTACTGTAGCCCTGTAGTATAGTTTGAAGTCAGGTAACATGATGCCTCCAGTTTTGTTCTTTTGCTGAGATTGCGTTGGCTATTCAGGCTCTTTTTTAGTTCCATATAAATTTTAAAGTAGTTGTTTTTTTTTTCAGTTCTGTGAAGAATGTCATTGGTAGTTTGATAGGAATAACATTAAATCTGTAAATTGCTTCAGGCAGTATGACCATTTTAATTATATTGATTCTTCCTATCCATGAGCGTGGAATGTTTTTTGTGTCATTTCTGACTTCTTTGAGCAGTGTTTTGTAATTCTCATTGTTGAGATCTTTCACCTCCTTGGTTAGCTGTATTCCTAGGTATTTTATTCTTTTTGTGGCTATTGTGAATGGAATTGCATTCCTAATTTGGCTCTTGGCTTGGCTGTTGTTGGTGTATAAGAATGCTAGTTATTTTGTATGTTGATTATGTTTCCTGAAACTTTGCTGAAGCTGTTTATCAGCTGAAGGATCCTTGAGGCCGAGACTATGTGGTTTTCTAGATATAGAATCATGTCGTCTGCAAACAGGGATAGTTTGACTTCCTCTCTTCCTATTTGGAGGCCCTTTATTTCTTTCTCATGCCTGATTGCTCTGCCCAGAACTTCCAGTATTATGTTGAATAGCAGTGGTGAGAGAGGGCATCCTTGTCTTGTCCCTTTTCAAGGGAATGCTTCCAGCTTTTGCCCATTCAATACAATGTTGGCTATGGGCTTGTCATAGATGGCTCTTATTATTTTGAGGTATGTTCCTTCAATACATACTTTATTGAGAGTTTTTAGAATGAAAAGATACTGAATTTTATCAAAAGCCTTTTCTGCCCCTCTTGTGATAATCATGTGGTTTTTGTCTTTAGTTCTGTTTATGTGATGGATCACATTTATTAATTTGCATATGTTGAACCAACCTTCCATCCCAGGGATAATGTGTGCTTGATTGTGGTGGATTAGCTTTTTGATGTGCTGCTGGATTCAGTTTGCAAGCGTTTTGTTGAGGATTTTTGCATCTGTGTTTGTCAAGGATATTGGCCTGAGGATTTTTTTTCTTGCTGTGTCTCTGACAGGTTTTGGTATCAGGATGATGCTGGCCTCACAGAATGAGTTGGGGAGGAGTCCCTCATCCTCAGCTTTTTGGAATAGTTTTAATACCAGCTCTTCTTTGTACATCTGGTAGAATTCAGCTGTGAATCTCTGGTCCTGGGCTTTTTTTGGTTGGAGGCTATTTCTTATTGATTCAACTTCAGAGCGCATTATTGGTCTGTTCAGGGAGTTAATTTCTTCCTGGTTCAGTCTTGGGAGAGTGTACGTGTCCAGGAATTTATCCATCTCTTCAAGTTTTTCTAGTTTGTGTGCATAGAGATGTTTGTAGTAGTCTCTGATAATTTTTTGTATTTCTGTGGGGTTAGTGGTAATATCCCTTTTGTCATTTCTGATTGTGTTTATTTTAATCTTCTCTCTTTTCTTCTTTATTAGTCTAGTTGGTGGCCCATCTTATTAATTTTTTCAAAAAACCAATTCCTGGGTTCGTTCAGCTTTTGAATATTTTTTTGTGTCTCAATCTCCTTCAGTTTGGCTCTGATTTATGTTATTTCTTGTCTTCTGCTAGCTTTGGGGTTGGTTTGCTCTTGCTTCTCTATTTCTTTTAGTTGTGATGTTAAGTTGTTAATTTATGCATAGTGGTCAGTAGGTAGACTCTTGCTCAGCTGTGTCGCTCCCCTATATTTCCTCACATTTGCAGCCATAGTCCCTTTCAATGCTTTGAAACTGTGGGTCCCTCTCCCACTTGAGTGCTGACTGTAGATCATGGCTTGGCACTCCCAAGCTGCCCATCACAGCTCTAGGGTGATCTCAGGGTTTATGTTTCCTCCCCAACTTGGAGCCAGCAGGAAAAGGGACCTTAGCAGTGGTTGTGGCCAATGGTCTTTTGCTTGTATCCTGGGGACTCCACCTCAGAGAGATGCAGATCAGCAGTTGCTCTATGTGATCAGAACAGGATGGGGGTCTGTGCTGTGGGCCCAAGCTGGGGGATTCCCTGCCTGGTGATGAACAGGGGGAGTGGGTGGGACCTGTGGGAGATGGACTGGCCACCTCTTCTTGGGTTGACTGCTGCTTATTGGAGGTGTGGATAGGGTACTTAGGGTCTTTGCTCCTTCATTAGTCCAAGGGTAGCATGGGCAGTACCACTGTAGAGGAAATGGCAAAGGGGCTTTCGGTTTCCCCTGGGGGCTCCAACTCCAAGAAACGTGGACCCACTGTTACTGGGAGTGTTCAGCAAGTGGGGTAGGGCAGCTGCCCTGCTGGCATGAGCTTGGGGAGCAGGGGGTTAAGGGCTCATCAGGAAGAGAGACTTGTTTCCTCTCTGTATGGTGACTGTGGCATGCTGTAAGCTCAGGTGTAGCCCTGAGACTCTTGTTTCTTCCCCAGACTGAGGGCAGCAGGGATAGGACCACTTCTGTAGCAGTAGCAGATAGGCTGTCAGATGCCTCCAGGAGCCTCTCCCCAGGGAAACTCAGGGCCACTACTAGTGGGTATGCTCAGCCGTGGGTGGGGCAATGTTTCGCCATCATGACCTGGGAGCCCTTCCTAGTGGAGTGGGGGATGGGGGTTCCCAGGGAAGAAGAACTACCATCCTTTCTGTATGGTAGCTGCGTTGTGCTGGAGGTGCCAGCATAGTGAGTAGGCCCTTTGTTCTTTCTCCAGCCTGAGCACTGTTAGGGCAGTAGCACTGCCACTGCAGTAGCAGAGGAATTGTAGGTTGACTCTGGGATTTCCTCTTTGGAGAAATGCTGGGCTGCCTCTGATTGAAGTGGTCAGGTGGGGACAGGGTGGTAGTGTTGAGTCCCAGGTCTAGTGGCCCTAACCAGTGAGGAGAAGTGAGGACCAGCACCTGCGTGGAGAATAGCCCGGCCAATTTCCATAAGGTAGGTGCTCTGTGCTGGGGTTCCATCACCTCCTGGCCCCTGTGGACTCTCCAGAGCCTGGAGACAGCAAGGGCCAGGGCTGCAAGATGGCAAAGATGGCAACCCGCCCCTCCCACTGGGAGCTCTGTCCAGGTTGTTGCAGAGCTGCTTCTGGCTCAATAGCCCCAGCAGGGTGTGGCTGGAGACCCTGGCTGGGAGGACCCACCCAGTGAGGAGATACAGGATCAGGAACCCATGTAACGAACAGTCTGGCCACTTTTCCTAGGGCTGCTGGAGTATGCTGAAGGTCTGCTCCAGTCCCTAGTCACCTTAGATTTTCCAGTACCTGAAGGTATCGACAGTGAAGGCTGTGAAACAACTAACGTGGCACCCTGCTTCTCCCTCTGGGAGCTCCATCCCAGGGAGATATGGACATGTTGCTGGCTGAAACGCACTGGAGGGGGTGGCTGGAGACCCCAGTCAGGAGGTCCCACCCAGTTAAAAGGAATGGGACTGGGGACCTCTGTAAAAAAGCAGTTGGTGGTTTTTTCATACAGCAGCTGTGCCGTGCTAGGGGTCTGCTCCAGCCCGCAGTCACCTTGCACTCTCCAAGTTCTGAAAGCCAGAACGGCTAAGGCTGCCAAAGAGCAAAGATGGCAGCCCACCCCTTCCTCTGGGAGCTTCACCCCAGGGAGGTTTGGAACTACTGCTGGCTGGAAAACACTGGTGGGGGTGGTCATAGACCTCAGACAGGAGATTCTGCCCAGTAAAGAGAAACAGAATCAGACCTGCATGAAAAAGCTGTTGGCCACCTCTCCAGAGCTGCTGCACATGCCAGAGGACCACTCCAGTCCCTAGTCTCCTCAGATTCCCCAGACCCCAAAGGCAACAACAGCTAAGGCTGTGAAATAGCAAAACCATAAGACTCCTTGAAGAAAATATAGAATATTTTTATGACCTTGTGGTAGGGAAATCTAACTGTAATAAGACCCAAAAAAGTTGCTAAGCCTAAATAAAAGATCAGTTAATTGGACCACATTAAATTAAGAACTTCTGTTCATCAAAACATACCATTAAGAGAGCGAAAAGGCAAGCAAGCATAAATGGAAAAGATTTTGTAACACATAACCAACAAAGACTTCATTGCCATAACATAAAAAAGATGTCTTACAAATCAGTAAGTAAAATATATACAACCTTATAGAAAAATCTGCAAGAATCACCAGTAGGCACTTCACAAAAGAGGATATTCAATTGCCCAATAAATATAGGAAAAGGAAGTCAGTCTCATTAGTAATCAGTGAAATGCAAAAATTGAAAGCAAATTGAAGTATACTGAAAGAGAACACTACCCAGAATGGCTACAATTAAAAGAAATGACCATAATAAGCTTTGGCAAAGATATGGAGCAAAAGAACTCTCATACACTACTGGTAGGGTTGAAAATTGGTATAATCCCCTTGGAGAATAGTTTGGCATGTCTCTCAAAACCAAGCATACATATCTGTTACCCGGCAATTCCACATGAACACGAAGAGACATGCTCAATAATGGTTATAGCAGCTTTGTTTGTGATAGTCCCAAACTGGAAACAACCCAAATGTCTATCAATAAAAGAGTGGTTAAATAATTTGTGCTGTATTTATAAAAAAGAATTTGAGGTGGGGTGCAGTAGCTCACGCCTATAATCCCAGCACTTTGGGAGGCCGAGGTGGGCAGATCACTTGAGGTCAGGAGTTTGAGGCCAACATGGCAAAACCCCATCTCTACTAAAAATAAAAAAAAATCAGCTGGGTATGGTGGTACATGCCTGCAGTCCCAGCTACTCAGGAGGCTGAGGCAGGGGAATTGCTTAAAGTGGGTGGTGGTGGGGTGGGGGAGGAGTGCAGAGAGGGCAGAGTTTGCAGTGAGCTGAGATCGCGCCACTGCACTCCAGCCTGGGTGACAAAGCGAGACTCTGTCTCAAAGACAAAAAAAAGGAATTTGATATAACAATGAAAATAGATGAAATCCAGCCATAATATATATAAATCTCATAAACATAACATTGATCAAAACAAGCCTGACACAAAAAGCATACTGTATGACTTCATTTTTTAATAATTCTAATAACTATAGTATGTGGAGATGCCGGATGAAATGATACAATTTAAAAATGCAAATAAGTAAAATTAAGCAATGCAAGTAAAATGAAGACATGCATAGTAGTATGTAGAGATGCCTGATTAAGTGATAAAATTCAGAAATGCAAATACTAGCCACAAAAATCTGGCCAGTAGTTATCACAGCGGGGGACAGGAGGGTGACCTGTAGCAGGCCTGAGGGGTCTTCTGGGACACTCTTCCATTTTTATTTGGGTGGTGGTTCTGTGGATGTTTGCTTTGTGGTAATTAATTGAGCTGTACATTTTTAAGTCACTTTCTGTTACATATGTCACATTCAACAATAAATACTTAGGAAACAAAAGAGAGATAGAGTTGGTGACACAGACCCTAGGAACTCCAGGGAGACTGCCTTCTAGGTTGAAATCAGTGCATTTGTTAGTGTTCTTTAGACCGAGCGGTGCCCATCAGAACAAAAGGAAAATAACCTGGAAACTTAGTGGAGGGTCCTCCCAGGCAAAAGTGTAGGTTGTCATGCAAATTAGATGTAAAACTAGCTAGATCTGCTTCATTGGAGGGTGGCAGGGCTGGTAATGAGCCAAACACAAAAATTTGTTTGTATGGCAGCTGCCTGAGAAGCCAGAATCAGGCCTGCAGAGGTTCTCTGGTGGTTTGGGAAGATGTGGCAGTAGAGGGGGCTAATCAAAATGGTAGTCTCCTTAGAGCCCAGTCCCACAGTTCCAGCCCAGGAGCTTCCCATGGGTCTGGCATTGGGAGCCAGAGTAAAGCTAAAGGAGAAGGTGCCTGAAGCCTCATGTAGGCACTGGGAAAATGATGCTTCCTCCTTCTATAGCAGAGGAGGATGCTGCTAACAGGAGCTAGTGGAGGCTCTAGGAGGAACCTGTGCCTGTGAAACAGGTTGAAGCTCCCATCTCCAAGGCATCCTGCCTGCCTTGCTGTTTGTGCTCCCTTTATGTCTTCTCTGGGTTCTTCTCTCAAACCTTTCAGGGAAATTGCACTCTGTTTAATTAGAACCTGAGTCTGGAGCTTCGTGTCCCATGCTGTCTTTGGGCCTGGGCAGGCTTTTGGGTATGCTGACTTCAGCAGCAGCTGACAGTCCAGTTCTATCTGAGACAGGAGTTGGCACTTGGCACTGGGCAGGGGCTTCTGGATGAAATGATTCCAGAAGCATTGTGCTTGGTCTGATGGTGAAGGTATTGTGTCTCCAGCATTAGACTGACCTGGGTTTGAAGCCAGGGTTGGCCACTTACTGACTGTGAGCTATGTGACCTTGGCAAATTACTACGAATGTGTAAGTTTTAAATAATAGTGCATTGAAAGCACTTAGTATGGTGCCTGGCACATATAAAGTGTTCAGTAAGCACTATTGTTTTATTATTTGTTTATCAGCAGCAGCAGCAGCAGCAGCATCCCGCCCAGATCCAAGAGATTACTGAGCCATCTTTTCAGTGGAAGCAAATAGGAAACGGACTTTGGAGAAAGGCACTCCTTACCTCCTTGTGGAGAAATGAAAGGGAGCCCTTTTAGGATGAGGCATAAAGCTTTAGCCCCTCTACACACTGGAGTTGGTGCATTGGCTGTCTTGAGTGTAGGTCCAGAGGCTGCAAGGAGGCACTTTGTCTTTCCTCTTGGCTGAGGCTGTTTTCTGCCCAGGGACAGGACACAGGTTGTCTCAAAAAGCAGGGGCATCCTTGCCCTGGCACTTTATTGCTGGATCTACGTAGATTTTTCCACAAGATCAGACAGTGCAAAACACCTAGAATAGGTGCCACCTCTGCTACTTTCTCTATGTGCCATGTTCATATTTTTTATTGCTGTCTCTAATGTCATTCCATCATGGTCTTAAGAAATGTCAGGTCAACATCTTTCCAAAGGAAGTATGTTGTAAAAGTGCCAGTTTGAGAGAATATGCTTAGAAGAAATTACCACCATTTCTCTCTCTGCCCAGGGTGAACATGAGGAGCTAAGTGTGAAGAAGCAAATAGTGGTAGAAGCACAAAGGCCACGTGCAAGTGAGATTGGGAAATGGAGGAAGCCAGGGCCAGAGCCAATGGCTGGTGTCCTCTGGGTAGCACCTGTTTGCATGGTTCACATAAAGAGACTGGAAGAGAAATCAGAGCAGAGGGATGTGGTAGATTTTCTGCAAAGGTGGCCACCAACAATCTCTCCCATCTCTGTATATGTGTGTCCCTCCCATAAGGAAGTAGATTCCATTTCCTCTTCTCTCAAATCTAGGCCAATCCCATGACTTGCTTTGACCAACAGAATGCAGCGGCAGCTATGCAGTGTAATTTCCAGTCCTAGGCCTTAAGGGGCCTTTCAGCTTCTGTTTTCACCCTTCTAGGATCCAGCCAACATGTAACAGTGGTCACCAGGCACCACTAAATTAGGAGAGGCTGTGTCGAAAGAGAATGGCTCAGCCAGGCCAAGCTGTTCCAGCAACCCCAGCTAAAGCACATGGCACATGTAAAGCCATTGAGAGTGATCCAGCTCAGCTCCCAGCTGAAGGCAGCTACACACATGACCCTGGCCAACCCCATATGGAGAAGAACCACCCAGCTGAGCCTTGCCAGCCCATGGACTCATGAAAAGGTATTAAATCCTTGTAATTTAAGCTGCTGAGTCTGGGGCTAGTTCCTTAGGCAGCAACAGATAACTGAAATAGCAATTGTTTAGAGACACTGAAAGGCAGCTCAGTTAACTTCACTGATTCCCCAGTTTCAGAACATAATGCTTATTGATCACTTGTACTTTTGATAAAACATCTATTTTAAGTAGACACTGTGGCCAGCTGGGCAAGTAGGAACTCAGTGCCAATAACTGAGACTTGTCACAGATTTGTAATCAGAGACGAGGTAAGGAAAGTGTGACCACACAATGATGAGCACTCTCATTTGTTGAGTGCCTCCCTCCCATGTGATGAGCCCTCTGCACCAGACTTTACCGTTGTCATTTCATTTTATCCTTTAGAGGTCGGACTTGTGAAGTGTCTTGTATTATAGATGAGGAGACATGGAGGCTTAGAAAGCAGAAGCATTTGCCCAGGGTTAAACCATTAATAAGCGGCATAGCAAGTATCTGAACCCAGAGCCATTTGGTTCCAGGATCTGAGCACTTGACCTCCAAGCTTTACTGCCTTTCATGAGCCAGAATGGTCAAACTGTTTCCTCTGATTGCAGGCTGGGGTTGGGAGGGTTGAGAACTTACAGAGCAGGCTCTTGGACAACTCCTTTCTCTCTCAGGAAGAGGTAAGTATTTTAATAGCCCAGAAGGTATGGCATGAAGGCAGGGATGAGTATCTCTTTTGGGGCCAATGAGGCACCTGGTGTCTGAGGACACAAGACTCTCCCCAGAAGCAGCACATTTGACATTATGCAGTTTCACATTCTGTGCTCTTCATTTCTAAGAACAGAGTTTCCTCTTTGAAATCCACAAGTAGCCCCGGGCCACTCTGAGATGCAGCTCTGTGGAGTTCCCTCTTGTCCTAGAAGGAAGGAGCCTCATTTCTGCCCCCATTTAATCTTGGAAGCCTTCCTGGGAGAGTTTAGCTTTGAGCTCTGTTTTGGAAGCAGTGAAGGAGGCAGCTGGATGAATGCTAAGTAGGACATTTTTAGTTTGAGCAGCAACTCTTGAGACGCTGCATTGAAAATTTCAGTAAAGTGGAGAAGGCAGAAATAGTTCATATGTTGTACAGCAAAATTACAATTCAAAATAATTTTGGTGGGTTTCAATGATAGGCCAAAATCAGCATGACAACCTTTTGCAGAGACAAATGTGAACTTCCAAATGAAGGTGCAAATGATCATTTATACAATTTCAGGGTGGGGTGGAGCTGACTTGAAAGCACTTCATAGGAAAAGTAACTGGGGGTTTGGGTGAATATATATAAACTCAGAATAACCCAACAGTGAGATGCAGCTACCAAAAGATCTAAAGCAGTCTTAAGTCGCATATGTTTATTGTGCCAGGAGGTCAAGGGAGGTAAAAATGACCAAATATAAAGACTAATGCAGTTATGGGTATCTCTCCTTTAAATGGATATAGATTTTGGGCTTCCAGGAATAACATTGGATCCCTCAGGCCTTGCCCTAACTGTACCTCCGACCCCCAGAGTTTGGATTGGTCAAGTTCAAGGTCATCTAATTGAGTCATATTTTCAAGGGGTAAAACCTTATGAAAGAATTACTATGTCCAGACACATGGGTGTGGTCTTGTCCTTTTTTTTTCAGTTTCTCTTGACCATACCTATTCCCAGCTCTCTCTCTTCTCTGACTTTCTCTCTTCCTTCCCTCTCTTCCCACATGACTGATTTAGGCTCCAGGGCCACCGACCAAGCCTAAGAAGACCTGGAACAGGAGGCCAGAACCAGTCCTACTCTGCACATCAGCACCACCAGTCTCTCTTGCTCTGTCTCTTGGTCCTTTTTTCCTGGTGCTGGTGGGTGGTATTGGATCTGTCATTTCTCTCCTTGGAGGCAAGTATCTGAGACTCAAGTGTGCCCACTGAGAAGATAAGGAACCAGGCAGACTGTGGGAGTTGCCCTGGTTCTGGGCTCTACACTGACTCTGGCCTGGGCCTGACAAAAGGAGTTTTCTACTGCACTGGTTTTGCTCGGTTGAGATCTGCACTAGGGTTTGCTCTTCTTTGCTTCGTCTACATGTATCAGATGAGGTCATCAGGATGGTGTCCTCAGAGGGGATTAGTGCCTTTATAATAAGAAAAACTGGAGGATTGGAGCTCTCTCTCTCTCTCTCTGTCTCCCTCTCCCTCTCCCTCTTCCTCTCCCTGTCTCTCTCCACCTCTCTCTTTCTCTACTATGTGAAGACACAGCAAGAAGACAGCTGCCTGCAAGCCAGGAAGAGAGCCCTCACCAGGAACGAAATAGCCTAGCACCTTGATTTTGGACTTCCCAGGCTCCAGTATGGTAAGAAATAAGTGTTTGTTGTTTAAGCCACTCAGTTTATAGTATTTTGCTATATATTACCTCAAGCATATGATTACAGAAACTTACGAAGATAAGAGATTGTTTGAAGGCATGCTCTGTGTATTCTTGTCTTGCTGGCATATTGCACCATCATAATGCCATCTCATAACATCAAGTCACCATTATTCTGACATTGATGGGCTAGACAGTGACAAGAGGGACATAACCAGGCAAGAGGGGGACTTGAGACCGTGGAACTTGAGAATGATTTAGGGGTAGAGCTGCTAACCTCACCTAAAAGGAGGGAGGGGCTGTGAGGAAATCTGTTCAGTGGGGCCATTCCTTGGAGGGGAAAATCAGCAGTTGGCTGCTCCCTTATATAGAGCTTTTTGGAAAGGTACACTGCCCACCTGAGACTAGGGCATGCCTAACGGCAACATCTTCTGGGATGAGGAGCCTAAGATGGAAGAGGTAGAAGAAAGGAGAGTATTACGAATCCTACTCTCAAGATAGTGAAAGTAGGTGCTCATTGAGGCTTCCAGTTACTATTTTGGCAAGGGAGGCAGAGTTACAGACAAAAGATTGTGATGTGTAAAATGACATTAAAATTCCACAACCTCTTCGCTTTTGGTTTCTTTGTCACCCCCAATCAAGAAAGCAGAAAAGCCCTTCATTTCTTCTCATGGCTGAGAGATACCTCTAATGCCACAGAGGGAATTGAAGAGACTGGGTACCCACTTCCTACTAATTGAGTTTGGGCAAGAGCATGTCAGTTAGAGTGGGGAGAAACCCAGGAATGGACAAGTGTCTCTGGAGTAGACTAATTGGCTGGAGTGAAAGAAAGGCTCAGTATTCAGCTCCCATATCTACTGGGCCATCCCATAGAAGGTAATCCCTGGTCGGGGAGCTGCGACCAAAGGGTAAAGTCACAACAAGGCAATTTTGGGATCTCCCTGAGCAAGGCATTGCTAAACCCCATGGCCACACAGTCCTGGGGGTTCTGACTCTCAAGGTGGTGCATTCCTTGCCACTAGAAGAATTTTGAGACTGAGCAGAGATTTTTCTGCTCACTGAAAAGTTGGACCAGATACTAGAAACTTGTCAAGATCCCTTCCAGCAATGAGCAGGGAAAAACACCCTCACAAAAACCCAACACCAAACCTCAGCTTTCAGGAGCAGGCATGGTAGAAGGACCAAGAGCAGATGCATAACTGTGATACAAATGCCAAAGAAAGATTCAATGGGCTGTGACTGCTTCCGATGATCACTTTCTTTTCAACTCATCTGGAGATGAAGTCATCTGATAATTGGACACTCACACATGGCCTACTGTCTGGCTGGCCTGCTCTGCTTTCCTGATCTCTTACTGATCAGAGAGACTCATCTGCAGACATTTTGAGCAGAAAGTCTGATGCAGATTTTCCTTTATTCACAAACATGTGCAGAGGGTCTTTTCTACTCCAGGATCTGTGCTATGTATGGAGGACGTAGAGAAGAAAGACAGTCCCTGCCTTCAGGCAGCTCACAGTCTATAGGGAAGGCAGCCATGGAAGTAATAGGGAGTTGGAATTCAGCTGTTCATTTGGTAAATGTCAATTGAATATGACCTCTGTGCTAGGCACTGCAGCTTTAGCAGGGACAAGCAAGACATGATCTCTGTCTTGGGGAATGTATATTCCAGTGGGGGAATCAGACAGCAGGCATGTTATATATAAAGATCATATATGTTGTGCAAAGTGCCATGAAAGAAATTTTAAAAGCAAGGGACTACAGAGTGAGAGAGATAGGGACCTGTTTTAAGAGCAGATATTTGGGGAAATCTCTCTGACAAGAAGGCAATTAGGAGTCTACCCAAAGCTCAAGATGCAGCCAGCCAAAGGAGTGCAGAGCTGAGCATTCCAAGGAAAGAGAGTAGCTACCTTAAAGGTAGGAAAGGTCTTAGTGTGTTAAAGAGGCAGAAAGAAAATCACAGGGCCAGGTGTGTAAGGCAATGGCATGAGATGGAATAGCATGAGATGAGGTCAGAAAAAAGACAGAAAGAAGATTCTATAGGGCTTCTTGGGGTTTGGGGGAGGATTTTATTCTAAGATCAATTCAAGATCAGAATTTCCTGTTCGGGGACTGAGGCAGTAAGGATTTTTTTTTTTTTTTTTTTTTATACTTTAAGTTTTAGGGATTTTTTTAAAGGATCACTGAGATGTCCAAACTCCTCAGAATTCCAGTCATCAGGACTCTGACACCCACCCATGAGTCTGACCTGCCCCTCCTCTGCCCAATCTCCTGGCTCAGGCCTGCCTTCTTTGAGGGATAGAAGGAGGTACATTCTTCTAGGACACAAAGGGGCTTGGGCACTTTGGAGACTGACAAGCAAAGGCCTTTGAAGCAATAAGAAAAGGCTCAGGTGACAGACAGTGGAAAAAGAAGAGGGACTCACGTGGATAAGGTCCGGGACTCTGTGTCTTCTGGCCTTGTTCTCCTGAAAGCCACTAACAAGGCAAATTTCTCCGTGTCTCTTTTTCTCTCTCTCCTTCTACGTCTTACCTCTCTAGCCTCCCAAGAGGAGAAAGAGTCGCAGAATTTCTCCATGAAGGTTACATTCTTGGAAGGCCTGGGCTTTTCTGAGCCAGTGCTACTGCAATAACATTTACCACATCAATTTTGGAAAGGAAGAAGCACAGGAAGCTGGTCCAGGCAGAAGGCAGAAAACTTGGGAGCTTCTCTGATTTAATCTTTTCTTCTTTATTTTTAAAAATCCACTTTGCAAAGATATATGGTCTCCAAGTTTCTGAAAAGGGAAGCAGCAAAGAAACTCCTTCTGCTGTGAATGAAAAGAATTACATAAACCACAGTAAATTTAGTATGAAATTACATTGCCAGCCCCAGAGGAGAAAGATGCATTTCCATCATACATTAGCCATGCTCAAGGAGCCATTATCCTGAGTTCCCTGTCTGCCTGCACTTGAAGGGACATGGTGGCATGCAGGTCAGGCCCTTCTCAGAGGATGGAAGCTGCTGGAAGACATTAATTATTTGACCTTGTTTAAAGCATTGATTTTACAGAATTTCTTCCTTGTATTTATACTTGTCTTTTCTTTACTTTTTAAACTGGGACTTGGGCTCCTGCTGATTCTTAGGCTCCATTAGGTCAGAATTTCATTCCGTTTGGGATTTCTTACAGTTCTAATAGTTCTTTGAGTCCTAGGAGACCCATCTACTGGAAACTCCTATGATGTTTCCAGGCTGAAAGGAGGGCACACAATGCTTTAGCTATGGATTTCTAGTCCAAACTCTGCCAACTTCCAGCTGTGTGTGCTTGGGCAAGTTACTGAGCATTTCTGGGCCTGTATCCTCATCTGTAACATGACGATAATCATAGTACACCCACCCCTTACCTCAAAGGGTTGTTGCAGACTTCAAGTAGGAAAATGTGTTTGTAATGCCCTTGGCACAGTGCCTGACCCCTGGTGATTTTTCAACAAAACTAGCTACTCTCATAGACAACTTGTCTTCCAATTGTTCTGGAAACTTCTGTCATCTCTCTCTGAGATGCTAATTTTATCCAAAGGATGCTATGTGGCCTTCGTAATGTGGAGCCCCAGCCAAACACATTTCACTCATTCATTTATCCAACAAACATTTACAAAGCTCTTACTATGTGCCAAGCACTAAAATCGATTCTGCTGATAAAAACATGACTAATACACCATCCCGTTAAGAATTTACTGACATTGGACAAGACAGACTTAGAAGCAACCTGGCAGGCTGGAGGAGTCTGTAGCATAAACAGGCAGAAGGAACTCCTAAAGTAGGGCTTTGCTGACCCAACTATCCTTGGCTGCTTCATGGCAAAGGCAAGAATTAGAAGTAGCCAGGGGCCCTTCTGTGGAGTCTTGAACAGCAGGCCACCATAGACCTGGGGCAAGGCCGTGGATACCACCATGCAGGCTGGGCCTGATGAGAGTCATGGCTCAACTTTATGAGGCCCATAACATCAGCAGGGCCAAAGTGAGGCTGAGTCCACCTGGAAAGGTGGGAGACATGGGCTCTAACCAAATCCAAAGAAAGAGACTAGATCACAAAGTATACAAGGCACAGATTTGGCTTAAAATGCCAACAGAACAAAGACCAGACATGAGGACAAGGGTGTGGCTCTGTAGACCAAAGGGGCTGGAGAACTCTGAAACTTCTCCCTCTACCATGATGTTACATAAAGCCCCCTCCTTCTTTCTTCCACCTGAGTAAGAGGACTAGG
This sequence comes from Homo sapiens, assembly GCF_000001405.40. Classification (NCBI taxonomy): domain Eukaryota; kingdom Metazoa; phylum Chordata; class Mammalia; order Primates; family Hominidae; genus Homo; species Homo sapiens. The sequence continues at coordinate 112,659,828 of NC_000011.10, read as the reverse complement.
AGGACAGAGGGATAATGTGGGAGACTGAGCAGCTTTGTTTTGGAGACTGGCATTTCCAAAAAGGGCTGTGGCATTATTGGATGAGATCAAGCTCTAAACCAGTTTGGACGTTTAGTTACTTTTCCCCCACCCTTCACCTATTTTTCTGGGAAAGAATCCCAAATTCATTTTCGATAATAGAGCTCATTTTCTCTCATATCTGAGTTGTAATGGATTAAATTTTGTAACCCTTCTTCCCTTATGTGTATGCTTAGCTCCTAGCACAGTGTCTAGCACAGAATCACACTTGAAAAGTGCTGTGAGCCTGCATGCTAACAAAGAAAAGTTGGGGAACAACAAGAAGTCCTATCTGGCTCTCTGCATCCCATGTCTGCAAGATGTAATCTAGTCAATATGCATGCTTTGCATAGAACACAGCCCTTGGCCCGTGGCCATCCCTTCCCCAATCTTGATGCCAGGACTACACCCAGAGCCTCACTGCTCTGGATGTGAGGAAAAAGGCAACAGGCCCATTTAAAGCTGGTGCCAGCATCCATCCTATGCCCGGGAACCTAGTTTATTTTCAACCAACTTCCCAACGATGGACTGATTTCATGTCCTCCACAGGTCTACAGCTCAGCCACACATACACATACACACACACACACACACACACACACACACACACACACACACACAAAGACACATACTCCAGACAAACACACAGCTGATTTGAGATGCCACATGGGTGTAGGAGTTTTCAGAGTGGAAGGATCTTGGCTCTGGTCCTGTGAAGAAGAGGAGGTGAGGGAAGAGGAAGAAGGAGTTGTATGTGAAGTCCCCCACCTCACTCCCAGGCAGATGAGGGGCTAACATGTGGTAGCCAGGATGAATTATCCTCTTGGGAGGGGCAGAGGCAGATGGGAGGGAATAGTTTCTGGCCCCAACCAAAGAAAGATTCTACTTCTCACAGGTCTCATTCTTAACTGTTCCTAGTCATGTGAGATGATCTGTGACTCCTGCTTGGGTGCAGGTGGAAATCTGGGGAGGGGAGGGGAGGGAGCTGGGCTGTGGGAATGACATCATGGGAGGGGGAGGGGATGCCATGATATCACAGCCATGTGGGAACTTCCCGGGTGAGAAGTCTGGAGGAGGACTAGAGCTCTGCATCCTATTTCTGGCTTTAATAACAGCCCTGGTGACAACCAACCACAGGAGAGGGGTACAAACAGGCGGGTCTGTCAGGGATCAGCAGCACCTCCTGTGAGGAACAAGGGTTTTCAATGAGGTGTTGGTGGCCTTTAAGGCCAGGGTGGGGAATGTGAGATGCATGTTTAGTAGTGAGAAGGCACAGATGCCTGACAGAAAAAAAAAAAAAAAAAGGAACATGGTAGAAAATTGCCGTTGCAACAAGGCTTCAAGGAACTTCGTGAAATCCGGTTGATGAGGCTGCATGAGCAGAATGTTGTGGGTATGAGCAGAGGCTCTGCCACCTCCCAGTTTGTGTCCTTGAGAGACTGACATAATCTGTCTGGGCCTCAGTTACATCTTCTGTAAAATGGGGATAATAACACCTACCTCACAGGGTTGTGAAGATTTAAAAAAATGAATACATACTTGTAAAAAGATTAAAACCATACTTTGCATATAGTATGTGCTCAAGAAAGGTTAACTATGTTTACAATGGAAAGACCGCTAGAGTAGGAAACAGAAGACTAGGTTTTAATGCTGATGCTGCCAGTGACCAGGTGAAGACCTCTTTGAGCCTCAGCTTCCTCATTTGTGTAAAGAAGACATGGGACTAGATAATATCAACCTTCTCTCCCAGCCCCAGTATTCTAAGACCTTGACTTGGTGTTCCTGGTCTACTTTGTTCCAAATTATCCTGGGCACTCTAGTGTCTAAATTTTCACCATTAGGAATATAAGCTTTTAAGGTGCACAAATTCATTACCCCTGTACTCCCTTCTACAGAGAAAATAGGTCCTGGGGGTGATTGATGGGTATGACATCAGTAATACATGGGAGTGGATTAATTCTTCCAAAAAGAAATGGTCCCTGGGTAACATAAGGGCACTTGTTATGGAGAACAGGGACAGGGGGAGGGTAAAGCATCCAGAAAGAAGGGAAGTGGGGGAATCATGCATCTAAAGTCCTAGCACACAATTTTGTCTAGGATAGGCCTTGCCCTAAGTGACTTTTACAAGAAAATATGGAGATAAAAGCAACTGCAGCATGAAAGATCTAGGTTAGATACAAGTAAAAATTCAATTAATAGAATGTGAAGGCAACCAAAACTATGACTGTGATGCTGAGGAAGGTCAGGGCAATGGGCTAGATGAGTTCTGGAGGTTCTACTGACCCCTCCAGGGCCTGCAGAGGGTTCTTCTGGGTCTTGTGGGCCCCCCTGGGTGTGGACATCTGCCGGTCCTGGCAGAGCCTGTCCTTCCTGTGCATCTCAGGAGTTCTGTGGCTTCTGGAGCAAAAGCTTAATTGGCCTTCCACAGAAAGCTCAGGAAAGGGATATGTTACATCGTGACTCAGTGATACACTCCCTGCTGGGCACTGCAAATTGAGCTCAGAGAATGTTTGAAATGATCTTCAGTCATCAGGCAGAAATTGGAGTGACTCAGATGACAGAATTCGTGTTATGCAAGCTGGACGCTGAGTACTCGGCAACTGGTCCAGAGAGAGAGAGAGAGAGGAGAGGGGAGGTAGGCAGGAGGGAAACAGAGAAGGATGTGGGAATTCCAGTGGCTTATCACCTGCACCCTACAACCCCAGCCCAAGAAAAGAGACCAGTGGTAGATATGAAGCCTGGAGCCACCCTTTGCAGCAAGAAGAGAGTCAAGGGAAGTGAGATCCTCTGGTGTATTCTTGGTTTCTCATAGCTGAAAAGAAATTCAGTATAGCAAAGTGGTTTTCCCACACTCACTAGCTGCCCTCACACAGTGGGGCCTGTCTGACTGGTGAGGATCTGTCCCACACCAAGGCGCCTCAAAAAGGGCAATGGCAGAGAAGGATTCATATAATCATTCATTCATTTAGTCATTCATTTGCTCCATATTTATTGAGATTCTACTAAATACCAGAGGTTGTGCTAGGTGCTAGGACACACTAAGAAATGAGACACTGTCCCTGCAGAGAATCTGAATAAGAGAACCAATAGGCACAATGCTGTAGTGCCAAGTGGCATGACAGAAGGAGGCAGCGGGTGTTGGGGAAGCACAGAAGTGGAGCCCCTAAGTCAGACTCTGGGCTTGGGTGAGACCGTGCTGGTCAGAATCTTCAAGGAGAGCAGGAGTAACTAGGTGGGCAAGGAGGTTGTGAGAGGGCCTTTGGGGCACAGGAAACACAAATGAAAAGGGTAGAGATGTGGAAGCTCACGATGTGTATGGAGAACAGGACACACGAGGTGCAGGTGGGGTGGTGGGCAGTGGAAGCCAGGAAGTCTTAAAGGGCTCTGTGTGCCATGTGAGGGGAGGAGAGGGCTTGGGAAGGAGAGGGATGAACAGCGCTGCTCTTTAGAGGGAAGGCTCTGCTGCACCAAGGAGGATAGATGGGAGAGGGCAGTCTGGGCGCCCAGATTCCCCAGGGTCTGCAAGGGAGGAGCTGAGCCCGGAAGGCAGCAACAGAAAGACTGGAATGGAGTTGCGAGATCTGTGGGAGAGGAAAAGACCTGGGACTCACAGTACGTGCAGATTGAGGGCCAGAAACTTGGAGAATGAAGGAGTAGCAAGGAGCAAGGGATGGAAGCAGAGGCAAGTTGGTGAGGGGAAAGCAACAAAGGAGATGTCTTTCTCCTATTCTAGAAAAAGTGTTCATCAATTCTCTGTACCATTGAACCTTCGCGGTGACCTCCCTTTCAGTACAGGCCTCTCCTCTACAGCACCCCTCCTGGTGCTATCTGTCCATTCAGTCATTCAACACCTAATTATTGTGCACTCACCACGTGCCTGCTGCAGTGTCAGGCCCTGGGGAAACAAAATCAAAAGCCAGTAAAGAAGAATGAAGAAGGACTGGAGAAAAATAAAAGGATGAAGGAATTTGCAACTCAAGGCCAAGAAATGAAGGCTTAAGGGACAAAGTTTATGGAATGCCTTCTCATTTAATCACCCTGATCCCTCCAACAGCTGGGACTGTTATAATTGTTATCCCATCTTAAGGAAGAGGAGGCAGAGGCCCAGTCGGATTCAGTCTACTTAGTTAGTAGCACGGCAGGACTCAGAGCCAAGTTGGTGGAGCTCCAAGGCCCTGGTGCTCTCACTTAGTCCATGACACAATGATGAAGTGCTAGCAGACTGCTGACCCCTAGTGAGGTCAAAGCAAAAACACAAAAACAATAAAACAGACTGAAGTTTCATGGTGGAAATTCCAGCTGCACACAGGAAGGATTTCCCATCAAGGAAGAGCAAAACTTTGCTGGTCCCTTGAGGAGACCATCCACATCTGTGTGATGGGTGAAGCCTTGCCCAGAAGCAGGGGTATGAAAATATAGAATCTATGATTTCCAGAGGTCCTCAACGGCAGGAATAAGGTTTCCTAAGCCCTTCTTATTTTCAGAAACCCTATCTGTTTGGGGCTGGAATAAAATCCACTTGAGGTCGGAATGTTACTTCTATGGAGCGCTTCTGAACTTTGATCAGCTGTTCCTCGTGTTTTTGATGAATAACAATTTTAAAACAAGTGCAGCTAGTAGACCAGATCTTTGAAACTCAAGGTCTAATTTGTGGGGGGTCAGGAAAGAATGCAGCATATCTTTGGTGGTGATAAACTGGGACACTAGAGATTTTCCCAAAGACAGTAGAAGGTCTGAAGCAAAACCACAAGTTCTTAGAGGATTAGGGCCTGTGCATAGAGAGTTATTTGTGAAGAGCTGGTTTTATTAATAGTTTTCCAAATACCTTTATTTTTTCTCTCTCTCATTATAATAATGAAATGTTCACTTTGGATTTAAAAAAGTGAACATTTGAAAGAAAAAGCCTGATAAATTCATATCATAAAAGTGATTGTGTCACGCAGCTGTAATCACAGGGCAAACTCTCTTCTTACCTCTCACTCTTTGGTTTCCTTGAGGAATGTGTGTGTGTATCTGTGTATGTGTGTGAGTATGTCTGTGTGTGTCTTTGTTTATGGGTGTGTATCTGCATTGCACTCTTGATCCTTTGAGAAGCGACCTTGAGACTGAGTTTAGCACCTTTTTAGGGGGTGCCTTTGGGGCCAATGCCTGTGGAAGAGAAAGGACAAAAGTAGAATGTACAGAGGGAGAACTTGAGCTAACATGTAGTCCCAAGGAAGGCCTCAGCCAACTCCATGGGAACTCTGGAGCTAGGATGACCTTGATGTCCCGAGCTGGGCAAGGAGACCAGGCCCTCATTACCTCCATAACCAGCCACTGAATGCCAGCTTCCCTGGAAGAGATGTGACCTGGGCAAGGCAGTCTCCTTTCCCTCAGCTGAGGACTGACTTCTGGCACTACCAGCAGCAGGGAAAGTAAGTCCCTCATTACTAATGGCATATGTGGGTAGTGCATCCTAGTGTCCACTACAAAGACTGTGTGTTTGGGTGTGTCTTGAGTGTGTTGATGTATGTCTGCATGTCTGTTGGTGTGTGCATGTATCTGTGTGTGTGCCCCTATATATCTTGTCTGTGGAGTGTTGCCCTCTCTTGGATCAGGGACCATGGCAGCACTGCAGGAGCCCAGGAGGTGAGCATTGGTATCTGCCACCTGATCATCCACCTTGCTTCAGTGGCCCCTTCACTTCCTTCCTATCTCTTGTCAATTTGGGCCTGGAGAAAGGTATAGAATGTGGGATGTGAAGTGGAAGATGTCATGGCCCCTCCTGAGAATTGATTTCGGTCCTTACTCTGGGGTGAGAGAGGAGATACCTACTAAGGCTTCCTTACACAGATTTTTTTTTCTTGGTGTTTTTTTAAATTATTATTATTATACTTTAAGTTTTAGGGTACATGTGCACAATATGCAGGTGATTTTTAAAAGGCACTCCTTGCTGGCAGGCTTCATGAAAATGCGCAGTTGGGAAAACTGACTACAAATAGATTTAGCCCCCACTGGATATCTCTGCTGGGCCCCCTCAAGGGTTGTCATGTCTGGACTGTTTCCTGAGCCAGAAAGGTCTGAATAGGGCTTTGGGGGCCATGTCACCCTGAGCAAGTCTCCATCTCCAGGACCCGACCCTGCTGTTCACTCTATTGTTAGAAGTCAGGACAGCAGTATCTGCCATGAGGCCTGTCTCCTGGGTCAGAGTCCTGTCCAAAGGACCCTGGAAGTCTTAACTCCCCAAATTCAGGACAGGAGAGGAGAGGACCTGGGGACAGCCTTGAAGACAGTTTGATGTAGTTAGGAAATGGAACCTCTCCTGGCAGCCAGTACCCCCAAATTCTTCCTTATCAAAGGACATATGTCCAGTGCAGTGTTTGTACACAGTACATCCAATGAACAAATGGACTTTGGAGGAGAGATCAGCAGAGATGAGTGTCCATGACCCAACTCTAATGAGAAAACCAGGTTACTGCCTGCCCTGGAGCTTCTGGCATTAGGTCCAGGCTGGTTCTAGCAGTGGTTCATTCTTCCTTTGTAACTTGATGCTTCACCAAATGCTTTCTCAAAAGGTCTATGACTCACTGACATAGAAATAAAATCTGTCTTTTTTCAAAGGTTAATGTTGTCATGTTATTTTACTCATGTAATTATTGCCATGGAAGATTAACTCTACTGGGAAGAACATAGGGCCGAGTGGCGGGTGGTTTGTGTCCTTCAATTCTTGAATGCTGGAGCTGTAAGAAGCGAGATCATCTCATCCAATGTTTGTAACTCAGAGCCTGGAGCAGAATTCTTCCTATCATCCCATTTGATTGCAACCACAAAATGAACAATGTGAACATGTTGATGCAGGAGATGGCCTCCCCTACTTGCTTCAGGCTGCCAACCTGCTGCATTCTGCTGCTGGCCTGAAGGCCCATGGGGCACAGTGACTTGCCCAAGATCACACAACTACTCAGAGACAGGACCAGGGCCAAACCCAAGGCTCCTATGGCAGAGCAGTACTCTCTCACCCCAGAAGTCTCTGGCTCTCCTTTGATCTACTTGGACAGGAGATATGAATGAGTGCCATGAGCTTACTCGTTACCATTGTGAAAGGAAAATATCTTGGGCCCCCAAAATCACTAAGGAAAACTCAAGCTGGAAACTGCTTAGGGCAAACCTGCCTCCCATTCTAGTCAAAGTTATCTCTCTGGGCACTGAGACAGATGGATATCCGATTGCCTCCTTTGGAAAGGCTCATCAGAAACTCAAAAGAATGCATGCAACCGTCTCACCTATCTGTGACTGGGAAGCTCCCTCCCCGGCTTGAGTCTTCCAGTCTTGCTTCAAGTAGTCCTGCCTTTCCAGACAGAACCAATGTAATTATTACATATATTGATTGATGTCTCATGTCCCCCTAAAATGTATAAAACCAAACTGTGCCCTGACCACCTTGGGCACATGTTGTCAGGACTTCCTGAGGCTGTGTCACAGGTGCATCCTCAACCTTGGCAAAATAAACTTTCTAAATTAACTGAGACCTGGCTCAGATTTTCTGGGTTCACACCATAATGAGGTAGCAGCCTGCACAAGGCCCCTGTACCTCCCAGCAGACACAGATGCACCCCCCACACACAGAGTTTAGACTTCTAGACTATTGACAGTGACTAGGTCTTTTTTTTTTTTTTTTTTAAATCATTTTGGATTTCACCTAACTCAATGCCCGGCATGCTGTGCTGCTCAATAATTGCTTGTTGAATAAAATAAATGAATAATGAATGTTAGTGGATGTTTGTCTTCCCAAAATTCCTGTGGTCTTCACCATAACCTTGATTCAGAGACCATTTTAACATGGGAGGGGTAAAAGGAGAGAGAAAAAAAAACAATACATTTGTTAAGGTCCTATATGCAGAGCACTATGCCAGCGTCTTGAATGTATATCTTCTCAGCTAATCTCATTTTAAAATGAGCAACCACATGTGAGCAGACAGCCCCAGAAAGGAGTTGACCCACCCTCCCCTGGCACCCATGTATAGGGGCTTTATGTACAACAGGCTTATGGCTGCTTCATCAGTTTCTGCTTTTGCTTATCCCTAGAAGATCTGAAAAAGAAAACAACATCAGAACTTCTGAAGACCAAAAGATCAGAATCCTAAGCTTGCAGCATTCCCTCTTTGTGAGACAGAGAAGCAGGAGCATATTAAGAGGAGTGCAGAAAGCTAAAAATATCTTCAAAGCTTATGTAAATTTGGTGCACAGAGAGGAGCTGGCCTTTGGGCTCCAGCTGTTCTCAGGACTAACTTAGATGCCCTTGACATGTAGATCCAGACATTCTCAGAATGCATCCACCATTTGTAACCTTTAAAAAATCTTCCTAATTGTGTTCCTGTTCTTTTAATTTATCACCCTTGGGAGTTGAGCTACATTATGCTAATGAGGACTTTGAAGAACCCCTTCACCCCCAGCATCTTGGGAGAAATGTACAAGGTCAGAGACATCCATCCTTGGAATAACAGGTGCCTTTGAGAGGAGCTGTACCCCTAATGATTAGCATGTTAATAGGGAGGGAATCAAAAGATCACTCAATCAACACCCAATGAGGGCATCATTTCAATCAATAGCACAGCTCATAGAAGTCCTAATGCCACCGACACTGCATAAAAACAATTCCTAATTGAGAATTAAATAAACTTTTATCTGATACCATTCTGAACTTCACCCTTTAAAATAATGCCAAGTTCAGAAACACATTTGGCTTCATGATTCCATCTGGCGGATTCTATACATTTAATGGGTATTTTCCCTCACAGCCGACACTCTGCTTTCCTGGTTCACATAAAAAAATGAGACAGGTGTCATTTCTCCAAAGGCCACAGTGCTAAGTTAAGTGACTAGGTAGGAAGGAGGCTGTAACTGAGCAAATTTAACCTTAGATGACCCAAAGGAGGGCTTGGTCCCGGCTTTCTTGTTTTGCAATCAACACCTACTAAGTATAATTCAGCTCTTAGATACTATGAATGCTGGCTGCCAGACTGGAAGACAAGTAGCTTTTAATACACTGATGACACAGTATTACTGACATTAGCAGGATGGCCATGAACCAGGTGGCCAATTACTCTCAGAAAGAACAGCTCAATATCAATTGTGCTAAATTCAAATAGTCATACTCGGCAGAGGCTATTCGGCATCCAGATGGATAAGATTTGAATATCTCCATTCAGCAGGACAATTAGTTTCATTATCTGCAGAGTCCTTTTATAGCCAGCTCATCCTTGTGGGCCCTAGAAGACCAGGTCCTGGCCAAAATTAGGTATATTCAGCAGGAATATTAAAGTAAAAGCAGGAACTCTAAATCTTTCAAGTCAATGTCATCTCACCCTTGCACTAGATGGCTAGAACACTTAAGATTTTCACCAGAAATCTGGTTAAACTTATGAACAAATACAAAATAGTTTCTTTGAAAAAATCTTAGCTCTGGTTTTGAACATTCTGGAGCCTTTTGCCACCTTGCACGGCTAACCTCCACCAGGGAGATGACAGTGCATCCCACTTCATGCCTATGGCTGCCGTCATCATTGCTTCCTCTTTCTTTGGAAGCCAAAACGTATGGAGCTCCTCTTCATCGACCCCAGCAAGTATGTGAGCTTGCTGCACTCACCAGGAACCTCAATCTTGTTAGCAAAACATGGAGCCAACACATTCTCTAGCCACTCATTCCTCCAATCAGATGTAGCAACTTGGTTGCCAATTGGCTGACTTCAGCTACAGATGTGTGTGCAGCGTCTCCATCCCCATCACACACACACACACACACACGCACAGACACACACAGAGAGAGAGAGAGACATACACACACGCAGCCTGTTTTTCAAAAATGTAGCTTTGGATGGCTTTTAGGCCAGATTCTCACTTTTCAGGTTGCCTACACCTCATCAGGTGTCATTGCCACATCCTGGTTAGGTTTCATTTGTTTGCCTTGCTGAGGCCACTGAGAATGCTGGTGTTTGTAAAACCCTGCCAGTGTTCTCTAAGATTTAACCTGTATCTTAAGTCTTACCCAGAAACATATATATTGGAGTAACAGATAAGCCCTTTAGGGTCACATAGTAGGGTTACAGCCAGCAGGCAAATTAATAGCACAGCCTCAGGCCACCCAATCTCTTCCCTCTGGCTCAAAAGTGAAGGTGGAGGGGAGGGATTCCAGGGTTAGTCACAGCTCTCACTTTTCTGCTGCTCCTTTCTGGCAATATTAACTGTCCTGGGTGCTCGATTCAGTACTAGCTAGAAAGTCCACATGCAATTGTTATTAACACCTCAACATCAGAGATGGCAAATAATATTAATTATATTGAATAATGGTATTTGTGTTCATTAATATGTGAGTGCTGATTAATTATATTAATATTAATTATAGGAATAAATTACAGTATGTTAATTACTTTGATTCCATGTCTATGGCAGACATTGTTATTCTGTAATGATACCCTTTTCTATTGGGCCTAGGTGGGGCCTCAGAAACCCTCTCAGCACAGTGTTTGAGGCAGCAACCACCAATCAGAGTTGGTTCAGGAGATAAAGCCTATTTCTCCTTGTTCTCCATAGCCAGGCCTCCACTACCTCTGGTAAGGACCTAGAAACTGGATGAAAATCCAGGAGTGGCCGGCACACACCTGTGTTGCTGAGCTCTGGCTTCCCATGCTAGTCAGAATCTCTGACCCACAGGGACTTCGGACGACAAAGTCTTGCTGGGAATGCCCTTTCCTTGGCTCTATATCAAGCAATTAATCCTCTCACAATTTTCCCCTTTTTCCTACAGAAATGCAAGAAGCCTCAAGCCACAGATAATCCTTGGGGCCATGAACCTTGCTTCCTGAGCTGGGGAGAGGCTGTTGCCTCATAAATAGTTTTTTCTCAGCTTTCACTTCAACACAATCTAAGAATGCTTTTTCTCCCTTCTCTTGGTCTTTAAGGAACACTGTCTCTGGAGCTAAAGTTCCTCATCTCTGATTGGCCTTTCCGTGGGGGAAGCAGAGGAGAGAACTGACTAAGGGTAAATAATATCGCATTGGCTATCCATAGAAATGTCCACACAGAAATAGGATTTAACATCATGGACTTAGTCTAAATAAGGAAACAATATTAAGAATAATATTTGGTATTTTCTAAGATTGTTTTTGAAGATGGGCTTCATATTATGTTTTGAGTTTCTCCTTGAATTAAATGCCAGGGAAACAGATTGTCCTTCCTGGTAAATGGGTATTCTTTGCTTTGTGCCTCCTTTCCCTGGCTATCAGTGAACTCATAGTGATATTTTGTGTTCAGTGATATGTCTTATCCTTAGTTGAAGGTCCTTGATAATTATCTTCTCCTTTTACAACTGGATTTTCTCACTCTTCCTTAATGTGTATATATCTTCTATTATATGCCCTCTCTTTTCTTGGGAAGTGAGTGGAGTACTTTTAATAAATAATATATCAGCTACTGGGGCAGGGACAGATCTCCAGGGACTGGACATTAACCCTGATTCAATTCACTAATCATCATCTGACCCCTCTTCTGAGCCAGACCCCAAGGCCTCTCTGAGTGTTCTCTAGGAAGAGATGTTAGATCTTTTGAAATGATGAAAGCCTTCTGCATTTTAAACTGAGCAAAGCCTTGTCAATAGTTGGGCTGCTCTATTTTAGCACAATGACAAATCCCAAGTCCCCAAACTTGCATCATATAAAAGATAAGAACATCCATGACTTCAACTTCACCTTCAGTTTCAACCTCTCTCCCAATCTCCAGACCCATATTTCCAATGGTGTTCTGGACATCTCTTTTTTTAATATCCCAGAAGCACCAGAAACCTAACAGGTGTAAAACTGAACTCTGTGTTTCTACTCCATACTCCTGCAAATCTGTTTCTCTATATATATTTTCTGTTTCAATTAATGGTAACACCGTCTACTGAGTTCCCAAGCTAGAAGCCTTGATGATGCTACACCATCCACCCAATCGGTCTCCACATGCTACAGAATAAGCTGCAGCATAATCTTCTGCACCTGACCTTTTCCCAGAGTCCCCACTGCCACTGTCTCAGCATAGGGCTTGCTATTCTCTCTACTGAACTATTGCAACAACTCTCTAAGTGTTCTTTCTGCCACCATTTTTTTTTCTTTCTGTCACACTACCACCAGTGTCATCTTCCTCATCACTTTCTATTTAAGGACATTTACTGGTCTCTCAGTGCCTATAAAATAAACACTAAATTACTCAACTTAATGTAGAAGGATTAGCGATCTAGCTCCAACCTTCTCCGGTCCAGCCTCACCTCTTACTTTCTGTTAGGACCCCTAGGGCTCAGCCATGCTAAATTTCTCATTCTTTCTAAAACAAGCTATGTCCTTTCATGACTTTATGCTTCTGCAATTGTTATTCCTTCTTCCAGAAATACTATTTACATGGTCTACTACTTCTCTACCTGGAAATTAATTTTTACTTTTCATGAATTAACTCTGCCAGCAATACTCCAGCCACTCACCCTACCATTAAAGCTTTCTTCACTTTTCTGTTCTTCCCTTAGCTGTTTTTTAAAAATATTTTCCTAGAAATTATCCAGATATATATAAAATATGTGTTAATACGTTTATCTCTGCCCATCACTTTGAGCTAATTTAAGTCAAGCCCATATTTTTAATAGCTGCAGTAAGAGGCACAATGTTGATCCTCATTAAATATGAATAAAGAAAGCATTGGAATATGAAAATGGAATAGGTGGCCAAACGTGGGATGATTTTTTAAAAAGTCCCACTGAACTGCTTTATTACTGCAAGACCACTTATTTAATAGGTGTGAACTCCTTAAGGTATAGCATAATAAAGAGAAAAGCAAAGGCCATTTTAGCTTATGTTATCTTAGTAACTCTGGGACCTCAGGATGCCTTCTACTCTTGGCCATTTCCTTTCAGTATTCCTCCTCTGCCCTCACCATAACAACTCTATCTTATAACAAGCAGCAAGAATATTCTTAGAAGATACAAAAGGGACAAGCCCAATCATGCATCTTTGCTCCCAACCTGGAGTAGCTTTCTCTAGTCTTATCCCACAATAGTGTCTTCTTGTGGGCTTTTTGCATCTTGTGATAAATCTCACTTGCCCATAAGCACTGAATTTTTTATATGTAAGGTGCCAGATTGTATTTGCCAACCCTGGCTGCAGCAATATCTCCTGTCCTACTTGCCCTTCTATGGTGTAACCTTACCACACCCCCAGCAAGATTTGCCACTCTCTTCCCTGTGAATCTGGGCAGAGTTTTGATTACTTTGACCAGTAGAGATGAGACAGCCTTGAGGAGATAGTGATTGATGAAGGCTCAAAGACAAGACTGGGGAAAAAGATATCCCTTATTATATAGTGGCAGAAAGTTTGGCAACATTGTTTTTTGTAATGTTCCTTGCAATGTAATTGTTTTTTGTGATGACATGGAAAATAAAAATAAACCTAATGAGCTGGTGGATTTGGCTAAGAGGATTTTCTAGCAAAATATGAAAGTGCCCACTGAGTTATTTTAAGCATGTAAGATAAGATGCATATAGATGAACCAAAAAAGGAACTATTGCCTTTTAAATAAAAAATTTACAGGAAAGATAAAGGCATTCTGTCATAGCAAAAAATGTTCAAAAACCAAAATGGCCTCAAGGTGAAGATCAAATCCAGGGTGCTAAAATATATAGCTCAGAGTAAACATGAAGCCAAGAGCATGGCTTTAAAACTCCTTAGTAGGGCCTCAGGATTATTTAAGCTTATGCTACATAGACTTTTTCAAATAGACAAAAGAACTTCTAAGTATTTTTTTTTTTTTTTTTTTTGAGACAGAGTTTCACCTTTGTTGCCCAGGCTGGAGTGCAATGGTGCAATCCTGGCTTACAGAAAACTCTGCCTCCCGGGTTCAAATGATTCTCCTCCCTCAGCCTCCTGAGTAGCTAGGATTACAGGCATGTGCCACCACACCCGGCTAATTTTGTATTTTTAGTAGAGACGGTGTTTCTCCATGTTGGTCGGGCTGGTCTCAAACTCCCAACCTCAGGTGATCTGCCTGTCTTGGCCTCCCAAAGTGCTGTGATTACAGGATTACGGGTGTGAGCCACTGCTCCCAGCCCCTTCTAAGTATCTTAAAGGAATTTCTTGCAGACTTCCTCTGTTAAACAATATGGTTTCTAAGATTCTTAAGGGGCTTATCTTACAGAAATCTCAAGGTAAAGAAGGGTTAATCTCAAAGAGATTTGGGAGGGTGGGGTTTAACTAAAAAAAGTGTGGAAAAAGATAATAACACAGGAATCCCAAAAATGTTTAATGGAATTGTACCAGTTTGGACAGAAAGGGACAGAGAAAACAGAAAGTAAACAGAGATCTTTGAATCCCTAAGCTCCTATGGACAGAAAGCAGGCTGAGAAGGTTACGTAACTGCAAACATGGAAATTTTTTTATGGAAAAAGAAGCCAAGAGTCATGGAGGACAACTCCAGGGTGTAGGACTGAGCCCTACCTAAGAAACTGACATGTGCTTGGCTGAATTTTTGAATTGCAATGGATCAGTGACTGCTGTATGCCTTTCATTTCCCTCTTTTAGAATAGGAATATTATACTGATTATCATATGCCTTTCTCACCTGGATGTGTGCATGAATGAGAGGCACATAAATTGTTACTTTAACTCATGTAACTTTACAGCAAGAACTATACTAGACAAGATGCACCAGAGAAGCCCTAAGGTCAGCTGAACAAAAATTAGTTGACAAGATCTTGGACTTTGAACTGATGCCACAGTGGAATCAGACTTTGAAGGGCATGGGGGAGTAACTGAGTTTTACATGTGAAAGTGGATGTGAATCTTTTTGTGGTCAGAGGCAGACTGTAGCAGATTATATTTCTCAAAGACAACTGCAACAATATCTCGCATCTCACAAGCACTTCCACAATGTAATCTTGCTAGTATTCTATCAAGAGGTGGTGCCTTCATCCCTTCCCTTGGATCCACGTGGGCTTGCAACTGCTTTAGCAAATAGGGTAAAGGAGAAATAATGACATACATCTTCCAAGGCTGGGTGATAAAAAGTGATACAGTTTCAATTTTGTACACTGGAACACTTGCATTTGGAGCCCTGGTCATGATATAAGAAGTCCAACTGCCGTGAAACCACTGTGAGAAAGTCCAGGTCTTAGGGAGAGACCGTATGTACATGCTGAGGTTGACTGCCCCACATAAGGTTGCAGATTACAGCTAGCATAAACTACTGGATATGTAAGTGAAGATATCTCCAGATGATTCTAGCCCCCAGCCAGTGAGACGTCCCAGCAGAAGTGCCAGACATCATGAAACAGAGCTAAACCAACACTACTGTACTCCATATGAATTCCCAGCTTGTGTGATCCATGAACATAATAAAGTATTTTTTAAAAAGTCATTTAGATTTAATTTGTTATAGGCAATAGAAACTGGAACATATAGACATAGGTCCACTTAAAATCTTATCACTTAAAATACTGCTTAAGTCCACCCCTTATCAAACATTGCAGATCAGAGAAATTGCAAAATTATAGATATATGAATATATATGTATCTTATGTTATATATATATGTTATATATATATATCTTATGTTATATATATCTTATATGTTGTATATATATATAACATATGTGAACTAAAAGAAAGAAGTAAAATTTTGTAAAAGAGTAAGAATGTAGATCACTATTTATGAATATATCTATTTATTAGATAAAGAAAATATTAGAGGACAGTAACATTATCCAGAAAAACTAAGAGGAGTGAAATACTAACCTAAACAGGGTTGACTCCTGATGCTGGCACCTTAAGTGGTGCAATTTTCTTTTAGGCTTTTAATAGGTTTTCTAAAATTAAAAACTTGTCAAAAAGACTTTTGTTTCTGTCCAAGATGGAGTATGAAAGACCAGAATTAGCAAAATTTTTCCTAAACTAAAGGCTGCTCTAGTGCTGCCTAATAAATCTTAAAACCAAGACTGAAAAGAATCAAAGTATTTTCAAGTATCTGAATTTTGTCCTGGAAAAAAGCTCAAGAATATTTATATGAATTCATAGATAAATATCTAGCCAGCACCCAACAAGTTACTTCATGTCTGGCATCCAATCAAAAACTGACAGACATTCAAAGAAGCATAAAAATATGTCTCATAATGAAAAAAATCCAGTTAATTAAAACCAACTCAGAAAAGACACAGATGTTAGACTAGCAGAAAAGAATGTTAAACAGTGAAACAGTTCTTATAAATTATTTCCATATGTTCAAAAAGTTTAAATAAATATGTGGGAAATATTAAAAAGATCAAAAT
Source organism: Homo sapiens (assembly GCF_000001405.40). Taxonomy (NCBI): domain Eukaryota; kingdom Metazoa; phylum Chordata; class Mammalia; order Primates; family Hominidae; genus Homo; species Homo sapiens. The sequence goes on along the minus strand of NC_000011.10, from coordinate 112,643,455 downwards.
GAACTTCTAGAGATGAAAATTATGATGTCTAAAATAAAAACTACATTAGATGAGATTAACAGCGTATTAAACTTTGCAGGAGAAAAATTAGTAAACAAACTATTTAGCAATAGACACTGTTCAAAATGAAATACACAGAGAAAAAGGAATTGTATACAATTAAGTTATGGGACAAGTTCAAGCAGTCTAATATTTACTTAAATGGAGACCCTGAAAGATGAAGAAAGAAGAAAAAATATTTGAAGAAATAATTACCAATTTTTTTCTGAGTTTGACGAAAACTATAGACCCACAAAGATAGGAAGCTCAATAAACCCTGAGCACAATAAACATGAAGAAATTTACATCAAAGACAATCATAATCAAATTGGACAAGACCAGTACTAACAGAAAGTCTTTAAAGCAATCCAAAGGTGAGGTCAAGGGAGACACTTTATGCACGAAGAAACGAAGGCAAGGATGACAGCAGGTTTCTCATCGGAATTAATTCAAGGGAGAAGAGAGTGGAGCAGCATCTTTAAAGCTGCGAAAGAAAAAACTGTCACCTAAAATTCTAAACTCAGGGAAAGTGTTTCCAAAAAAAAAAAAAAAAAAGCAAAATAAACATTTTTTCAGATGTACAAAGCTGAAAGAGTCTATCAGCAGCAGATTTGTACTACAAGAAATGTTAAAGGAAGGAAGTCCTTTAAGGCAAAGGAAAATGAAACTAGATGGAAATCTTGATCTATACAAAAGAAAGAAGGCCATTGGAAATGGTAAATACATCAGTAAATATATACGATTTTTTTCTTATTATTTAAGTATCCTTAACAAATAATTGACTGTTTAAACCAAAATCATAATAATGATATGGGATTTGCAACATGTGTAAAATTAAAATGTATGACACCATTAGCACAAAGAATGAGAGGGGAAAAATCTAAGTATATAAGTCTAATACGTATTATATATAATGACACTGTATAATATCATTTGAAGATAGAATGTGATTAAAGATATGTATTATGAACCTTAAAACAAGCACTAAAGTAACAAAACAATGACACAGCTAGTAAGCCAAAAGTGAGATAGAATAGAATTACAAACAATTAATTAATCCAAAAAAAGACATAAAAAGTAGAGAAAGGGAACAGCGACAATAAAAAACCAAGATGGCACAAGGAGAAAAAATAACAGGATGATATATTTTTAAACCTAACAATACAATCACATTAAATATAAGTGGTATAAACCAGGGGTCAGCAAACTAAGCCCCATGGGCCAAATCTGGCCTGTAGCCTGATTTTGTACAGCCCTTGATTAAGAATGGTCTTGCCATTTTTAATGAGTCATTAAGAAGGAGGAGAAGGAAGAGAAAGGAGGAGAAAGAAGGAGGGAAGAAGAGGTGGGAGGAGCAGGAGAAGGCAAAGGTCATATAGACTTGGTCTACAAAGACTAAAATATTTACTATCTGGTCCTTTACAGAAAAAGTTTGCCAATTCTTGGTCTAAACATGCCAATTAAAAGGGAAAGATTATTATACTACATATAAAAGCAAAACTCAACTATATGCTGCCTACAAGAAAGACACTTTAAACACAAAAAGCTTAAAAGCAAAAGGATGGAAAAATGTACTACTGATCAACACTAATTAATGCCATCAATGCTTACACTAATCAAAAGAAAGTTGTTGTGGTTATATTAGTATTAGATATCAGGGCAAAAAATACTATCAACAATAAAGACAGTCATTTTGTAATTGTAAAGGGAATAATTCATCAAGAAGGCATAATAATCCTAAATGCTTATGCACTTAACAATATGGTTTCAAAATGTGTAAAACAAAAAATGATAGAACTACAAGGAACTAAATAAACTAGTCCATAATTACAGTCAGAGATTTTAATACCCATCTTTCAATAATGAATAAAACAACCAAGAGTATAGAAGACTTGAACAACACCATTAACCAACTTGACCCAACTGACATTGATATAACATTTCACTCAACAAAAATAAAATACACAACCTCTTCAGGAAAATACAGAACATTTACTAACATAGATCAAAATCTGGGCCATTAAACAAGTCTCAATATATTTAAAATTTTAAAGATTTCAAAGTTCTTTGACCACAGTGGAATTAAATTCAAAATCAGTAATAGAAACATACTGGAAAAATTCCCATATATTTGGAAACTGAATGACATATTGAGTCAAAGAGGAAACAAAAAGAAATAAAAGGTATTTTGAACAGAATGAAAAGTAAAACACAAATCAAATTTTGGGGGACACAGCTAAAGCAGTACTTGGGTGGAATTTACAGCACTCAATGCCTATATTATAAAATAGACAAAGGCTCAAATTAATGGGCCTTAGTTTTTGTCTTAAGAAATTAGAAAAAGAAGAGTAAATTAAACTCATATTAAACAGAAGAAAAGAAATAATAAATATCACAATGTATATGAGGCTGTTCTTGTGTTGTTACAAGAAAATACTGGGTAATTTATAAAGAAAAGAGGTTTAATTGGCTCATGGTTCTGCAGAATGTGCAGGAAGTACAGTGCTGGGCTTCTGCTTGGCTTCTGATGAGGCCTCAGGAAGCTTATCATCATGGCAGAAGGCAGAGGGGGAACTGGCACATCATATGGTGAAGGCAGGAGCAAGAGAGGGTGGGGCAAGAGAAGGCAGGAGCAACAAAAGTGTGTGGCACAACACACTTTTGCACAACCAGGTCTCATGTGAACTCAGAGCAAGAGCTCACTTATCACCAAGGGGATGGCCCAAGCCATTCATGAAGGATCTGCCCCCATGATCCAAACACCTCCCACCAGACCCATTTCACCACCTCCAGCACTCGGAATTACATTTCAACATGAGATTCGGGTGGGAACAAACATCCAAACTATATCAGAGTGGAAGTCAAGGAATGAGAAATCAGAGAAACCAATAGAGAAATTTAATGAAACTTCTAACCAGACTGATCAGGAAAAAAAGAGAGAAGAACTAAATTAGCAATATCAGAAATAAGAGAATTGACATTTTTATATATCCTACAGATATTAAAATGATATTATGCCCATAAATTCAACAACTTAAAAGAAATCAACAATTTCCTTGAAAGACACAAACTACAAAAGATCACTGAAAGAGAAGTAGCCTGAATAGCTCTATATCTATTGAAGAAAATAAATTTGCAGTTAAATAAATTTCCTTTCAATAAATAAAATTTCAGGCCCAGATGGCTTCATCTATGAATTGTATCAAATACTTTCAGAAAATGGAATAGGAGGAAATTCTATCTTCTGACTCATCTGTGAAGCCAGCAATACCCTGATTCCAAAACTAGGCAAAGACATTACAAAAAAGGAAAACTACAGACCAAGCTTCTTTGTGAACATCAACACAAAAATTCTAAATAAAATTTCAGCAAACTGAATTCAACAACATATAAAAAACAATACATCATGACCAAGTGAGGTTTGTCCCAGGGATGAAAAGTTGGTTTAACATTTTAAATCAATAGATTTAACATATTAACTCATAAAGAAAAACCCACGTGATCACTTCAATAGATGTAGTAATTGACAAAATTCAACATCCATTCATGATTGGAAAAAATTCTTAGCAAACTGGCAATAAAAGAGAACTTCTTCAATCCATAATGGCATCTATGAAAAACCTACAGCTAACATCACACTTAGTGGTGAAATACTAGATACTTACATTCATAAAATTAGGAGCATGGCATGGTTATTTGCTCTTGGCACTTCTATTCAACATTGTTCTGGAAGTTCTAGCCATTGCAATATGAGAAGAAAAAGAAATAAAAACACCCATGTTGGAGAGGAAGAAGTAATACAGTTTTTATTTGCAGATGATATGGTTCTCTATGTAGAAAATACAAGGGAATATGCAACTAGAGCTAATTAAAAGTCTTACAAAATATCCTTTGCAATAGTATAAGAATATTAAATATTTAGATGTAAATGTAACTAGTGACATCAATACCTCTACATTAAAAACTATAATACGATATTGAGAGAAATTAAATATCTAAATATACAGAGAGATAATATTCCATTTATGGGTCAAACAACTTAATATTTTTATGATGTTAGCTTTCAGCAAATTGATAATTCAATTCTGATGAAATCCCAATGAGCTGGTTCTAAAAATCTTAAGGAAATGCAAGCACCTACAATATCCAGAACTGGAATAAAGAGACAGAGAGGGAGATAAAAAATACCACCTTATTTAAAAACTTATTACTAATCTACAGTAATCTAGACACTTTAGTATTGATGCCAAGATGGACGAATAGAAAAATGAAGATGAATAGATAACTCAGAACAAATTCATATGTATATGGACACCTGACTTTCGAAAAAGGTGCAAAGACAATTCAGCAGAGAAAGGACTTTCAACAAAAGATGAAAATATTTTAGTCTTTTCAACAAAAAATGCTGAAGTAATTATTTATCTATATGTTCCCCCTGCAAAAAGATAAACTTCAATCCATACCTTGCACTATTTTTAAAAATTGACTCGAAATGGTTCATTGACCTAAAAAATTATTTAAAAACTGGGTGAGGCTCCAGAATTTTGTACAGTGTTTGTCTCCAGTGCTAATCCCAGCAGAATGACTTAGTTGTTTTAGTTTGGCATTAATTGTCATTAATTCTTATCCGTATATAATGTGTTCATAAAAACAAAGTGTATGGATTTTAATTGGTATATGCCCCATGAAAGAATGGAAGAAGGTGAACAAAAACTAAATGTAACTAATGGCCTCGTTTAACCCTACAAGATCCCATTTTCAAACAAATAGCCAATTGAGTAAAGAGAAGAAAAGGACAAGCCACAGACTGGAAGAAAATATTTGCAAAACATGTATCTAAGAAAGGACTTGTATCCAGAATATGTAAAGACCTCCTAAAATTGAGTAAGAAATGTTAAACAATTTATTTAATGGGCAAACAAGTCAAATATACACTTCATTAAAGAAGACACATGATTATCAAATATGTATATGAAAATATGCTCAACATCATTAGACTAGAGGAATGCACATTAAAACGATGACAGGCACTATACATATATTAGAATGACTAAAACTAAAAAGACTGATTATACCAAAAGCTGGTGAGGATGTGGAGGGACTGAAACTTTCAGTCACTGATGGTGGGAATGTAAAATGGTACTTTAGAAAAAAAGTTTGGCAGTTTTTTAAAAATTTAAATATATTCTTACCATAATATGACCCAGCCATTTCACACCTAAGAATTTACCCTATTTAAATGAAAACATATGTTCACACAAAGGCTTGGACATGAAGATTCATAACAGTTTTATTTGTAGTGGTTAAGAATTGGAAACAATCCAAATATCCATCAACATGTAACTGGATAAACAAGCTGCAGTGTATCTACACATTGGAATATTAGCAACAATAAGGAATGAACTCTTAACACATACAATGACATGGATGGATTTCAAATAATTACACTGAGTGAAAGAAGCCAGATAAAGAAAAAGAGTTAAAGGTGCACAGAGGTAATTTTGGAGGGATGATGAATGTATTTATTATCTTGATTTGTGGCTCTGGTTTTATGAGTATATACATATGTCAAAACTTATCAAATTGTACACTCACTTTAAATGTGCAATCTATTATATATCCATTATACCCAAGTAAAACTACTTAAAGACTAAAATGTAAAAAAAGTGTAAAAATACATATAATTTGTACCACTCTGAGGTCCCTTATTTTAAAAAAAAAAAAAAAAAAACTTGAAAAGGCAGGCTATGTAACACAAGTTTCTTTCTATAAGGTGAAAGAAGGCAACAGAAAACCTTGTTCTGTGAGGATCCTGCTAGGAGCAGAGATGATTCTCAATATGTCAGGCATATGGAGTTAATTAATGCTTTTTCTCTTCTCCTGTCATTTAATTCAAATGGGGTTTAAAGAGTCTCTTGGAAATAACAACTGGAGCCCTACCCAAAGTAGGTAAGACATCATCAGAGATATCCAACGCTTACCTTTGGGAATTCCCAACAGAAATGAGATGCAGGGAGGGATGATGGGACCCATGAGAGAGGGGCTGTCACAGTGAATCAGACACAGCTTCAGAACTGAAGGAAGGAGGGGACTGATGGCTCCAGATGCAACTTGCAGCTGTCGTGGGAAGCCAGCCCAGCCCAGCCACCATGGTGCTGTGTGTGCCCTAAAGGAGAAAGGGGGCAGTGTGTGTGAATTGAAAGGACTTATTCACAGAACTTGCTAACACTTTGGGATCTGAGCCACCCAGCTGGGACATGCTGCTGGTCTGAATTGCAGCACCCTCCCATTGAGTGAAACAGTTCACCTCCTTATAGACTATGGAGCTGCCATGGCACTATGAGCACCCAGGGCATCCTCTGCCTTCTGTGAATCTCCTGCAGGGCCATCTCAAGGTGGAGCAAAGAGAATTCATCCCAGCTCAATGAGATGAACAGCAATGGCTTGCACTGCACAGCAATGAAAAGGCTCAAGGACAAGAAGACAGCTGTGTCCATGAGCCCTAACAACAGGGGTCCAAGTAATAACCCTGTGCTCAACCCTGCTTCCCACCACCAAAGCCCTTGCTTGAGGAAAATGTAGAGAAAAGTGATATTCCCCCTCTGTATTAGTCTCTTCTCACACTGCTAGTAAAGACATACCTGAGACTGGGTAATTTATAAAGGAAAGAGGTATCATGGCAGAAGGCAAAGGAAGAGCAAAGGGACATCTTACATGGTGGCAGGCAAGAGAGAGAGCTTGTGCAGGGGAACTCCCCTTTATAAAACAATCAGATCTCATGAGACTTATTCACTATTATGAGAAGAGCACAGGAAAAACCCGCCCCCATGATTCAATTACCTCCCACCAGGTCCCTCCCATGACACATGCGGATTATTACAATTCAAGGTGAGATTTTGGTGGGGACACAGAGCCAAATCATATCACCTTTTTTCCTTCATAAAAGCAGTGCTGACCAAGGTCCCTTAATAGTGATCTACTCAGAGGTGGCAGTGACAGATTTGCAGCTCTGCAGCATTAAGAGCACAGGGTTCTGCAACAAGAAGCCATGGCGTGAACAGTCAGGCAAGGAACCACTCTTAGCAGCAGCTCAGGAGTCCTTGCCAGGCTGGTATAACAGCAAGGAACAACCAGGACCAAGCCTGGATGCCTTTAAGGCAACCTCAGCAGAATTTCCAGAAACACCTGGAGGCAGGAAACTGCAAATCTATTCCTGCACTTTATATACAAATATATGGTGACTATTAAAGTTTAAGTTTTATTGTTAATATGATTCATTTCTATTCATAGGCTGGGAAATAACTGAAAATATCCTAAATTAGTATCTCAGTGAATAGCAGTATATTTTTCTCCTATAGGAGAAAAGGGGAAGTAGAAACAAACAACAGCAATAACAACAAAATCCCTCTCAATATGGTAGTCCATAATCACAGATGATGTATGCCTAGAGATCACAACAATTCAGACTGATCTCCTACAGTGATAATTCTGAGAAATGATAATAATGTATTCTAGACCCTGTTATAATGTAATAAAAAGAATCCAAGAAAACAGCTCTGTTTAGACAAAAGTAGACACTAAAATTTCTCATACGTTCTCATTATGATTTTTAAAACATGCTTTTCTATTGTGTACTCAGTGTTTAAATGAACCTGTACTTTCCAGTTAGTAAAAGTTCTACAGTATATGGATATCGGTGACCATGGAGAGCCCTACTTCTCTTGATAGCAGAATAAAAATAAACAGAATAAAACTTTACCACAAAGAATTTAGCAGGAGAAGTGCCTGATGGAAAGAGACATAAAGTCCTGAAGTTGTTGTCTAAGTGACATAAATTCCTTGCTGCTCTGAAGCACCTGTCGTCAGAGACAGAACCATCTCCAGACAGCCTGACAGTTCAAAGAAACATAAACAACAAAAATTGGCCCTGTGACACATTGATTTTGTGCTTATTCTTTTATCCCTCAGGCTAAATATTTTTGAATACCCATTTGATGTGCTAACTAATAAAAGCAGAGTCCATTCTTTCCATAAATAAATGATTTTGTTAAGAATTCAAATCAGACGTGGCAGAATCTCCCCATTTGCTGATTGCTAATGTATTTTAACCATGACATACATTCTTACATGTTCCAATTCAGCAAAGTCTCTTACTTATAGAAGAAGATGCCAGATTTGGATGGCGTATGTTTAATCTAGCCAAGGGAACATATTTCCTCCCTGAAACACGGCCCTGACAGCAAGGCAAAGTGTGATGAAGTTGTGTCACAAATAGGTGCGGCTCAATCCATCTGGCAAGGGGGAGTCTGTGCTGCCTAATTAAGAAAACGTAATGATCTGATCTCATCAAACATCCATTTACAGTTTTGATAAGTGAAGTTATCTCGTTGGATTTCTGCAAATGATTGTGAGCTGGTGTCCCTCACAAAACCCACAGGGCTTGGGGTGTCGACTTAGAGACGATGAGATTTGTACACATTTAGGTCAGCAATGCATATTGTGGCAAAGGGACGCCACACGACTTTCTGAAGATTCTTGGCCAGTAACTTGCGAAACACTGATCTGATTTGCTTGGAAATTTTTTAAATAATTGGCTCCTGCTGGCTGAGGCCCCATGCCAACACCGTATGGTAATTCATTTGTGACATTCCTAGAAGAGAGAATCTGCCGGAAGAGCTGCAGTAATATGTTTAGGGAATAATCATGCCATCCTCCGAATAGGATGCATAAAAGGAAGCAAACAGCAGGAGGCCAGCAAAGAGGCCTCTGGGTTTCCAGGGGAAAGATTCTCAATTTAAATGGAAATTTTGTAACTCTTCCCCCTCTTCTCCCTGTCCAGGCTCTGAGTATGACACTAGCTGGGACTGTTTTAAGACCAAGTATACAATCTCAGAAATGATTATTTAGGTCTCCTGGATTTGCTATTTATTGACCAAGGCTCTGGAGACTATAATAGTGACTTTGCAAAGAATCTACTTGAATCAACAATTTCTGGGCCTTTGTAGATGTCATTTGATGCTTAGGAAGCTTTTCAAGAAATACCTGCACCCTTTAGGAAATAAAGGAAAGTACCAAGGTAGCCCAACTCCTCTGAAAATAGTTAAGGATTGTATTGTAGTTCATAACTAAAGTAAAAGAACTTGAAGAGAATGTATGATAGATACCAAGGGCACTAGAAAGCAAACAGTGAAGCTATGGTTTGCCCCCTAAAAGAAGAAAGAAGAAAGAAGAAAGAGAAGGAGAGGAGGAGTGAAGAAAAGAGAAAGGAAAGGCAAGAGGGAGGGAGGGAAAAGCAAGTTTCAAGGGAAGAGGTAAGAAGACAGGCAAAGTCAGAAACTCTGAGCAATAGGAGGGTCCCACAGGGAGCAAGCTTGACAATTTGACAATATTTTATAAAAATATTTTTCTCCTGAAAAATAAGTTAGAAAAATAGCTCTATCTTCTCTTTGTCACCTAGCCACCAATCCCAAATGGAGATGACATTCTTCAGTAATTGATACATCAAGAAAGATATAAGGGGCACAGTAGAGGCATTTGGAACTGAACACTGGTCTGGATACCCCATGGTATGAACAAGGCATTCATGCCAGTTACTTTAAACAACCCAGTGCTGGATGCTCATTTTCAAATCCCATCTCTTGGATTTTCCCATCTGCAAGAATGCAGAAAGACAGCATCAGTATCCAGTGGCCTAAGGATAAGAAAAGCAAGGTAGAATCCCAAATCTAGGCAATGTCTACTAAAATAACCCACTTTAACAATGTTCTAAATGCCTCCACTGGTGACCCTGTCTCCAAGCATGCTGGAGGATTAATACAAGGAGAATGGAGGAGATGGTGAATGGGATTCTTGCCAACGCTGGCAAGAGTTGAGGGTTGAGTGGACCAACCAGCACTGGCTGTGACCACCCAATTGTAAGGGGATACAATAAACTCCATCATCAATATTTGAGAAATTTGGCCAATTTGAAGGAACAGGTAAACACAGTGCCAGTGGCTTCTAGGCAGGGACAATTCTGGGGGAGGCAATTAATAGTGACATGGATTCTGTCTGAGTTAGGGTAGATATTGGGCGAAAACTAGGTGACTAGGATTCGGGTTCAAGATTACTAAGCTGGGATCAGAGCTGCGGTCCAAGACAAGGCACCTGGGAGGAGACTGTGCCTGTGCATGATGATATGAAAGAAGAATCTAGAGCTGGTTGCTTATCTAGCACCTGGGGCTCTGAACACTCCTCGCTGAACCCAGGTGTTCTGACCTGAAAAACAGAAGGCAGCAGATTTACATCAGACCTCTCCTGCCTCTCTTCACCCCTGGATGAAGGGAGCTCTCAATACAACATAAATCTTGGTTCTCATTGGCTCAAGAACTGGACAAGCTGACTGCACAGGGAGCAGGTTATTATTGCTGGCCGATGACTATGCTGAGTCAGAGAAGGAAGTGCATAAGAATCTACATGCCAGGAGTCTCCAAATTCCTCTAATTTACTTCTTATAGAGATAAAAAATAAAATACACACACACCATACAGGACCTGTAGCATAAACTTGGCAGGCTTTTAAAATGTATTTATGAATACAATTACATGAGAAGTATTACAAAAGTATAAAAATCAGATCATGTTCTATGATATACTTCAGGATAGAATATAATGACACAAAATTTTTTCTGTCCCAGAAATCCAAGATATATGGAAGCAATACCAAAAGATCACCAGGATAAAGCTGTCCTGCAATGTCATTAATTAAGCCAAGAATACATATATATTGACCATTACCATGTGTAAGAGATTGTGCCAGCTTCTGTGGGAGATTTGAGAATAAATAAGATGGGGTTCCTACACTCAAGAGACTTTTAAACCGATGGCCAGGGGAGAGGAGCCTGGGGAGGAGCTCACACATATTAAGCACTGCAGACTCTCCTGTGCCCCTTGGAACTTTTATGCTCAGGCTAGAACCACAGAATACCACTCTGCCCATATGTGTAGCAGGAGAGCAGTGCAGAGGAATAACCCCACGGAAGCAGCCCTCAGCCAACGACTCCCAGAAGTGGTATCTACGTATCCTAGTTCCCTTGCCCCTCAGGTGGGATAATTCTGAGGCATCCGTTTTGTGTCACTTCCAAGAGTTTCCCTGTGGGGGTTAAGCTTTGGTCAACTACTGCATTAGTAGCTTAATAACTCAGCCTTCACTGTCTGCTCCCCTTTCTCCACTCTACTACTGGTATTCCCTGCACTTCCCAAGTAAATAACTTGCACTTGAATCATTATTTCAAAAAAAAAAAAAAAAGAAGAAGAAGAAGCTTCTGGGGGAATCTAAATCAAGGCAAGTACCTACTGTGTGCTGTGTACCATGCTATCATATACATTCATTATCTCATTCAGTCCCGTTAGCAATTGGACCAAAATATTATTATTCCATTGTGCCACTTTACGGCTTAAGGTTCTGCATTAGTTCTCTATCATGTTCAGATCTGGGGGAGGAAAAGCCGTGTCAGAGTGTAGGACACACAAATTAGGACATTCTTCTGACCCCATATTCTTTCTCTAGTGGCTATTACCAAGCTGTCAGTCCCTCCTTTTTGGAACCTGATTTTCATCTATCTCTAAAATGAGGTTTTAAAAGGAACTGCCTTTTAAACTTAAGCTGCACAAATGAGGGTCTCTCTGGACACTTTTACAATGAGAACCAAGAAAAGCAAGCCTCTTCCTCTATAATCATGAAGTGGTAAAAGAAGGGTGCCTAGGAGCCCTGTGGCCACATCTCCAGGCTCATAGAGAAAGTTCTTCACTGGGGAGAATGGAACTAACACAGAAAGAAAAGCAGAAGTAGCAGGTGGAGAGAGAGAAGAGAGATTCTCAGTGTCACTTGTCCCTGGAGCCAGACTGGCCCTTGCCCTTCCTTCACATTCATTACAAGCCAATGATGTTTCTTTTTGAATGCAAGTGAGATAAAGTTGGATTCCTGCCACTTGCAATAGAAAGAGCCCTGCCTGGTGCACACAACATGGCAGAGACCACAGACTGGCTTGCTCAGCATTTATCCCAACATGTTTTAGAAGGCAGAGGTTGGAAATCAAATAATACATTTCTCAGGATCTCTTGCAGGTGGAGCTCTGAATATGTCTTAGATTCTGTAAATCATATAAGCTCATGTGAGCCTCTGTTTCAGAACTGAGTCCAACAGGAAGCAAGGCAGGGTACAAAGCATTCTGTTTTGGGTGCTGATTAGGTAGAGGTGGAGTTTTCTGGAGTCAGCGGCTTCCTAATTGAGGAGATATTTCCTGATTTGACAGCTTTCTGCATTGGGAGGCAGCTTTCCTGATCATGCCAGTAGCTGAGTGCTTCTGAGAGTTGACAGTTATTCCTTCTGATAATTTTGCAGTACGCAACTCCCTGTATTAAAACCTTTCCTGTTGCAGAGTGAATTCTGTGATCCGTAACTGAGCTCTGATGGAGGCACGCATGGTCCTTCATAACCTCTTGCTGTCTACTGCTTATTCTCTTGCCCTATCTCCTTCTCCCCCACCATGTTCACTGAATGACTTGGTGTTTTGCAAACTGATCCATGTAGCGATGTCCATTGGATTGCAGAAATGTGGGTCTAACATTTGGGAGAGAATCTAGGCTACAGCGATTTAGGAATCAGCTATATAGAGTGATAAAACAGTTGGTGTGGATGGACTTTGGAAAGGGGAAGTAAGAAAGGATGAGATCACTCAAAACTGAACTTCAGAGAATGCCTGCATTTAAGGCATAGAAACACAGAAGGAGCAGGTGAAAACCCCCCAAAGCAATGATCAGAAATCCTGGAGAGGCTGTTGTCACAGGAGCCAGGGGAGAGAAGGATTCATATTAATGTTGCAAAGACAGAAAGGGAGCAGAGAACTAGAGAGGGCATCCTGCATGTCAGGTAGATTTCTAATGACATTCCTGATAGAGTGGGAGAGATGGAAGCCCAAACATAAGGCATTAAGAAATGGATACCTGTAATCCCAGCACTTTGGGAGGCCAAGGCGGGCGGATCATGAGGTCAGGAGATCGAGACCATCCTGGCTAACATGGTGAAACCCCTCTACTAAAAAAAAATACAAAAACCTAGCCGGACATGGTGGTGGGTGCCTGTAGTGCCAGCTGCTCAGGAGGCTGAGGCAGGAGAATGGCGTGAACCTGGGAGGCAGAGCTTGCAGTGAGCCGAGATCGCACCACTGTACTCCAGCCTGGGCGACAGAGCGAGACTCTGTCTCAAAAAAACAAAAAAAAAGAAAAAAAGAGAGAAATGGATAAAGAGGAAGTAGGGGTAAATAATGAAGTTAAGGGAGAAAGACTAACAGTGTTGCCACATAGTTAATTACGAATAGATGCCCTCCACAAATACCCCCTGCCAGCATTCCTACCTCTGTAGATGGAGTTCCTATGATAACAATTTTAGTACATATGAGATGTGCAAGAGAAAATAGACATAGAATAGAAAAAGGCAAGTAAATAAAGAGAAGGAGGGAAGGAAGGTCAGATGATGCCCAGTTCTACCCCCTACTTCTAGGCTCAAGTCCTTTCTGGCCCTGCTCCCTTTCCTCATCACAGAAGGACTCCCAGCACCAAAATGTTGCTCACTCCTAGGAATGCCACAGTTGCTGTGTTAACTCTTATGTGTTGGTGCCTGAATGAAAGACCACTCCGTTGTGGATGAAATGATTTCCCCTGAACAAGATGACCCTGGAGTCAATCACAGAGAAGAGACAGGCTAGACAGGAACCAGCACTCAGGGGATGGGGCTCAGAAACCTCAGTCTCTGTCTCAATCTCATACCCAACCTTCAGTCTTCAGAGTCAGGGCCCCAAACCTGTGTTCCTGGTATGAGCACAGGTTGGAGATGGTCTCTGCTGCATGGAGGCAGAAAGATATCCTGTAGTGAACTACAAGCTGGGGTAGGGGGGTGCATATAGCCTTTACTGTCAGTTTCTCCTCTGTTGCCCCAACCTTGTTTCAGTCATGCAGGGAGGCTCTAGCGAAGGGCTCTGTGTCAATTCTTCGGCCACTGTGAAAAGGTTATAAATCCTCCCAGAGGCCAGATCAGAAAACCTTGATCTCAGTGGGTCTCTGATTCTGGGACTACTCCCTACTCAGATCTCAGTCAAGGCAGCTTCTGATGATCACAACATTTCCCTTTATTCTCACCCTTCTCAAGGGGCTGTTTGGGGGAAAAAAAAATCTCCATCAAGCATGCATGGGTGACAGAGAAACTCCACCTTCTATCCATTTCCCATTTCACTCAATTATTCGTTCAACATACATATTTTTGACCATGGTCTATGTTTGAGGCATTGTGCTAGGCTTTGTGACATAATGACAACAAATCACTGTTCTTCCTCTCAATAAGTTTGCAATGTAGTGATTTTCTAGTCTGTGAGAATAGGAGGACTATAGTAACCCCATCTGTGCTTCCAAAACCTTTCTTCACAAAGTTGACCATTCAAAGTTGGAATGATGGGAATGGGCAGGCACCTGCAAGAGATATGCCGTCAGTCTGACCACGAACATGGTTTCCATCCCCCTAGAGCATATGAACATTGGCTTTGTGGTCACTGGGGCATGCTCCATTCCCCACTCCATACTTTCCTTATCAAAGTAGGCTGTACTTACCGTGGTTCACTAGGGAAGGATGTTTAAAAAGTCCCTGAGCAAGAGACTATTCCTACAGGGGGAAGAAAAATGAGAGGAGATAATCCAGAACCAGAGAACTGACATGTTTGACACACAGAAAACATTAAAAGATGTGAGCTGGAATGGAGGTAACTACTGAGTGGAAGATGAGACCAATGAAGGGAATGAGATCAACAGGCCAAGTAGAACTCAAGTTTAGCTTTGGGGAAAGGAAGGATGCATCTCTGCTGGGGACAAGAAAGAAGGGAAGAGGAAGAAGGATGTCCTGACACATTCTGATTAGAAGAATAGAGACACTGCAACAATTCAGATACAAAGGGATAGTAGATACTTCTATATTTTGGCTCTCTAAACTCTATCTTTCTAGTTGGGAAAGTTCCCTGTGTGCATAGTGTTAGTGTGATGCAGTGTCCACCTCTCCTAAAGAGGCAAAGGGGTCCTCACTCCATCTCACTCCATTCCACTAGCCCCTAGGAAGCAGGGCATGGCCCATGACTTACATTCAGTCAATCAGTAGCTCCCCTCGGGTATTTCAACATGGTGAATATAATCCAAAAGTAAGGGGGGCATGTGTTCTTTACTTAGGCTGCATAACAAATACCCCAAAATTTAGTCACTTTAAACAACAAATATTTATTTTCTGTTTCTTTGGGTTGGGAATTTGTGGGCAGCTTAGCAGGGTGGTGCTTACTTGAGGCCTCTCATGGGTGGCAGTCAAGATGTCAGCTGGGCCTGCAGTCATCTGAAGTCTTGACTGGGGCTGAGAGTCACCTCCAAGCTGGTTCACTCTCATGTCCGTGAGCAGGTGGCCACAGCTGGTCACTGGCTATTGGAGAAAGCCTCACTTACTCTCCAGAAATACCTCTCTGCAAGGTTTCTTGAGTGACCTTATGACATAGTGCCTGGTTTTCCCCAGATCAAATGATCTGAAAAAGTGAAAGGCAGAAACCACAATGTCTTTTATAACCTACCCTTGACTCACACAATATCCCACTAGATACACAGGAAAGCCCCATCTAATGCAGACAGAGAGTACTGAGGATATGAGAACAGGAAGATGAAGACACTCAGAGGCCACTTTGGAGGCCACATTCACTCATTGCCAGTCGGCTGTCCAGCACTAGTGTCCTGCTGTAGAGTCAGAGGCAGCAGCTATGAGAGCATCTGGCCAGATTCCTCCTGCTGCCCAGCCTCCAGACCCCCTTTGGATTCTGCTTATTTCCCAAGCTTGCTCCTTCCATCTCTTGTGGATTCTATTGGCTTCCACATCTGTAAGTCCTTATTTTCCTAAAGGCAACAGGACTACTTTCTGTTGTTTGCAATCGATAATCCTGACTGGGACAGATGATGTTGATCTCCAGGAAGTTGTTGGTGAGCTCACGTGATAAGAGTAAGGGAGAAGACGAACTGAGGTCAGAGAATCAAAGAGAGTGAAGTTCAAGAAAGGATGCCATGAGGGACATGAGCTGGAGCATCCAAGAGAAAACTACAGGAATTGCTGAGCAGCTTTGAGAACTAAGAGATTTATGTAAGACCCAGTTGAGGGATCAGTGCAGAACAGGTTGTTCTTTTCTTTTTTTAAAACTTAATGTAACCAAACATTCCCTTCTTTTAGTATAGAACTCACAGGGTCATTGAAATATATTCATACTATAGAGCTATATTCCAGCATCAGATATGCCTGCAACACTCCTGTAACCTTGCATTTCCTTACCTGACCAACAGAGAAACTAGTACTGGCCTGTCTGCCTCCGACTCTTGGATCATTTTGCTTTTACTTTGCCTC